>NC_000011.10:96566364-96869394 GCF_000001405.40 Homo sapiens
TTATAATATAATATAATATTTATTATATATACAAAATAGCATAATATAATATGTATTATATATTATATATAATACACATTATATTTATTGTACATATTATATATATTATAATTTATGTAATATATTTATTTTATATTATATATTATAATATATTATATAATATAATAAATATATACTATAATGTAATATATAAATTATATTAAATATATATTATATTAATATTGATATAATATATATTAAATATATAGTTAATATAATATATATTATATTATGTATATATAGTAAATATGTTTTATATGGTATGTAATATATATTAAATATATTAAATATATATTTTATAAAATATTTAATTTATATTATATATATTCTATTATACATTTAATATTTAATATATTGAATATTTAACATATACATTAAATTAATATATAGGAATTTAATATTAAATTAAAGATTTTAAATATCTTTAATGGATTTTAAAAAGGATTTCTTTCATCAGCCCCAAAAATATACATTGAAGATAAAAGAACTTAATACTAAAATGCTGAAAACCAAATAGTTTTTCAATGTTTATGTATTTTGTAAAATATGGAAATAAAACATAGCCATCTATATGATTGTTATACTTATTTTTACTATGCTTAATATAATGCATTAATCATATATGATAATTTTTATAATAAGTATGGCACAACTAAAATAACTCAAGGAAATTATTCTCCCACTAGTCATATACATTTTAAGAAATTAATCTTTACATTTGAATTCTGCCATGCTATCGGAAATCACCCCTTTTATAAACTTGACAAAGCAACAATAATGATTTTCGTACTTTAGTGAAATTATTCCAAATCTAATTTTTAATGTTGTGTAAAATTTGACAAATTTTGTCATATTTTCAAAAGAAGTTTTTTAAAGAAGTTTTACTAAAAGGAAGATTTGGTTCATTTTTTCAACTCCCTTTGTGTGATACAGCCTAGGCCTTTGAAGTGTAAATTCTGGTAGCTCAGCAAAGTGAAAGTATCCTATTTATCTGCTGACTAGCCCCGGTGTAAGATTCTTTATGCCGCTCGCATTTGTGAAACCAGGACCTGAGGAGATCTACCTTTTGAATAACAAGAAGAGAAGAGGAGTCTAGTGGCTAAATTATTACCCTGATATCAGCACTTCAGGAATTCTATCTTTATCTAGCTCTTGCACTTAATCATTTAACTCTTCTCATCCTGCTCTTTGTGTAGAAAAAGAAAATAATATTTTGCCCATGTCTTATAAATGTTCTATGGCTTAATTATTGTTTGCAAACTTTTCTGAGCTTTCTGAAGAACGGTAGACATAATTATTCAGTTTTACAGATATACTCTGCTTAAGAGTTTTTCTGACTGCTGATTTGAAGATTATCCAAATTCATCCCAGGGATGCGTGAGAGGTTTTGTAATGCTGATTACGTATCACTGGGGAACAAATTAAGCCCATCAAATGCCTAGCATATCAATCTCAAATCACACTCTACTTGAACTAGGGGCCCTGTGTTTTATTTACTAGATGAGCACTTTCCTCTCCAGATGAATTAGCTCTTCTACAATGTGTTATTTGGTATAGTGGGGCCTTAGCAGGCAGGGGATTTTGGACTTTTTGACAAAAGGATACTTGTTGATGCCTAGGTTGTGGGCCTATTTTAAAACTGTTAAATGAAAGATCAGCATGCAATATTTATTATACTATTTTTAAAGAGCAGGTTAACCCCAAGATTAAATGTTAAAATTTATAAGGAAAGTTGAGAAAGCAATGTGACCATATTTATTGAATCTTACTTTCATTTCCTGAAATTCATATAAATAAAAACACTGGTAAGTAAGGATAAATAAGAAATAAAGGCCCATCATTTGGAAGAAATTTGAACAAATTTTGGTAAATTCACACTAGGGTGAAAATTGCTAGCTGTCCACCAAAATCGATTCTCTTCTTCTTCCATAGTAATCAAGTCATAGCTGGAATGTGACTGCCTGGCTGATCTTCCAAGGTCCCCTTGCATCTATGTGTGGCCTTATGAATCAATCCTTGCCAATGGAAAGTGAATGGAAGTGATGTGTGTCAGTCCCAGGACTGACCATAGACCTCCTGCATGTGCTCCTTTATGCTATTTCTTCAGTTCAGGGTGGGAATGGGAATGCCCAGAGCAACTTTGGAAGCTATATGCTGAGGATGCTAGAACTGCCATCAGCCTGGGACCCTGAACAACTGTATGAAACCAGGTACCTGTGGGTGGGAAAAAAACTGGCTGGAACTATTAGATGAAAGAAAAATAAACATGTTTTTGGTCATTGCAATGTTGAGATCTCTCTTTAGTAGCAGTTTAGTTATTTACCCTAATTAATACACATACTATGGAATATTATGTAATCGTTAATAGGTTACATAGGGAAACAACTGAATGGGGGGATTTTGTTACATAGGGAAAGTAAATGCAAAGAAGTTTATATAATGTGATCTAACTATTGTAAAATAAATATAGAAGCATATAACCCAGCACGATATACAGAGGAGGTGGAAATTGAACAACCAACCAACAAATCAAGGGGAAGTCAGTAAGGAAGGAATTTCATAGGTGCTATGTAAGGTAGGTTCTGAAAGGAACAGTAGGGAGCATACTTAGGTCATCTTTTTCAAATTCTATGACTTCTGAGTCCATTATGATCTTTTATTCTATGTTTCAAATGTCTACGTAGCATCATCATCTGGATATTCTGCAGGTATTTTATATATAAAAATGTATTCTCTTTCTCCTTTTGAGAAACAATAAGCATATGTTAAGCAAGTAGTTTTGACCACCTATACAGTTTCAGGACTTGTGATATACATGCTGGGTGATACAAAAATTAAAAGAAAATGATCCTTGCCTTTCAGAAGTACATAATCAAATGAAAAAGGAGCCATAAAGAGATAATTTCAAGAAAACGTAGTAAATATGCTTTGATACAGTTAGGCACAGAGAAATGTAGTAGATTTGAAGAAGGGTCTCTTAAATCAAATTCAGATGTTAGGCTGATTTTCAGGGCGAAGCACAAAGTAGCATCCCTGAGCCTGATGAATCTTTATGCATTAGTGACACATTGTCTTAATGCTTTATGCAAATTTGTGATGTGCTATTAATATTAATTTACATGTTAGGAGGTAAATATGTGTTATGTTTATGCCTCCATTCCCAGGCAAAGTACCAGGCACACAGTGTGCTAGGGAATAAGGTAAAGTGATGGTTCTTGTCCTCAAAGAACTCAAAGACTTGTGGTTGGTAAAGATGTGTAAGATAAGTTGTCATAAAGTGTTAAACTGAGTTTCAGAGAGCATCCTTTTTATTGTAACAAATATTGACAAAGATTAAAATATAGTTAATCCCAGTGGAGGGCTGCTCTGTAACATTCCATGTAGTACAACTTGGCTCCGGGGTTTTTCTTATCAACCCTCTTATCCTCTGGATTCAGGGGTGTATTGAGAACTGAGGATGCTGAGAGCAGGAATCAGACCCTTGAGAAGTGTGGGAGGAAAGGGCGCTTAATAGATTCCTTGAAAATGCACCCAACCCAAACACATGGGACAAAACCAGAAGTAACATTATAAGGTTATCTACTTCGTTATTTATCCTTATATTCATATTTCTTGAGTACTGAAGGCAAGAATTGCAACTTTCCACTTTCAAATGCTTTCAAAACCATTCAAAAGAGGACAATACTTGATGGGTGGTATTTTAAGTGCTTAGTGAAATTTTGTTGGAACTGATACTCCATTTTTCTTTTCTGAATAATGACCCCAGAGAGAGAAATAATCTTAGAACCATAGAGCTATAAACATTCAAAGTTGGAGGTATTTAAAGGTCATCCAGTTTAACCATTCATTGATGCTTTAGCTCAAGTTTTTTATTATGACATTTCATATCTTCTATAGATGTGAAACCACCCGCTATAGAAAGATGATCAAGTAGCAACGGTTTAAGAGCCCAATGGGTGTAATTGATATCTGTATGGTGCCAATATTAGCTTGCCAGGACTGCTGTAATAAGTACCACAAATTGGATGGTTTAAGCAACAGAAATTTATGATTTGCAGTTCTGGAGGCTAGAAGTCTGAGATCAAGGTATGGATAGGTTTGGTTTCTTCTGAGGGCTTTCAGGAAAGGATCTGTTCCATGCCTTTCCCAGCTCCTGGTGGTTTACTGACAATCTTTGGGATTCATTGACTTGTAGAAGTATCACCCTAATCTCTGCCTTCATTTTCACATCACTCCCGCTGTATGTGTGTCTGTGTCTAAAATTTCCCTTTCTTATAAGAACACCAGTCATATTAGATTAGGGGACCATCCTACCCTAGTATGAACCCTGTTAATTAATGATGTTTGCAGCAACCCTATTTCCAAATAAGGTCATATTCTGAGGTACTGTGGTTAGGACTTCAACATATACATTTAGAGGAGAACACAATTCAACCCGTAACAGTGCCTTTAAAACATAAGCATATATTCAATACCTGACTCTCCCCAGAATACTCCATACAGGTTTTTACTTTTTTACACCTCTTATGTTATTGTTCCATATTGATAGATTTCTCTTCTGTTGTAATGCCACTTTGTGCTGCTCTTATCTCTATTAAACACTTAGATAATTGTGATTTGAGATATAATTGTTTATGTGGCTAGAGTTTGGGATACAAAAATCAAACAACAGATAAAATCTCCAAATTTTAATTATTCTTTTATTCTCTCATTCAATACATATTTATCAAGAAAGCAATATATGTACCAAATGTTCTAGACACTGAGAATGTGGAGGTGAATACACATGGCTAGCCAGGTCCCAACCCTCATGGATAATACATTCTAGTGGGAGATGTGAGTGATTCCTCAGCTTCTATACAAATTGTTTTGGAAAATTTATTAATAGATTAAGATAAATTCTGACTGGCTTCAGATGGTGTTGAGTGGCCTAAAGATGTAGGCCAAGACATCTTTCAGGATCACAGAGGCATTGTTTTATAATGATTAAAAACTTAAAATTACATATTGAGGCACATGTATACGTATGTAACTAACCTGCACAATGTGCACATGTACCCTAAAACTTAAAGTATAATAATAAAAAAAAATTAAAAAATTAAAAAAAATTAAAAAAAGATACCCAGAAAAAAAAGAAAAAAAAATTATATATTGAGTATGAATTGGTTATTGATTAGCTATATGACTTTGTGTAAACTACTTATCCTCTTTGAAATTCAAATTCTTTAATTTTTTTGTTCTTTTCAGTGTGATTTCTTCTTTAACCTATAAGTTATTTGCAATTTCTTGTTTTTTTAGGTTTTGAACTAGTAAAATATACGAAATTTCACATTTACGTCAGTATTCAGCCTGAATCTGCTCTGCCCACTTGATCTTACAAAGTCCAGATAGCTAAATGTCCATTTTATAGTCATTTCTGGCATGTTTTGTGTTCATGAAAGTTACCGTCTTATCATCATAACCATATGGGTAAATAAACAACAATTTTATTTGAATTTATATTACCTAAAAATTTCACTTTGAAATATAAGTAAGCATACATCTGTAATGAAATGAAAACATCTCATCATATGCTTTATATGTTGAAATCCCCATGAGTCACTTGGGAGTATAGTGTAAATTTATTACTGTTAGAGGGACATACTGAAAAACTGATAATTGTGAAACCTGCCAATTTATTTGTACAGACACTGAATATTAAGGATATGAAAATACTATAATAATTAGGGAAATGAATTTATTATTACGGAAATGCTAAGAGTATATTAGCTAATTTTAGGAAGAACATTATACTCTTTATCACAAATGTGTATTGCAGTGAAGTTATAATACAAGGCAGAAAAGTGAAAAATAGATTGTGATGCAATTTTTCCCAGTTGAAGTAGTTGACATTAAATAAAACCTTTAAAGATTGTATTTTGTTTTAAGTTATTTAATATTATTTAGATTCCTATGACTTACCTAAATTCAGTGGTCAATTCAGTTCTTATATAACTTGAAATATCAGCAATTGATACAGCTGATTACTGCTTCTTCCTTGAAATATTTTCTTCACTTGGATTTCAGGTCACTACACATTCTCCTATTGACAGACATCTATTTCCTCTACATTTTTTTTTCTCTATTATAAGTAAAGCTGCAATCAACACTTTCATGCTTATTTTTTATGGGCCTAAGTTTTCAATTTTTTCATACTGAGGACTGGAATTGCTAGACATAGGTGTATGTATAATTTTATTTTAAAAACCTGCGGTCGGGTGCAGTGGCTCATGCCTGCAGTCCCAGCACTTTGGGAGGCCAAGGTGGACGGATCACAAGGTCAAGAGATGGAGACCATCCTGGCCAACATGGTGAAACCCTGTCTCTACTAAAAATACAAAAATTAGCCGGGCTCAGTGGCGTGTGCCTGTAGTCTCAGCTACTCGGGAGGCTGAGGCAGCGGAATCACTTGAACCCAGGAGGCGGAGGTTTCAGGGAGCCAAGATCGTGCCACTGCACTCCAGCCTGGTGATACAGCGAGACTCTGTCTCAAAAACAAAACAAAAACAAAAACCCTGCTAAACAGTTTTCTAAATTGGTTCTACCATTTTATACCCCCACCCACGGTATATGAGAGTTCCAGTTGCTCCTCATTCTCTTGGTAGAGTCAGTCTTTTTAGTGGTAACTATTCTAGTGGGTGTGTAGTGATGTCTAATTGGCTTTAATTTATATTTCATCCATGCCAATGATTAAACATATTTTCCTTTGTATATCTTCTTTTCTTTGTATACACAATTTTTGAAGTATCTGTCTAAATCCTTTTTCCCATTTTTAATTGGGTTGTCAGTCTTTTTTATCATTGATTTGTGAAATCTTGGTAATTTTTTTTCAATTTGGCTTGTCTTTTTTTCTTAAATGTCTTTTGATAAGAAAATTTTAATATTTATAATGCATGATTTATAATTTTTCTTTATGTTTAGTGTTCCATGAATTCTACCTAAAAAATTATTATCTAGCCCACCTATTTCTGGATTCTACTTTGTTCTATTGTTCCATTTTTCTTCTATACTTATGTCAATATGACACCATCTTAATTACTCTGGTTTTATAGCTTTATAGTAATCATTAGAATCAGGCAATGTTTTTTCTTCAACTTTGTTCTTCTTTCTTAAGATTGCTTTGGCCATTCTAGGTTGTTTGCATTTTTATATAAAGTTTAGTATCTGCTTGCCAATTTCTATAAAAAACCTGTTGGGATTTTGACTGGAATTGTATTGAGTCCATAGCTTAATATGGGGACAAATGCCATTTTTATAATATTGATGCTTTTAACCCATTGCTATGGTATATCTCATTTCTTTAGGTTTTCCACAGTTTCTCTCAGCAATGTTCTGAAGTTGTCTAAATAGAGGTCTTTTATATCCTTTGTTAAATGCACTGCTGGTGTTTTGGATTTTTTTTATGGTACTCCTAACAAAATGTATTGATTTTTTAAAAATGTCAATCTCTAGTGCTTGTTGCTAGTATAAACAAATACAATTGATTTTGTATATTGACCTTGTATCCTAAGACTTGGCTGAATTCAGATATTAGATCTATTAGTTTGTTTGGGTGAAATCCTTTGGATTTCCTAGGTATACATGTATTTCACTTGTAAATAAGTACAGTTTTACTTTTTCTTTCCCCATATTCATACCTTTTATTTAAAATGTCTTCTTGCATTAGGTAGAATCTCATTACAATGTTGAAGAGAAGTTCTGAGAGCAGATATACTTACGTTTTTTGTGTGACCTCAGTGACAAATTGTTCAATATTTTACTACTAAGTATAGTATTTACTGTAGATTTTTTGTAGAAGTGCTCCATTAAATAAATAAAAGGATATTTTATTTTATTTCTAGTTTTCTGAGAGGTCTTTAAAATCATGAAGCAGTACTGGCTTTTGGCTAAACCTTTTATTGCAATTATTGCAATAATTATATAGTCATTCTCTTGCATTATTGGAGTTAATTCTGCCATTTCTTGATTGTCTTTTGGAATGAATTGATACTTCTTTATTAAGTACTTTTACATTTATATTAATGAGGGATATTGGACTGTTATGTTCTTTCCCTGTAATGTCATTGCCAAGATTTAACTTTAGGGTATTAGTTTCAAAATGAGTAAAAGTGTTCCTTGCTCTTCATTTTCTGAAAGTGCGTTGGTGATATTGGTTTTTTTTTGCTTTATTGTTTGATAGACTTCACCATTGATGCCATCTTGGCAGAAGCTTCCTTTTTAGGAAGGTTTTAAATTATTGATTTAATTTCTCTAATGGATGCAATGTAATATAGATTGTCTATTCTTTTGTTTTGAAAAGTTGAATGTTATTTGCTTTTTATATTTATTATTTTCTTATCATTATCATTTTATTTCTTCTATTTATCTTGAGTTACTTTGTTATTCTTTCTCTAGCTTCTCAAAGTGAAAGCTTAGATCTTTGATTTTACACTTTTCTTGTTTTTTTAAGTAAACATTTAAAGCCCTAAATTTCTCTCTTAGAACCTCATTAGATGGCATGTCATACATTTTGACATGTTGTGTTTTTATTATGATTAAGTTAAAATACTTTCTAATGTGTATTTGTGATTTCCTCATCGACACTGGATTATTAAGAAGTGTATGCTTAATTTTCAAATATTTTGGGGGATAATCAAGATATATTATTGATTTTGAGTTCTAATTAAACTGTTTTCTGGTCAAAGAATATGTTTTGTGTGCAAAAAACACTGCAAATTTTTAAGGCTTATTTTATATGCCTCATCATATGATCTAGCTTGGTGAATATTCTATGTGCACTTGAAAAGCTTGTATATCCTCAGCTGCTGGGTGTGGTGCATTGTAATTTCATTAGGACAAATTTGTTGATAATGTTCAAATTCTTCTTCAAATTTATATTGATTGATCTAATTGTTTTATCGATCATTGATAGAAGAGTATTAAAGTTTCCAACAATAATTATTAATTAATTATTTTTTCTCTTTAATTCTGTTAAATTTTGTTTCATTTACTTTGACTCTGTTGTTAGGTTAACATTAAGAATTGCTGTTTTCTTGATAAATTAGCCATTTTATCATTATGAAATGCCCCTCTTTATCTTAGCAAATATTCTTTATTTTGAAGTCTCTTTTGTTTAATATTAATTGGGTCATGCTATTTTTCTTTTGACTACTGTTTATATAGTGTGTATATATGTACATATATATATATATATACACACACACATATACATATATATTTCTGTCTTTTTTCTTTTAACTCATCTGTGACTTTCTACCCAGTCTCTCTCTTTACCTCCTTCTTAAGGTCAATAACTCGCATATTTTCCATTTTGAGGCTGTTTTATGGATCTTTTAGGTGTGCTTCATTCTTTTTTATTCTTTTTGACCATATTTCCAAATAGCCTGTATTTCCAAATAGCCTGTGTTTAAGCTTACTAATTTTTTCTTCTGCTTGATCAATTGCTTAGAGGCTGATGTATTCTTCAGTATGCCAATTGCATTTTTCACCTCCAGAATTTCTGCCTGATTCTTTTTAATTATTTCAATTTCTTTGTTAAATTTATCTGATAGGATTCTGAATTCCTTCTTTGTGCTATCTTGAATTCATTTGAGTTTCCTCAAAACAGTTATTTTGAATTCTCTCTCTGAAAGTTCACATATCTCTGTCTCTCTGAGATTGGTCCCTGGTGTCTTATTTAGTTCATTTGGTGAGGTTATGTTTTCCTGGATGGTGTTGATGCTTCTGATGTTCATTGGTGTCCGGGCATTGAAGAGTTAGGTATTTATTGTAGTATTCTCAGTATGGGCTTGTTTATACCCATCATTCTTCAGCAGGCTTTCTAGATATTTGAAGGGACTTGGATGTTGTGATCTAAGTTTTTGGTCACTGCAGCTATATCTGAATTAGAAGGCACCCCAAGCCCAGTAACACTGTAATTCTTGCACTCGTAGAGGTACTGACTTGGTAGTCTTCAATTTGATCTGGAAGAATTCTTTTGATTACCTGTCTTTTTATTATCCTGTGGCCTAGACAGCAGAGATTCTTCTTCTCTTCATTTACTTTCTCCCAATCAAATGGAATCTCTCTATGTGCTGAGCTACCTGGAGCTGGAAGAGGGGCACCAAAAGCACCCCTGTGGCCACCATCACTGGGACGGTGCTGGGTCAGACCTGAAGCCAGCACAGCATGGGGTCTTGTCCAAGGACCACTGTAACCACTACCTGGCTACCATCTATATTTGCTCAAGGTCCCAAGGCTCAACAATCAGCAAGTGGTGAAGCCAGCCAGTCTTGTGTCCTTGCCTTCATGACAGCAAGTTCCTTTGGGCCCCAGATGGGTCCGGAGATATATCCAGGAGCCAAGGCCTAGAGTAACAAATCTTAGAAATTTACCTGGTACTCTATTCTACTGTGGCTAAGCTGGGGCTAAAATCACAAGACAAAGTCCTTCCATTCTTCCCTCCCCTTTCCCCAGGCAGAGAAGTCTCTCCCTGTGTCCACCACCACCACCACAGGCCCATGGGAGTACTGCTAGGATGTTGCCGATGTTCACTTAAGGCCCAAGCACTCTTCAGTCAGCTTGTGGTGAATGCTGCTAGGCCTGGGACTGATGCTACAGGGCAATGGGCTCCCCTCTGGCCCAGGATAGGTCCAGAGATGCCATCCAAGAGCCAAGGCTAGAATCAGAGACCCCAAGATCCCCCTAGGTGTTCTTTCCCACAGTGGCTGAGCTTGTGCATAAGCTACAAGACAAAGTCCCACTTACTCTTCCCTTTGCTTTCTGAAGCAGAAGGAGTCTCTCTTCACAGCCACCATAGCTATGAATATGCTGGGTCACACCTGAAGTCAGCATGTCTCAGAGTCTCACCCAAGGCCCATGGCATGTTCTACCCAGTTACCACTGCTTATTATTTAGGGCCCAAGGACTCTTCACTCAGCAGGTAGTGAATACTGCCAGGACTGGGTTCTTCCCTTCAAGGAAGTGGGTTCCTTTTTGGCCTAGGTTGCGTGTAGACATGACATCTGGGAGTGAGGGCCTGGGATGGGGGCCTCATGACTCTCCCTGGTGCCCTATCCTATTGTGGCTGAGCTAGTATCCAAGTTGCAAGACAAAGTTCTCTTTACTCTTTCCTCTCCTCTCCTTAATTACAAGGAAGGGGTCTGTTTTGGAGCTGTCAGTTTCACTGCCTGGGATTAGGGGAGGGGTGTTGCAAGCACTCCCTTAGCCTCCCAAACTGGTATCTCACAGGTCACATATCTCCTAAGTCTACCGGCTCTGAGCCCAGCACAGCACAAAGACTTGCCTAGGAATTGCAGTCCTTATGGCCTAGACAACCTTTCAAGATTATTTAGGACCCCAGAGCACTTTAGCATGTTGGCAAGTCTAACTGAAACTCAAGTTCCAACTGCTATAATGTAGGATTCCCCTCTGGCTATGGCTGGTCCAAATGCTCCCTCCATGGACGTCAGCTGAGTATTTCTCAGTGTTGACAGCACTGAGTTTTAATGCAAAGTCTCACAATCACTATACTCTCTCTCCCCCAAGTGCAGAGTCTCTGCCTCATATGGCTGCTGCTGGGGAATGGGGGAGGGGTGGTGTCGGCATTTAAGACTGTCTTTTCTACACTCTTCAGTGCCTCTTTCAGTGAACTGAGATTAAAACCAGGCGCTGTGATTGCTCACCTGATTTTTGAGTCTTAGGAAGATACTTTTCCTTTGTGTAGATAGTTGTCAGTTTGGTGTTCCTGCATGGAAGATGATTGGTGGAAGCTTCTATTTGGCTATCTTACTCCACCTTGTCCAAATTTTATTAACTCTTTTTGAAATATTAATGAGAGTGATATGTGGGAGTGGGTTGAATATGTGTGTATCTGTACATGCACGTATGTGTGTGTGTGTGCATGTGTGTATGAGTGTATGTAGCTCACAGACAGAATTTACCATATAGTCTTGATTGGAAGTCTTGCTTTTTTATCAATAAGTCAGGAATAATATTTCCTTTATAAACTTATTGCAATCTTTAAATTATGTAAGCCATGTAGAGTGGTTAGCAAGATGCCTGGCATATAAAAAGGCTCAGTAAATATTATGGGGCATTTTACTATGAAACAGAGTCACTCACTCAGTAATTGCAAAGTGGTAGATAACAAAAGCATGAAGAGATAAAAATTGCATCAGCCCTGAAATTGCATTTGGAATATATTTTTTGAGATAATCTCTTTCTGAAAGTATAGACACTATGGGTTGGGGTTGGAATTCTTGCTTTGGCCTCTGGATATTGTTTTTGAAGGAATATTTCTCTCCTGGGTAGCTATTCAGTGAAAGGCAGTGTTAAGAGAAAATTCTCCGTGAGTCTTTTGTGTTCCTGAATGTCTTGCAAAGTGGTTCACCGAAGCCCTTTGATCTAAACTATCTTTTCAAGGATATATGCACAGTGAACATCTATACAAATTCCTATCTAATGTCAGCCCAATTTACACTAAGAATTTCTGGATTTTCTTTGATTAATTTTTCAAGTGTCTTTCCCTCCTCTAACACTCCAGGCTTTCACAGATCCCACCAGATAATAAAGATAACACAATTTTCTCATGGGCTTGTGGGTGGAAGCAGCTCAGTATTATGCTCAAAGGCATATGCTGCTGCCAATGGGCCTGGGTGGTATTCTTACTACTATTGCCCATCTGAGCATTATGACCTCTTTTGAACATGACCTTCAGGAAAGTGAATCTGCAGAGCTCATCAAAATGTTATTTGCCCAAAGTAGGCATCTTGGTTTTCCAAGATTTCTTCTGTAGTTTCTTTTACTCTCCTAAACTTTACACATCTGTAGATGGTCTCTTAACTCATAAGGTTGCAATGGATATTGGGATTCTCTCACCCATGATTGATTATGTGTCTCCCCCTCTGGAAGAGCTGTGCGGTTTGATAGGAATGGGACTAAGTTACTTCTTACTCCCCAACCTTGCGTCGTCCTTTAAATTCCGCATATAACATTCTGAGTAGAGAAGAGGTAGAATGAGATGCAGCAACATATACATTAAAAATTTCTTTAAAAATCTCACCAATGTCAAGCTGATTCTTCTACTTCAGCAACAGTTTATTAGATCTCTTCAAAGCAACACTTTTGGAGGCTAGGTATTTGAGGGAAGTCTGTACCTCTTACTTTTAAAATACATTTTATTGTGATGAAAGCTCTCAGAGTTGCCTTTTCTGTGCAGCTGTCTGTTATTTGAAATATTTGCTTGATATTATTTTTCTACATCTGGTTCAGCAATAATTTCATGGGAACATTACTTGTCAATTCTGCATTCTCACTCTTTTTGACACCCTCCCTCCAACATTGACTCCCTAGTGGTGATAAGTGCAGTGAAGAGCCACCAGCAGAAGAATGAAATACTATTTCTTCTTTGTTCTCACCTTACTCACAGTGATCATTGAATTTGTTTTACTGGCTGAAACTGGAGCTGCCTCTGCAAGCAATTAAGTTGTCTTAACCAAACAAATGCAGTGACTGAAATTTCCACACAGCACAGTGTTTCACATTTACTGCATCTGGGGCTTGAGAAAAATCACACTTTAAAGCAATATGAAATAAGTTTTACAAAACTGGCAGGAATTCAATGTTACATAGAAAATCAAGTAGGCTAAACTACTGAGAAATCAAAAGTATATAAGTGTAAGAGAAAATTATATGGCGGAATAAGGCAGGAGAAATATAAATAAGAGCAAATAAGGCCTTTTAGGAGTGACAAAAAAGAAGGAAATATCAAGATAACAACTATATTTTCTAAACACAAATTTGCCTTACAACAGCAATTCTGGACACAAGACAGTGCATTCCAATTTTAGAAAGTGTTTTATTTTTATTTCCCTGGAGGTACTTTTAATTTTTCACAATAGTATCTTAAAAACATCATTTTAGAATAAATTTACTTTTGATTTACATCTTACATGTGTGGTGAATGCCTTCAAAGATGTTAATGCACTGGTGTTGTTGAGCTGGAAAGTGTGTCTCTCCAAATTGATAGGTTATACTTAGGAAATTGATGGTACAAAGAAGCAGGCACACACCTAGACGATAAATCAAACTAAGCACCATATATTTTCTGACCCTGATACTTAAATGATAACTGGTTTACTTAAGCAACAACTCTCCAGTCATTTTTGTCAGTTTTCTGAATGATGACGCATGTATTTTGCAGCTCTTTTTATTTATTGATATTGGCAGAAGAATAAATGTCAGTTTGTATAAAAAGATGTCCAAACAAGTCCCATCTTCTCATTTTATTACATAATGATTATAAATACATATTTCAAGTTTGATGACCTTGAAGGAATTCTTGGTAAGGTTACCAAGGGGAGGAAAGGTTGTCAAACAAATAGACTTTATGTGGCGATTTATAGTCTTCTAGAGAAAGGTATTCTTAGCACTTCCTAGTCAACCTACAATGTAGAACAAGGAAACAAAAAACCTGCAGGCTGTAAATAGTGTGTTCAAAATTCAACCTTCAAAAAAGGAGCAGAGAAACCTTGTGAATGGAATATAAATAGAGAAGGAAGACTGGAAGAAAATTAGTTGTAATAGAATATACACGGATTTTGAGAACGTTGGACTGTGCTCTCCATTCTTACACAGTGTGGGCATTTTGTGGCAATAAAGTTCATTTCCCTTTTTAAACAGATGTTTCCTCTCATCTTAAATAATTATTTCAAAAAATTCGAACTTACAACATTATTAAAATAGAAACAAAATCTGAGCCTTATCAAAATCTGACTGATTATGTGGGAATCCTTAGTTGACCCTAAGTGAGAATTAACCCCTAAGAAATAGCAGTAACCAGGAAAATTAGCAAGATGTGGAAGTCAGTAAAGACCAGAAAAGGGAGTGAGAGCCAGGGTATTCACATTGGAATGAAAGCTCTGATAATTTCTCATGTATATACTTCCTTTAGAAAAGGCTGTTAGCATATCTGAGTCTCAGTTTCATCATATATAAATGTGAAAATAATATTGCCTTTCCTACATCGAAGGATTGCTGATCAAATCAATTTTCCATCTCCCATCAGGGATTGTAGTTTATGGACCCTAGCATCTTTTTATCATCCCTCATCCCTCTGCTATCCTTTCTTCCTTCTTTATCCGAATAGATTCCATGACCTGCCATTGGAATTACTCCCTTTCAAATGTGCCCAACTCCTTTTTCCCTGTTTGTTTCTTCAAATTCATTTGGCAGAACCACCACTTGGGTTAAATCTAACTCTCTACATACTTTGCACCTGCATTCATAAAACTGTATGTATCTGGAAAAACACAAAATCATGAAAAGTAATTTCAGTTTAAATTCATAACAATTATTTTCAAGTAGGCATTTAGTCCTATGCTACCACATTGGATTTTAATTTTATTTCTTGTTTTATTTTCTGGTTAAATTTTACTACTGTGATTATGTTAACTTCATAAAATGAATGCCTTTTTCTATTGTTTGTAAAAGTTTTTATATGGTAGGAACTATTTGTTACTAAATGTTTAGTAGAATTAATCTGTAAAGCTGTCTGGATTAATAAACAAAATCAAAAATAAAAAAGAAGGTAATATATTGGATACCACAGAAATACAAAAGATCATCAGACACTATTGTAAACAACTATATGTTAAAAACCTGGAAAACCTAGAGGAAATGGATAAATTCCTGGTCACATATAGCCTACCAAGATTGAACCAGGAAGAAATAAAAGAAATAAACAGACCAATAATGAGTAACAATATTGAATCAGTAATTAAAAAAACTCCCAGAAAAGAAAAGCCCAATATTGGATGGCTTTATTGCTGTGTTCTACCAAACTTATAAAGAAGAACTAACACCAATTCTTTTCAAACTATTATAAAAATGTGAAGAGGAGGAACTTTTTTTCTAACTCATTCTTTGAGGCTAGCATTACTCTGATCTCAAAACCAGACAAGGACACAACAAAAAAGAAGACTACAGGCCAATCTCCCTGATAAACATAGACACAAAAATTCTCAACAAAATGCTAGCAAACTGAATTCAACAACACATCAAAAAGATAATACACCATGATCAAGTGGATTTATCCTAGGGATGCAAGGATGATTTAACGTCTGCACATCAATAAATGTGATACATCACATCAACAGAATGAGGGACAAAACCATATGATCATCTCAATAGAAGCAGAAAAATCATTTGATAAAATTTAACATCACTATAATAAAAATTCTCAACAAGCTAGACATAGAAGGAACATACTTCAACATAATAAAGCCATTTATGACAAACCTGCACTTAACATCATACTGAAGAGTGAAAAGCTGAAAGCCTTTTCTCTAAAAACTGGAACAAGACAAGAATGCCCATTTTCACCACTCCTATTCAACATGGGACTGGAAGTTCTAGCCAGAGCAATCAGGCAAGATAAAAAAGTAAAGGGCATCTAAATTGGAAAAGAAAAAGTCAAACGGTAGTCCTTCAACATAAATAAGGTTAAAAAAAAGTTGAATTGTCCCTCTTTGTAGATGACATGATCTTATATTTAGAAAAACCTAAAAAAACCTCTTAGAACTAATAAAAAGTTGGAGGATACAAAATCAACATACAAAAATCAGTAGCTGTTTTTGTACACCAACAACAAACTGAAGGAAAAAGAAATCAAGAAAGCAATTTCATTTGCCACAGTTACACAAAAAGAGAAAATACCTATAAATTTAACTAAGGAGGTGAAAGACCTCTACAAGGACAAGTACAAAACACTAACGAAAGAAATTAAAGAAGGCAGAAACAAATTAAAAGGCATTCATGCTCATGGATCAGAAGAATTAATATTATTAACATAGTTCTACTACTCAAAGCAATCTATAGATTTAATGCAATCCCTGTTAAAATACCAATTATGTTTTTCAAAGAAATAGAAAAAAAATCCTACAATTCACATGCAACCAAAAAAGAACCTGAACAGCCAAAGCAATCCTGAACAAAATAATCAAAGCTGGCAGAATTACACTACCTGATTTCAAAATATACTACAAAGCTATACTAACCAAAACAGCACAGTATTGGTATAAAAATAAACATAGACCAAAGGAACAGAATAGAGAACCCAGAAGTAAACCCACATATTTACAGCCAACTTTTAAACAAAGGTGCCAAGAATATACATTAGGGAAAGGACATCCTTTTCAATAAAGGTGCTGATAAAACTGGATATCTTATGCAGAAGAATCAAACTAGATCCCTATCTCTCACCATATACAAAACTATTCAAAATGGATTAAAGACTTCAATGTAGACCTGAATCTATGAAACTGCAGTAAGAAAACAGAGGGGTGACATTCCAGGACATCAATCCAGGCAAAGATTTTGTGGCTAAGACTTCAAAAGCATAGGCAACAAAACAAAGCAAAAAAATAGACAAATGGGACTATTAAACCAAAAGGCTTCTGTGCAAGAGCAACAACAACCACCACCACCACAACATAACAGAAAACCCCAAAACAATCCACAGAATGAAAATATAACATGGTGAATGGGAGAAAATATTTGCAAACTGTTTATCCAACAAGGAACTAATATCCAGAATGTGCAAGAAACTTAAACAACTCAACAACCACAAAAACCAAGTAATCTCATTACAAAGTGGGCAAAAGTATGAATAGACATTACTCAAAAGAAGACATACAAATGGCCAACAAGTATGTGAAAAAATGCTCAACATCACTAATCAAAAATGCAAATCAAAGCCACAATGAGATACCATCTTACCTCAGTTATCACTGTCACTTTTGGTTATGAAAAAGATAAAAAAATGCTGGTGACAATATAAATTAGTACAGCCAATATGAAGCACAGTATGAAGTTTTCTCAAAAAACTAAAAATAGAACTACCATACAATTTAGTAATTCTACTACTGGGTATTTACCCAGAGGACAAGAAATTAGTATGTCAAAGGGATACGTGCACCCCCATGTTTATTGGAGCACTATTCACAATAGCTAAGACATGGAATCAATCTAAATGCCTATCACTGAATGAATGGGTAAAGAAAATTTGACATATACACTCAATGAAGTATAATCAGCCATAGAGAATGAAATCCTGTCATTTGCAGCAGCATGGATGAAACTGGAGGTCATTATGTTAAGTGAAATAACCCAGGCACAGAAATACAAAATAGTGCATGTTTTCTCTTATATGTGGAAGCTAAAAAAGATTATCTTATGGAGGTAAAGAGTAGTATGATGGATACTAAAAGCTGGCAAGGTTGTGTATGTGTGTGGAGAGGGGATGAGGAGAGGTTGGTTAATGGGTACCAACAGTTAGGTAGTTAGATAGAGGGAATACAATTAGATAGAAAGAATAAATTCTAGTGTTCAGTAGCAAAGCAGGGTGACTACAGTTAACAGCAATATATTGAATATTTCAAAATAGCTAGAAGAGAAAATTTGAAATGCTCCCAACACAAGGAAATGATAAGCATTTGAGGTGATATCATAAATACCCTGATTTAATCATTACACATTCTATGCATATATCAAAATATCACATGTGTTCCACAAATATGTACAAATATTATATACCAAAAAAAAACTAAAAAAATGATCTGGGCTTAGTTGAAGTGTGTGTGTGTATGTGTGCATGTGTGTTTGTATACCTTAAACTACAGTTTTAGTTTAAAAATATTTATAGTTCCGCTCTAATGTTTTTCTTTTTGAATTCAGTTTTCTGAGAATTGAATTTTTTTTTTTTTTTTTTTTTTTTTTGAGATGGAGTTTTGCTCTTATTGCCCAGGCTGGAGTGCAATGGTGCTATCTTGGCTTACTGCAACCTCCACCTCCCAGGTTCAAGTGATTCTCCTGCCTCAGCCTCCAGAGTAGCTGGGATTACAGGTGTGCGCCAACACGCCTGGCTAATTTTGTATTTTTAGTAGAGATGGGGTTTCTCCATATTGATCTGGCTGGTCTCAAACTCCTGACCTCAGCTGATCCACCCGCCTCAGCCTCCCAAAGTGCTGGGATTACAGGCATGAGCCACTGTGCCTGGCCCTGAGAAGTGATGAATTTTAATTACATGTTCAATTTGGATGACATAAAACTGTGCATATTATTCTTATTTTTTAAACAGAGGTATAACTGAGAGGTATTGTAGATTTGGTTCCAAACTATTGCAGTAAAGCAAATATCACAATCAAGCAAATCACACAAATTGTGGGGCTTTCCCAGTGCATATAAAAGTTATATATACACTGTACGCAGTCTTTTAAGTGTGCAATAGCACTAGGGGTATATACCCAATAATGGGATTGCTGAGTTGAATGATATTTCTGTTTTAAGTTCTTTGAGAAATCACCAAACTGCTTTCCACAATGGCTGAACAAATTTACATTTCCACTAGCAGTATATTAGCCTTCCCTTTCCTCTGCAACCTTACCAGTATCTGTTATTTTTTGACTTTTTATTGATAGCCATTCTGACTGATGTTAGATGGTATCTCATTGTGGTTTTGATTTGTGTTTCTCTAATCAGTGATGTTGAGCTTTTTTTCATATGATTGTTGGCCACATGTATATCTTCTTTTGAAAAGTGTCTGTTCATGTCCTTTGCCTACTTTTTAATGGGGTTGTTTTTTGCTTGTAAATTTGTTTAAGTTCCCCTTGTTTGTGTGTAGAAATACTACTGAGTTTTGTACATTAATTTTTGTGGGGAAAAGAAAGATCAGACTGTTACTGTGTCTATGTAGAAAGAAGTAGACATAAGAGACTCCATTTTGTCCTGTAATAAGAAAAATTCTTCTGCCTTGAGATGCTGTTAATCTGTAACCCTACCCCCAACCCTGTGCTCCCTGAAACATGTGCTGTGTCAACTCAGGGTTAAATGGATTAAGGGTTGTGCAGGAAGTGCTTTGTTAAACAAATGCTTGAAGGCAGCATGCTTGTTAAGAGTCATCACCACTCCCTAATCTCAAGTACCCAGAGACACAATACACTGCAGAAGGCCGCAGGGACCTCTGCCTAGGAAAGCCAGGTATTGTCCAAGGTTTCTCCCCATGTGATAGTCTGAAATATGGCCTCTTGGGAAGGGAAAGACCTGACCGTCCCCCAGCCCAACACCTGTAAAGGGTCTGTGCTGAGGAGGATTAGTAAAAGAGGAAGGCCTCTTTGCAGTTGAGATAAGAGGAAGGCATCTGTCTCCTGCTCACCCCTGGGCAATGGAATGTCTAGGTGTAAAACCCCATTGTATATTCCATCTACTGAGATAGGAGAAAATCACCTTAGGGCTGGAGGTGAGACATGCTGGCAGCAATACTGCTCTTCAAGGCATTGAGATGTTTATGTATATGCACATCAAAAGTACAGCACTTTTTTCTTTACCTTGTTTATGATGCAGAGAAATTTGTTCACTTGTTTTCCTGCTGACCTTCTCTCCACTATTACCCTATTGTCCTTCCAGATCCCCCTCTCTGAGAAACACCCGATAATGATCAATAAATACTAAGGGAACTCAGAGACTGGTGCAGGTGCCCGTCCTCCGTATGCTGAGCACCGGTTTCCCTGGGCCTACTTTTCTTTCTCTGTACTTTGTCTCTGTATCTCTTTCTTTTCTCAAGTCTCTCGTTCCACCTGACGAGAAACGCCCACAGGTGTGGAGGGGCAGGCCACCCCTTCAATTTTGTATCCTGAAATTATGCTGAAGTTATCAGATCAAGGCGCTTTGGGTCAGAGACTGGGGGTTTTTAGGTATAGAATCATGTAGTCTTTCAACAGATAGTTTGACTTCCTCTCTTCCTACCTGGATGCCTCTTATTGCTTTCTCTTGCCTGACTGCTCTGGCTTATGGTATTATTTTTAACTTTGTTTGTGTATTTTGGGTTTATCTCTTGTAAAACAGACTTTAAAAATTTAAATGGATTTGCAATTATATGAATTGCTGATAATATTTTAAAATTTATTTCTATAATTTCATTTATGCTTTTTGTTGTTCTGCTTTCTCTATGCTTTATTCCATTGCTTTTGGATTAATTCAGGAGTTTTAAAAAATTATACTTTTTTCATATCTAATGCTTAGTTTTTGGCTGTTAAAACTCAAACTCTGTGATCCTAGGTATCTGTCTATGACTTCAGGACAACTGCAGCTTTATGGTAGTTTAATCCCTTGGTTCTACTTCATTCTTAGTATTTGCTTACATATCTATATATCTATTGTCAGGCCTCTGAGCCCAAGCCAAGCCATCGCATCCCTTGTGACTTGCACGTATATGCTCAGATGGCCTGAAGTAACTGAAGAATCACAAAAGAAGTGAATATGCCCTGCCCCACCTTAACTGATGACATTCCGCCACAAAAGAAGTGTAAACGGCCAGTCCTTACCTTAACTGATGACATTACCTTGTGAAAGTCCTTTTCCTGGCTCATCCTGGCCCAAAAAGCACCCCCACTGAGCACCTTGTGACCCCCACTCCTGCCTGCCAGAGAACAAACCCCCTTTGACTGTAATTTTCCTTTACCTACCCAAATCCTATAAAATGGCCCCACCCTTATCTCCCTTCGCTGACTCTCTTTGCGGACTCAGCCCGCCTGCACCCAGGTGAAATAAACAGCCATGTTGCTCACACAAAGCCTGTTTGGTGGTCTCTTCACACAGACGCGCATGAAATTTGGTGCCGTGACTTGGGTCAGGGGACCTCCCTTGGGAGATCAATCCCCTGTCCTCCTGTTCTTTGCTCCATGAGAAAGATCCACCTATGACCTCAGGCCCTCAGACCGACCAGCCCAAGGAACGTCTCACCAATTTTAAATCAGGTAAGCAGCCTCTTCTTACTCTCTTCTCCAACCTCTCTCACTGTCTCTCAACCACTTTCTCCTTTCCAGTCTTCATTCTCTCCCTTCTCTTAATTTCAATTCCTTTCATTTTCTGGTAGAGACAAAGGAGACACGTTTTATCCGTGGACCCAAAACTCCGGCGCCAGTCACGGACTGGGAAGGCAGCCTTCCCTTGGTGTTTAATCATTGCAGGGACGCCTCTCTGATTATACACTCACGTTTCAAAGGTGTCAGACCATGCAGGGATGCCTGCCTTGGTCCTTCACCCTTAGTGGCAAGTCCCGCTTTTCTGGGGAAGGGGCAAGTACCCCAACCCCTTCTCTTCTTGTCTCTACCCCTTCTCTGCTTTTCTGGGAGAGGGGCAAGTACCCCTCAACCCTTTCTCCTTCACCCTTAGCGGCAAGTCCCGCTTTTGTGGGAGAGGGGCAAGTACCCCTCAACCCCTTCTCCTTCACCCTTAGCGGCAAGTCCTGCTTTTCTGGGGAAGGGGCAAGTACCCCTCAACCCCTTCTCCTTCACTCTTAGTGGCAAGTTCCGCTTTTCTAGAGGAGGGGCAAGTACCCCAACCTCATATCTCTGTGCCCCAATCCCTTATTTCCATGCCCCAACCTATCTCTGTGCCCCAATCCCTTATTTCTGCACCCCAACCTCTTATCTCTGCACCCCAATCCATTTCCACGCCCCAACCTCTTATCTCTGTGCCCCAATCCCTTACTTCTGTGCCCCAACCTCTTATCTCTGTGCCCCAATCCCTTATTTCCACACCCCAACCTCTTATATCTCTGTGCCCCAATCCCTTATTTCCATGCCTGGACCTCTTATCTCTGCGCCCCAACCCCTTTTCCCACTTTTCTGGAAGATAAGAACCCCCGACCCTTCCCTCCGTTTCTCTACTCTCTTTTCTCTAGGCTTGCTTCCTTCACTATGGGCAACCTTCCACCCTCCATTCCTCCTTCTACTCCCTTGGCCTGTGTTCTTAAAAACTTAAAACCTCTTCAACTCACACCTGACCTAAAACCTAAATGCATTATTTTCTTCTGCAATGCTGCTTGACCCCAATACAAACTCGACAGTAGTTCCAAATAGCCAGAAAATGGCACTTTGAATTTTTCCATCCTGGAAAACCTAAATAATTTTTGTTGAAAAATAGGCAAATGGTCTGAGATGCCTGACATCCAGGCATTCTTTTACACATCAGTCCCTTCCTAGTCTCTGTGCCCAGTGCACCTCATCCCAAATCTTCTTTCTTTCCCTCCCGCCTGTCCCCTCAGTACCAACCCCAAGCGTGGCTGAGTCTTTCTAATCTTCTTTTCTACAGACCCATCTGACCTCTCCCCTCCTCCCCAGGCTGCTCCTCGCCAGGCCAAGCTAGGTCCCAATTCTTCCTCAGCCTCTGCTACTCCACCCTATAATCTTTTTATCACCTGCCCTCCTGACACCTGGTCCGGCTTACAGTTTAGTTCCGTGACTAGCCCTCCCCCACCTGCCCAGCAATTTACTCTTAAAAAGGTGGCTGGAGCCAAAGGCATAGTCAAAGTTAATGCTCCTTTTTCTTTATCCCAAATCAGAAGCGTTTAGGCTCTTTTTCATCAAATATAAAAATCCAGCCCAGTTCATGGCTCGTTTGGCAGCAACCCTGAGATGCTTTACAGCCCTAGACCCTAAAAGGTCAAAAGGCCGTCTTATTCTCAATATACATTTTATTACCCAATCTGCTCCCGACATTAAATAAAACTCCAAAAATTTGAATCTAGCCCTCAAACCCCACAACAGGACTTAATTAACCTCACCTTCAAGGTGTACAATAACAGAAAAAAGTTGCAATTCCTTGCCTCCACTGTGAGACAAACCCCAGCCACATCTCCAGCACACAAGAACTTCCAAATGCCTGAACTGCAGCAGCCAGGTGTTTCTCCAGAACCTCCTCCCCCAGGAGCTTGCTACACGTGCCAGAAATATGGCCACTGGGCCAAGGAATGCCGCAGCCCGGGATTCCTCCTAAGCCGCGTCCCATCTTTGTGGGACCCCACTGAAAATCGGACTGTTCAACTCACCTGGCAGCCACTCCCAGAGCCCCTGGAACTCTGGCCCAAGGCTCTCTGACTGACTCCCTCCCAGATCTTCTCGGCTTAGCAGCTGAAGACTGACACTGCCCGATCACCTTGGAAGCCCCCTAGACCATCATGGATGCCGAGCTTCAGGTAACTCTCACAGTGGAAGGTAAGCCCATCCCCTTCTTAATCAATATGGAGGCTACCCACTCCACATTACCTTCTTTTCAAGGGCCTGCTTCCCTTGCCTCCATAACTGTTGTGGATATTGACGGCCAGGCTTCTAAACCTCTTAAAACTCCCCAACTCTGGTGCCAACTTAGACAATACTCTTTTAAGCACTCCTTTTTAGTTATCCCCACCTGCCCAGTTCCCTTATTAGGCTGAGACACTTTAACTAAATTATCTGCTTCCCTGACTATTCCTGGACTACAGCTATATCTCATTGCCGCCCTTCTTCCCAATCCAAAGCCTCCTTTGCGTCCTCCTCTTGTATTCCCCCACCTTAACCCACAAGTATAAGATACCTCTACTCCCTCCTTGGCGACCGATCATGCACCCCTTACCATCTCAGTAAAACCTAATCACCCTTACCCCACTCAACGCCAATATCCCATCCCGCAGCACGCTTTAAAAAGATTAAAGCCTGTTATCACTCGCCTGCTACAGCATGGCCTTTTAAAGCCTATAAACTCTCCTTACAATTCCCCCATTTTACCTGTCCTAAAACCAGACAAGCCTTACAAGTTAGTTCAGGATCTGTGCCTTATCAACCAAATTGTTTTGCCTATCCACCCCATGGTGCCAAACCCATATACTCTCCTATCCTCAATACCTCCCTCTACTACCCATTATTCTGTTCCAGATCTCAAACATGCTTTCTTTACTATTCCTTTGCACCCTTTATCCCAGCCTCTCTTCGCTTTTGCTTGGACTGACCCTGACACCCATCAAGCTCAGCAAATTACCTAGGCTGTACTACCACAAAGCTTCACAGACAGCTCCCATTACTTCAATCAAGCCCAAATTTCTTCCTCATCTGTTACCTATATCGGCATAATTCTCATAAAAACACATGCTCTCCTTGCCAATCGTGTCCGACTGATCTCTCAAACCCCAGCTCCTTCTACAAAACAACAACTCCTTTCCTTAATAGGCATGGTTAGCGTGGTCAGAATTCTTACACAAGAGCCAGGACCACACTCTGTAGGCTTTCTGTCCAAACAACTTGACCTTACTGTTTTAGCCTAGCCCTCATGTCTGCGTGCAGCGGCTGCCGCTGCTTTAATACTTTTAGAGGCCCTCAAAATCACAAACTATGCTCAACTCACTCTCTACAGTTCTTATAACTTCCAAAATCTATTTTCTTCCTCATACCTGATGCATATACTTTCTGCTCCCCAGCTCCTTCAGCTATACTCACTCTTTTTTGAGTCTCCCACAATTACCGTTGTTCCTGGCCCGGACTTCAGTCCGGCCTCCCACATTATTCCTGATACCACGCCTGACCCCCACGACTGTATCTCTCTGATCCACCTGACATTCACCCCATTTCCCCAAATTTCCTTCTTTCCTGTTCCTCACCCTCATCAGGCTTGATTTATTGATGGCAGTTCCACCAGGCCTAATCGCCACATACCAGCAAAGGCAGGTTATACTATAGTACAAGCCACTAGCCCGCCTCTTAGAACCTCTCATTTCCTTTCTATCATGGAAATCTATCCTCAAGGAAATAACTTCTCAGTGTTCCATCTGCTGTTCTACTACTCCTCAGGGATTATTCAGGCCCCCTCCCTTCCCTACACATCAAGCTCAAGGATTTGCCCCACCCAGGACTGGCAAATTAGCTTTACTCAACATGCCCTGAGTCAGATAACTAAAATACCTCTTAGTCTAGGTAGATGCTTTCACTGGATAGGTAGAGGCCTTTCCTACAGGGTCTGAGAAGGCCACCGCAGTCATTTCTTCCATTCTGTCAGACATAATTCCTCAGTTTAGCCTTCCCACCTCAATACAGTCTGATAACAGATGAGCCTATTAGTCAAATCAGCCAAGCAGTTTTTCAGGCTCTTAGTATTCAGTGAAACCTTTATATCCCTTACAGTCCTCCATCTTCAAGAAAAGTAGAATGGACTAAAGGTCTTTTAAAAACACACCTCACCAAGCTCAGCCACCAACTTAAAAAGGACTGGACAATACTTTTACCACTTTCCCTTCTCAGAATTCAGGCCTGTCCTCTGAATGCTACAGGGTACAGCCCATTTAAGGTCCTGTATAGATGCTCCTTTTTATTAGGCCCCAGTCTCATTCCAGACACCAGACCAACTTAGACTGTGCCCCAAAAAACTTGTCATCCCTACTATCTTCTGTCTAGTCATACTCCTATTCACTGTTCTCAACTACTCATACATGCCCTGCTCTTGTTTACACTGCCGGTTTACACTGTTTTTCCAAGCCATCACAGCTGATATCTCCTGGTGCTATCCCCAAACTGCCACTCTTAACTCTTGAAGTAAATAAATAATCTTTGCTGGCAGGACTATGCTGAATCTCCTTAGGCACTCTCTAATCAGTTATCCTGAGTCGTCCCAACTCTTAGACCTTTTATACCTGTTTTTCTCCTTCTGTTATTCCATTTAGTTTCTCAATTCATCCAAAACCGTATCCAGGCCATCACGAATCATTCTATAAGACAAATGTTTCTTCTAACATCCCCACAATATCACCCCTTACCACAAGACCTCCCTTCAGCTTAATCTCTCCCACTCTAGGTTCCCAAGCTGCCCCTAATCCCGCTTGAAGCAGCCCTGAGAAACATCGCCCATTCTCTCTCCATACCGCCCCCCAAAAATTTTCGCCGCCCCAACACTTCAACACTATCTTGTTTTATTTTTCTTATTAATATAAGAAGGCAGGAATGTCAGGCCTCTGAGCCCAAGCCAAGCCATCGCATCCCTTGTGACTTGCACCTATACGCCCAGATGGCCTGAAGTAACTGAAGAATCACAAAAGAAGTGAATATGCCCTGCCCCACCTTAACTGATGACATTCCACCACAAAAGAAGTGTAAATGGCTGGTCCTTGCCTTAACTGATGACATTACCTTGTGAAAGTCCTTTTCCTGGCTCATCCTGGCTCAAAAAGCACCCCCACTGAGCACCTTGCGACCCCCACTCCTGCCTGCCAGAGAACAAACTCCCTTTGACTGTAATTTTCCTTTACCTACCCAAATCCTATAAAACGGCCCCGCCCTTATCTCCCTTCGCTGACTCTCTTTGCGGACTCAGCCCGCCTGCACCCAGGTGAAATAAACAGCCATGTTGCTCACACAAAGCCTGTTTGGTGGTCTCTTCACATGGATGTGCATGAAATCTATGTATCTACATTTTTTAATGTTTTGGTATAATCTGTTTTTTAAAAAATTCATATGTAACAGATGTAACATATTTTGAGGATACATGTGATATTTTGATACATTCATATAATGTGTAATAATCAAATCGTGATAATTGGGATATCCATCACCTTAAACATTTTTCTTTATGCTGGAAATGCTTATTCTCTATTACCTATTTTAAAATTTAATATAGATTACTGTTTACTATAGTAATTCTATTGATCCATTGTACACTAGATCTTATTCCTTTTATCTAACTGTATTTTCGTATCCATTAATCAACCTCTCTTTATCCTCTTCTCTCCCTTACCTTTCCTGGCCTGTGGTAACCACCAATATACTCCCCATCTTCATGAGATCTACTTTCCTAGCTCCTGCATA
Source organism: Homo sapiens (assembly GCF_000001405.40). Lineage (NCBI taxonomy): Eukaryota > Metazoa > Chordata > Mammalia > Primates > Hominidae > Homo > Homo sapiens. Next base: position 96,594,084 of record NC_000011.10, read on the forward strand.
GGAATGAGAACTGCTATGTATATATTTTGTACGTATGTATCATCTACTTATTTTGGTGTTTGAGGAACTCCTTTATGGTTTTGCTAGTTCAGATCTATATTTACAAGTATTTTTTGAATCAGATTTTATTATGTATTTATACTTTTTATGTACTGAGAATTTTTTCAGGGAATGTAGTCTCTAATACTACCTCAAGTAGAAATATTTGTTAAATAGTTAATTATTGTTTTTGCATATATTTACCACTTTTCAAACACAAGAATTATTTCTATGTTACATACCATGATGTACCTCTCATATGTATCATTTGTATTTCATTGCCTTTCTTCCCTTTTCCATTATCCTTTTGCATGACTTGCTTAACCTTGTTATCCATCTTATTACTTTTCTACAGTGATTTTTCAGATTCCTTCCTTTGTCCCATTTGGCATATTTTCTTTGTGATGCCCATTTGCCTTTCTCTCAAACTGTTGTATACAATCTCATCATGCATTTCTTTTCTTAAAAGTGAAATGTGCATTTTCTTATATGTTGTTGCCAAAAAATGACTGTAGGTTGATACCTCTTGGGTATCATTAGTCTTTACTTTGGCATCTTTTAAACCTTTGCTTTGGAACATAAGCTAAAAGCATGTTTATATTAACCATTTGGTCACCACTGACAACCTAAGAGAAGGACTGGGAGCTGATGCCATGAGATGTTATTGCTGTAGAGCTTTGTTTTTATAGGCCTATATTTGTATTTATTAATATACTTGTTTTAATGCTGTGTCTGGGTACATGCTCCACTAAAGTGGAGGATTATTCTATTCCACTGAGAAAATACATTATGGCTCTTTATTGTTGTTATTCATGGTGTCCTGGCCATTTTAGAGAATTTCTTATGAGGACACAGGCAGTCTTTAGACTTCTTCTTTTGTGAACATGGGTGACACTGCTAGTTGTTTCCTTAATATTTATTTAGTCATTTATTCTCACTGATGGAAGCTCAATTCTGTCTAGAGTGGCAATGCGTCCAGGCAAAACATCCTGTCTCTCAGTGTTACTTGTCTCCATATGCCATATTCGATTGGATCATAAGCCATATTTTTAAATGCATGGCATAGTTTATTAACAACAGTTTCGTGTGATTGAGCCAAGAATTTTTGGCCACGAAGATGGAAATCACTGGGTGCAGCAAATCACTGGGTGGAGATTCTGTGAAGGCTGTTTTAAAGGAGCTGTATATTTCTGGTTTGATTTTTCAACCTTCTGTCCTTTGCCCTTCTCCTTCATTTCATTTTCTGTGATCTTCAACCCAATGACTAGCATTAAAACAGCCATCTTATAAATAAAGCCTGAAAGATGCATCTGAATGAGAGCAGAGTAAGGACAGAATAAGTCCTTGATAACCTATTTAAGCAATTGCACCATCCATAGACTGCACACTTTTGGATATGTTGTTATATGAAAAACAAATAGGTCCTTATTTAGTTATGTCAGCCCCTACCCCTCTACCATCCTAATCATTGCTTTTTCTGATGAGTACTCATAACTAAGAAAATGGCTCCAAATAAATTGGTCCTAGCTTCTTATATATTTGTAATTTCCAAATAAATTGGGCATAGTCTCCCTTACCTTAAGTCTTCAGCAATCCAGATGAAGAAACAGTAGAATTCATTCTTGTACTGAAGTAAACTTGCAATACTATTTCACATGCTCAGAGAAGAGTAATGAGGAAAGGCTACTCTTTTTTCTTTCTCTAGACACACAAGAATGGTTTTTACATGTAGTGATTGGCGTGGAGGAAAAGACCCCAACTACAGCTGCTTATGCTCCAAGCTATTGCCTATTTAAATCGAGGGATATTAGAAAATATTATTCAGATTTGTTTCACTTACTTCCAGCAACACTTCACTCCTGCCTTTGGGAGGGGAGTTTTATGTTGGGTCTCTATGTCCCAAGCCTAACCTAGAACATTATAGATGTGTTTGCAGATCAGTGGGCTGTGTTATGCAGGCAGCTTGCTGTGCTCCTGAATTTTAGGGTCAAGGATATGGTAATGGTAATTGCTACTTGTCATTAAGTTCCTACCATGTTCTAGCTACTGTTCTCAGCACTTGACATGTGTTAACTCACTTAATTCTTATACAGTAGATAGGTTCTATTATTAATACTCTCACTTTCCAGGGGAGGCAACTGAGACTGTGAGAGATTGAATCATTTGCCCAATGTCACCTGGTTAGAATGGGGCAGAGTGGGGATGGGACTCTCACAGATGGACTCCATAGTCTGTACCATGACTTCTTAGCTGCTTTTCCTGGACCTTGTATACAGATGTCTCCCTGGAATTCTAAACCTCATAAGGAAAGAAGCTGTGCTGGGAAAGACAGGAAGGAAGCACAGAGAAAAGCAAATGAACACAAACTGTTGGAGAGGAAAAGCCACTATTGAAGAGGCTGCCAGGAAATATGAGAGACTTTCCCTACCCCGATGCTATGATTTTTGTCCTAGTTTGAACTGTACCCAGAAATAAAATTGTCCTCTTCATTTTTACTTCTCTGAAATCTTTCATGTTCACGGGAAGATGTGTGAAAGTTTTCTCTTCTACTGCCATCCTTTCACAAACCCTAAGGCTCTTCTCTGAGGCTTGGTCCACTATGGCATCCATAGAGCTGCTTGGTGCAGTAGAAAGTTGGTTCTCAAAATCAGACAGGCTTGGATTTGTATTCCTCTTCAGCTATTACTAACCCGTGTGATCTGTGTGATCTGTACAAGTCACTTAACTCTTGGGGGCCTTAGTCTCTTTGTTCATCAAATGGGAATACTAATTGTTAGGAAATTGGCTTATTCATTAAGTCAACCAATATCTATTGATTACCTACTTTGTGCTAGTCACTGGTAGATAATGTTTTGGCAAAAATAAATAATAAGTAATATTTGATCTTGCACTCAATAAACTTAAAATCCAGTAGAGAAGATAGGCATGTAAGAGATAATCAGCACTCCTGGTATAAATGCTATGATTAGTGTAAATACAGGCTGTTGTGTTGAGAATTATAGAGCTCTTGTCACATAAAAGGCACTCAGCAATGTAAGTGCTTGTTCATTTCTTCCATTCTTCCCCTTATTCTAAAGGATCCTGCTGCTGCCAAGCCTTCCCCACATATGTGCAGTTTCATTTCAGAAGCTTTACTCTATCCCAGGACGTCTTTTTACTTTTAATGTGCAGTGTGGCTCTGAGAGGATACTGTTTAACTACCTCTCAAAGCCAAATAGGGCGATTTGTGACACGTGTAGTTTGCACCTTGGGCATCTATTATTCACATCAATATTTGTGTGCCATTTAATACATTAAACTTAAATTTCTACTAAAAGAAAAATAACTGAGAATTTAAGAGAGAGATATAAAAAGAAAACCTTAAAATGTTGAGAAAATAAAATGTTTGGGGTTTTTACCTTCTTAACTATTTGCATGTTATAATTACAGAATTACCTACTATGGTTTTGGTTGGCTGTGTCCCAATAACCCCATTCCAGTTTTAAATGTGAAAGTACAATTAGTTTTTCCTAGAGTTGGTAATAGAGTTTGACACTTCTGGGTTCTTGACTTGTGTGTTAGAGCCAAACCATATGCGCTAGTAATACAGATAAATACACATTGCCTCATGCATACTTTTAAATCAGTATGAAGCTAGTCTAAAATTTAGGAAGTTACCATATAGATCAAGGAGAAAATATGTATTTTTTTCTATCTCCCTTTAGATGAGCCTTGATTCTGCAGAACTACCAGGCTTAGATGGTGTGTGGGGCTCAGTAGATTTAGTTTTAAAGCTTATTAAGGGGGATTGCTAAATTCTTTTAGCTTCCAAAATAAAAGGAGGTAAATATTATTGGAAGAATTAAATATGTAGGTAGACTAGGAGAGAATGAAGAAAGTTTTCAGGGCCACATTAAATTTTAAGTAAGTTTTTCCAAAATGAGTTGTAGGCTGTCTAGCAAGGTGACTGGAAAACTCCTTTCCTCTAAATTGACAAGTACTGCTGCTGATCAGTTTATATTGGTAATTATCTTTAGAAATGTTAGCTGTGGAGGCATTTTATATGAGAACATCCACATTTACCTATTACTTTGGTAACTCTGAAATGACAAGAAAGAATATTCATAGGCTTTTCTTATAATCCAGTAGGAGCTCCAAACATACAAACCCATAGAGCAGCAGCATTGCAGATCAATAAGGACTAGAGATCTGCAATAGGTTTTCAAAACTCACTATAAAAAAAAACAAGCTTTTGTGCCTTGGGAGTATTTCACAATAATTAGAGTATTAATCTTAAATTCACAGTGCAGATAAACTACTTAGAGGATGGTATAGCAATGGCACAAGCTATTTCCACATTCAGTTTGTGAAATATCTTTAAGCAAAAATCCTATTAATATGCTGTAGGCTGGGTGCAGTGGCTCACACCTGTTATTCCAACACTTTGGGATGCTGATGGGGGTGGATCACCTGAGGTTAGGCTTTTGAGAACAGCCTGGCCAACATGGTGAAAACCCATCTCTGCTAAAAATACAAGAATTAGCTGAGTGTGGTGGTGTGTGCCTGTAGTCCCAGCTACTCAGGAGGCTGAGGCAGGAGAATCGCTTGAACCCGGGAGGCAGAGGTTGCAGTGAGCTGAAATTGTGCTGCTGCACTCCAGCTTGGGCAACAGAGTGAGAGACTCTGTCTCAAAAACAAAGGAAAACAAAACAAAGCTGTAGGTCAGTGATTGTATATTCAAAGAATTTCACTTTGCCAAAACCCGTTATCAAGATTTACTTACCATGATATCAGCAAGGGAGAGGGAGGCAGTTATATTAAATAATAATTAAAACCCATCTCAAATTACCCACAAATATTTAGGATTTTATTTAATTGAACCCAAGATGAAAACAAAACTAATAAATGGCAAAGTTTATTATGCAACTTCTGATTAATAGAATAGTGCAAAGATTGCTCAGGAAACCAAGGAAGATTTAAACACACACATTTATATATGTAATATGAGTAATATATGCATATCTGCATTATTTTGTTTTTTTAAAATATAAGATAGATGGGTAATGGCTAGGTGTGGTGGTGTGCACATGTAGTCCCAGTTACTCAATAGGCTGAGGTGGGAGGATTGCTCGAGCCCAAGAGTTTAAGACTAGCCTGGGTAACACAGTGAGACCCTGTCTGAAAAGAAAAGGTAGATAGGTATAGCTATAGGTGGGTGTGTGCATGTGTGTATGTCTGTACATTTCACATATTATGTTATTTTTAAAGTCAAACTTTTTTTTTTTTTTTTTTTTTTTTTTTTTTTTTTTTTTTTTTTGAGATGGAGTTTCACTCTGTCACCCAGACTGGAGTGCAGTGGTACCATCTTGGCTCACTGCAACCTCCGCCTCCAAGGTTCAAGCTGAGTCTCCTGCCTCAGCCTCCCGAGCCCGAGTAGCTGGGATTACAGGGTCGTGCCACCACACCTGGCTGATTTTTGTATTTTTAGCAGAGATGGGGTTTCACCATGTTGGCCAGGCTGGTCTAGAACTCCTTACCTCAGGTGATCCTACTTCTTTGAACTTGGCTCATGGAATTCTATATTCTTTTTTCCTGTGAATTCCATTTCATCCCTTACAGCTTAAAACTGGGATATAATATAAAAGCGTTAAACTTCTCTGCTTGGCTTAGAAAATTGCACAGTGATAGTCACAGTATTGGACCCCATAAAGTATGATGTTCCTGTGAAAGATAAGAGGGGAGGCAGCAAGAGTAGTGGGCAAGGAGAACGCTTCAGATTACAATATAGGTCTGGAACCTGAAAGGATAATGGGAAGGAAGTGCTGAGTAAGAAGAACCCCTTATTGGAGATTAGTTCTGAGAAAGTTTCGGACAGACATATGAGAAGCCCCTGAGCCAGATTTTCACCCTGCACTGGGTAGCTATGCCTTTTTCTAGCCCCTGCTGTGCTTAGTCATAGGCTAGGAGATGCCTGGAAGAAGCACAAACTGGGGTGAATGCTGTCATGGATCTACAGTTATGGCAGCTGAAGCCTGTCAGTCAATCATAGTCCCAGCAGCAGATTCCCTCGAGGGAGACCTGACCAGGGCACCTCCATCGATGACACACGCACATGACTCTTGGCTCAACAGAAAATTCTTTTAAATTCTGTGCTCTGACTAGGCATGGTGGCTCATGCCTGCAACCCCAGTACTTTGGGAGGCCAAGATGGGAAAATCACTTGAGGCCAGGAGTTAAAGACCAACCTGGGGAAAGTAACAAGGCCCCATTTCTACAACAACAACAACAAATTAGCTGGGAGTGGTGGCACACACCTGTAGTTTTAGTTACTAAGGAGGCTGAGGTGGGAAGATCGCTTACACCCAGGTGTTGGAGGCTGCAGTGATCTGTGATTGCATGTGCCACTGCGCTCCTGCACTCTAGCCTGGGTGGCAGAGCAAGATCCTGTCTTTAAATGAAACAAAACAAAAATTCTGTAATTTCTCTGCTCTGATAAGAAGTAAGTTTTTCTCCAGCAGCGATTTGGGAAGATTGATCTCTATCATGATTGTTTCAACGCCCTCCTACTTCAAACCTCCTCTTCTAATTGCTTCCTACCAACTACACATTCTTCTGTATTTTACGCACAGAGAGTAGAGACAGACTCTTGAAGCAGGCTTTAATACAGAGAAACATCTGTAACATAAATTGCCCTAAAGTGGAATTAAAGTCTTTCTGTAGGCAATATAATAAGGTTTGGTAGTTGAAAGATTCAAGGGATATCTTTCTGAAATGGCCTCACTTGTAAGAATACACTACAGCAAGAATCTCTAGAACCAGTGTGGTATAAGCCATAGGCAACTGCCAAGGTTTTTACTACAGGGTGGCAAATTCAGACTTGCCATGTTTGAAATATCATATTTGGTTGGGGATTAGATATTTATCTATGGCTGCTCAGTAGTTTGTTATCCTGAGGAACTTAGCATGGGCAGCAGCATATTATTGATTTTGGAAAACAGGAAGGATTGAAAGAAGCTGTGTGGATTATTATGGGAAAAGCTGTTGGCAGGTGTGTGTCCTGAATAAATGAACAACTTGATAATTCCACACCTGGAACCCAAAGAGAAAAAATGTGGATGGTGACCTGCTGGCGTGGAGGTTGTTCGCTGGAGTGGTTTTGGATGAGCCTGCAGATGGTTCCTACTTCCTTGTTCTGAGTTCATTGGCAGAAGGGATGTGCCTCACAGACCATGGCACTGCTCTAAATTATATTGCTAATCTCTTCCAACTCTGCATGGATTTGTATCTGAATTATATTTTCTTCCCCTCTAGATTGGTTTGTTTTCATGACATCTATTATTTGGCAAGAAATTATGCAGCAATAATCCTAACTCATTCTTAGAGAGATGGCTTAAAAAGCCTTTAGTAGAATAAAAAGGTTTGGATAAAAGGTTATTCTTATTGAGGAACTACTATGGGACAGAATCTATAGAAGGTGCAGAATTAGGGATAAATAAAATGTGTGCATACCTTTGGGAAACACAGCTTGAAGACAATTATGCAACAGCTAACTATCAACTAGGTTGGTAAGCGACGGTTTCTATTTCCTGAAGTGAATCCTGACTGATACAGAGTCCAAGGTGCTTATACCACATCACTGCTTAAAATTTTTCAGGCTCCTCATTGTTTTCAAAAAAGGGCAAATTTCTTTGCCTAGAAATATTAGCTAACATATGTTGATTGCTTACCATGTGAAGGGAACTATTCTAAGTGTATATACATTAATTCATTTTAACATACAAAAGAATCTGGAAGTGGGTTCTTTACAGAGAAATGAAATGAGGCATAGGGAGATTAAGTATCATTTCCAAGATAAAACAGTGAATGTTAGAGTTAGGACACAATCTAAGAAGTACAGCTTCAAAGCTGTAATTGACCCATTAATTTATATTGCAAAAGGGTCACCATTCTTGTGAAGAATTAGAACCATCTCTATCCTGGACCCCATTGTATATTCCTCCAGTCATACTGACTCCCTGTCATGTTGTTTCACACATTTGTGCTTTTGTACAAACTATTCTTTCCCTCAGCTGTAATTCAATAATTATTTACTTAGTTCTTGTTCTATGCCATGGCATTTCAAGATATTGGAAGTTCTGACACCTATTAAAATAAAAATACAGTCCTATCTTTTATGTAGGTTATAGACTACTGGGACTTGAAAACAAAGAGACACATAGAAATATACTTCTAGAAGGATGGGTGGAAGCAAATAAAGAAGAAGTTACAATTATACTGTTATCACAGGAATTGAAAAGTGTTGCAAAAACACACATGGGGGGCACAATTTGAGCTTGAAGGATTAGGAAAGGCTGACGGTCTAAACAGATAGCTGAGTGCCTGGTATTTTCAACATCTTCTCTGCATGGCTGATTCTTAGTCATCTATCATGGCTGTTTCTTCTTTGAGAATTTCCCCCAATCTTATTAACGCCCCTTGAGGAATGTGGACAGAAAATGCCATGTTATTTTTCGCTGTTATTGTTTTTTATTGCTTTTCTCCCACTAAACTGAAAGCTCTTTGAGGAAAGAACTTATTACTTGCTTATATTTGTGCCCACTGTATCTATTACAGTGCTGGCTTAGCATATGTCCTCTATAAATATTTGTTAAATGAATGAGAGAGTGGTTGAGGTTGAAGTGATATGTAAAAAGTTATCAATTCAAGGTGGGTCTTGTACATCTTGCTAGTAGTTTATATTTTTTTCCTAGATGATCAGAGATCCTTAGAGTGTTGGCAATAAAAAACTGATTTTTTGTTCTTTCCGTATTATGCATGTGTATGTATCCTTGAGTCAAATTAGTTGCAGGGTTGTGTGAAAACATTACCTTGATGGAGCTAAGTAGTAAGTTTCACCTTTATAGGACCAGTTAGCTTCATTTGTATCTCCAAGCAGAGATGGCCACATGCTTGTTGGCCACCTGAGCTGCAGATGTATAATTTTGATTATAAAGACAGATGAGAAAGTGTGTGTGGATCATCTCAAATTGATTTCCATTCCTGGAGCAACAGCTCTCACGTACATATGCCAGCAATGGTGAGCCAATAACTATACCTTCACATATGGGGCAGCATACTTTATATATAAGTTTGGGTATCATTTTCCCACACCATTATATTATGCTTGAAAATAAATTATGGACAAGTCTCTAGGGTTAATATGACTGTGCACATCAATATCATCATAGACGTAGAAAATAGATTTAAATTAAGGTAATGTAGTTCCCGAATTGTCAAAAAAATTGTATTTTATGTATGTTTAAATAAAATGATTTTCCTCAACTGTGCATTTACATAATTAGTTATATTGAGTTGCAAAAGATTTCTGAGTAATTTACAAGTAGAGTGTAGCATTTGTTTTTCATAAACTCAGAAAATGATTGATCTAAAAGTATTTATAGATTCAAAATATTTAGATGTTACTCTTTACCATATTGGTAGCAGATACTGTATTAAAATCACCAAATTTGCATAATTTTAATTCAGCAAGAACAATAAGATTGCTAAGGGAATCATTCCTTGAAAGAAAAAAAAACAACACCATAACTGTGATTCAAATGACCTTCGTGGGTGCTTTGTAGAAAATGTGAATAAAATTAGGAGTAAAAGCTGAAGACATTTCATTTGGCTAGTGTTAAAGTATCATGGGTGTTATTTTATCAGAGATGTGACACGCTGTGATAGGCATAGACAGATCATTGATTTTCACTCACTGTGCATAAAACACAGTTGACTCTCAAGATCCTGTTGAAAGAGTGCTTTAAATTGCCCAGAAAGTAGATCCCACTCCTGGTCCCAGGTATTTGAGCATATGTACCCAAAAATAAACATCATTCCTGAATTTAAGATGATTTTAATAATAATGGAGAAAAAAAGTAGGCAGGAAAAGCCAATTAGTTTTTCCTGAGCCTTCCCCTCTTCTTTTCACTGCATTAGTGCTCTGGAGATTAACAAGATGGGAAGTGTTTCTGTTCTCCTGAAACTTAAAATTTATTTGTGAAAAGACAATAATGCCTATTAGGCAATAAATGATTAATACATACTTATACTCATCTGCCTTTGTTTTCTTATTTGCCAGATACAACGTACACATTTTCTTTTTTTTTTTTTTGAGACAGATTCTCACTCTGCTGCCCAGGCTGGAGTGCAGTGGCGTGATCTCAGCTCACTGTAAATTCTGCCTCCTGGATTCAAGCGATTCTCCTGCCCCAGCCTCCTGAGTAGCTGGGATTATAGGAGCCTGCCACCACATCTGGCTAATTTTTGTATTTTTAGTAGAGATGGGGTTTCACCATATTGACCAGGCTGGTCTCGAACTCCTGACCTCAGGTGATCAGCCCACCTCGGCCTCCCAAAGTGCTGGGATTACAGGCTTGAACCACTGCACCCAGCCACTATTTTTCTCTTAAATGATATAGAATGATAAACACCAAAGTGAAGAGGAAGAAAGAATGATGAAGGTAGTTGAAGCGCAGAGATAAAGACAAGAATCTAGACATTCTGCATTCCAGTTCCAAGGGACCCACCTGTTTTAGTGGATACTGAGGTCTTTGATGGACTTAGAGAAATAACTTGGAGATTACCTGTCTTAGATTATTGCTAATGTATTTTTTCTCACCAACATAATGAGAAGATGTAGTACTAGATGTTTAAAAACACTTATGGAGAAGGGTGTTATGTTCGTTGGTGGATAGTGGTGCTTTCCTTTATTTGTTTCTTTCTTAAAATATTGAGAGTACTTTGGGAAAAAAAATTCAGTGATGAAAGGGACTGAGTGATAGAAAATTTGCATATGGCAGGTGGGAGAAAAACCCCTGAATTATGACTGCACAGTGAAATAAAACCATGCTGTATGCAATCTGGACTGTGTGTGTCAGTGATCCACACTGTCTCAACCTCCTCTGACATGGATGCTATGAAATAATAACTCAGGAGAGATGTATTTGTCCCCATGAAAGAATTTTTTGTTGTTGTTTAAATACACTAAGTTGTCTCCCACACGGAGTGAAAAAAATTTGGAACTAGGTCACATGAGTTAAGTCCTTTGCAATTATTAGTTGATGGTCCTTTTAAAAATTACTTTATTAATGTTTGGCAACCACAAATCCATGTAAACATCAGCATTTTGGTTAAATAATAAAAGAGTAAATAAAGCATTGTGACCGTATGCATTTACCCTGAGTGGTTTTAAGTTATAATTTTTAAAAATTTTTCTTTATAGAAAGTCATTGTTTTCTATAGTTTCTTTTTAGTGAAATATCCTTGCAGCACTACATTTGGCATTTTCTTTTGTCTAATGCATTGAGAAGATAGTTGGTTTCTATATGCCAAATATTATTGGAGAGTCTGATAAAATAAAGGGAGCAAAAGAAGAATCTTAGATTCCTATTAGATTCATAATTATAAAATTATAATTACAAAAGTAATCATGCCTGTTTAAAATATACATGGCCTTCTTTATAAGAGAAAAAACTAGAATTGGACTTTGTTTCCATTTATAAAATATTAATGTGCCCTGACATTGAAAAATGAAATGAGATTAAGTAACTGTTGTGTCTGGGGTAACACTACTCCAGACGTTAAAGCTGAGTTGGGAAGATGATGACTGGGAGATAAGTTCACCTACAGCATCAAGAAAGCTTTCTCATATTTCAGAGACATTTCTATCCCTAAAAAGCTCCCCTTAATAATACAGTAGAATCTGAACTAATGGGATACTTTAGATTTCCTATAATTAAGCAAATCAGCTGAGTGCAGGACTAAATTTCCAGCTCTTTACAGAAATTTCAGCTTTGTAATTCGAGAGACATATAATACCATTCATGTACTTGACAAGGGATATGCACTACATTTTTTCTTTGTTTTTTTCTTTTTTGCTTATAAACCCTCTTTCCTTTGAATACACCATGGACCCTTGCTTTCTAATGGCTCCAGAAGCCTAGGTTGTCCTCTCCAGGCTTTGGCTCTTGCCCTCTGGCTAATTTTTTTGGATTCCCTGTTGCTACTAAGGAAACAGGAGAGGATAGTGTTGCTAGGGTAGTGAAATGCTCATCTCTTTCAGCAATAATATCTGGCCAGAGGGAGAGACAGCTCAGGGCTGACTGGTTTGCAGTGCCAGCGGGCAGGGGAGCCTTATGACTGCAAAAGGCTCCAGGAAGAATCTATGCCACCATGAATTCTGCACAGAATGCATTTTAGTTGGAATCTGTACCCTTCTTCTATCCTCTTGGTATTAATAATTAATATGATTCATGAATTAAAGAGAATATTTCTTGAAAATTTTTACTTATTAATGCATTCATTTGATACTCTAAAAATGATCAAGTATACTTTTGCTAACTTATTCTGCCTCTTTGAGACATTATCTTGTGTTATGTGAAATATAGTAGCAGTCTGGCCCATGTCCTCTAGCTTAGGGATTGGTTTTCTCCCACTTAATACCTTGTTCATGACAGATTCAGACCCACATCAGAACACAGTCATCCCTCTCAATAATTTCTTGTTGGAATTATACCTATGTAGTATAGTAATAGTAACCTACATATATAGTATAGTAACCTACACTATAGACAGATACTCATATACACATATATAGGTCAGCCCCATATGGTAAAAGAAACAAGGCTCAAACAGCCAGAGAATGGGAGTAACCTCAACCTCTACACTCTGATGGTTGTCTGCAGGGCTACTGCTCCCCTGGCAAGTTCCTTAGCCTGTGAAATTCTCCTGAATTTGTCATGGGAAAACAGCTCCCTCTTTGCCTTTGTTGAAGATGAAACTCTCACAGTCACTCCATTCCTCTTTCTTTGTCCCTCTATCCAAATTATAAGCCTGTAATACTTTCATGAATATAAAACTTACATGAAACCATCCATTTATGCAATATATAATAAACTTCAGTAGTTTCTGGCTACTTTATCAACATGCTGGCCTTGTTTGCTTATCCCAAAAACTAAATTGGCATCAATGATGCTAAAATAATGGCAACATTAAAACAAAAAGCAAGCATATAGACCATGACCAGCTTAAGACAACATTGATAACAACAAGTAATTAAGTATTTTCCAAACCTCAAGTTTTTAAAACTATCTTTCAGTAGGTGTTCTGGAAGGACATCTGTAGGCAGACTACTTAGAATACTAATTTCAATCATTTAATAAATTTTACTATACACATGCATTAGTTTGAAAATATCAAATTTTAGTATCTAGTAGATTATAAGTGACTAACCCAATTTCTCCTATGTAAAAAATTAAAAGCCTACATAAAATTGTTCATCAATTGCCCAAAAGAACTGCATGAGGAATGTTTACTTTTTTCAGACAAGTTCGTATCCATTAAGAAGCTCCTCAAGTGTCCAATAAGGATGGTTGATCATTCTTTGAGTATTAAATGTATCTCTATCTATGTCCCCATCTATGTTAATTTTATGTCTACATCAATATCTTAACATTCTGGAAATATTAGGATTATAAACTTCTTAAGAATCCAATATTTCACCAACTCTACTCTTGTATCAAATGGCAGACAATAAAATACATAGGGGATGCAGGATGCCAGAGTTAGGAAAGAACCATGCAGATGAACAGAAAGAGGTAATATTTTCCTGAGCATGTTGACTTTGAATTTCTGTCACATAAAGGAATACATATTACAAAACCTCACTCAAATTCTACTTAAGTATTCTTAAGCCCTTTAATTTTTCCCTCTCTGGAAGGTCTTCCATTTTATTCTATTTCTACTATCGAGAGCATTACTTCTGGGCTCTTAGAGATGCTTTGTCTCTTCAAGAAATCCCAACACTCTTTAGTCACGTTGCACAATACAAGGGGAATAATGCTGTTGGTGCACCATGGCTGTACGTTTAACTGTATTACAAGGTAATAATGCCTTAACAATATTATTTTCAAGTAGGGTAGGCATGCTTTTGGAAGCACAAATCAGATAGTGAAATATATTAAATAGTTATTGCATGAGTCACTGATTTTCATCCCACGAAAAGCACCCTGCCATTTGGGGCACTGTTTTAGTCATATTCTACTTAGAAAAAAGGGAGCTCTGCAAGGTGTTTCAAGAACTGGGAGTCTAATTAAGCAAAGTGTTTATGCAGGTGTTGAAAAGCTGGAAAATCTAAAAGTATGAGAGGTTGGTAACTGCAGGAAGCTGCTATTGTCTGTAAGTGTGGGAAAGCAACAGGGGGATGTTGTCACAATTTACAAGTCAGAAGGAGAAGCCACTTCCTCAAAAGCTCCCATTGTCTGAAGAGTTGTCATAACTTCAGGAGATTCCACTATCTCAGGATCTAAGACACTGGATAAGTTACCACAGTTTCAGAGACTCTGGGTCAATGGAAGATATACTGACATATGAGTGAGTGCCAGGCTCTGCTGGGACATTTAAGAGAGTACCACTTTGCTATTGTTGGGACGACTGAGATCATGCCATGTACTTTTTCTGGGAATGATGAAACATGTTGAAGCTATAGTTATCAACTGCTGTTGAAAGGATTCTGACAGAAATTGGAAGCTGAAATTGAGTTTCTTCTCTTCTCCTTCTTTCCAAAATTCTTCAAGAGGCTCCCATGGGCCAAACCTAATGAGAAATGATCTGGTGAGGAGGTCTGGAAATGCAGTTTACAGACTCCTACCCCCATCATGATAGAGCAGGATAAGAAGGCTTGGTATGAGACTAAAAATGATAGGCGAGTAACTGGCACACTTTACCCCATTTCAGTGCATGGCATTTGCTCACACATTTCTATTCATATTTCAACTAACATATAACAATCATTACAACCTCATTCTTCCACTTAAAAAGATGCAACTATTTTTTTAAAAAAACAAAGTTGTCATACTTTCCTCAAAAACAAAACTTCCAACAGACACTATTAGTATTTGAGTGATGTAAATTCCTCTTATTTTTTTTTTTAAAGTTTACTTTAAGTTCTGGGATACAAGTGCAGAACGTGTAGGTTTGTAACATAGGTATATGTGTGCCATGGTGGTTTGCTGCACCTATCCACTTATCATGTAGTTTTGAAACCCTGCATGCATTAGCTATTTGTCCTCATGCTCTCCCTCCCCTCCCCTCACCCCCGAAACCCCTACTAGCCCTGTGTTGCTCCCCTCCATTTGTCCATGTGTTCTCATCGTTCAACTCCCACTTATGAGGTAGAAAATGCGGTATTTCATTTTTGTTTTTTGGTGTTAGTTTGCTGAGGATGATGACTTCCAGCTGTATCCATGTCCCTGCAAAGGATATAATCTCATTCCTTTTAATGGCTGCATAGTTATTCCATGGTATATATGTACCACATTTTCTTATTCCAGTCTATCATTGATGGGCATTTGGGTTGGTTCCATGTCTTTGCTATTGTAAGCAGTGCTGCAATAAACATATGTATGCATATGTCTTTATAGTAGAATGATTTATATTCCTTTGGGTATATACCCAGTAGTGGGATTGCTGGGTCAAATGGTATTTCTGGTTCTAGATCCTCGAGGAATCACTACACTGTCTTCTGCAATGTTTGAACTAATTTATATTCCCACCTACACTGTAAAAGCATTCCTATTTCTCCACAGCCTTGCCAGCATCTATTGTTTCTTGACTTTTTAATAATCACCATTCTGACTAGCATGAGATGGTATCTCATTGTGGTTTTGATTTGCATTTCTCTAATGATCAGTGATGTTGGGCTTTTTTTCATATGCTTGTTGGACGCTCCCATTGTCTGAGGAGGAGCTTAAAGTAAAGACATAAATATCTTTTTTTTGAGAAGTGTCTGTTCATATTCTTTCCCCAGTTTTTGATAAGGTTTTTTTTTTTTTTTTTGTAAATTTGTTTAAGTTCCTTGGAGATTCTGGATATTAGACCTTTGTCGGATGGGTAGATTGCAAAAATTGTCTCCCATTTTGTAGAATGCCGGTTCATTCTGATGATAGTTTCTTTTGCTGTGCAGAAGTTCTTTAGTTTGATTAGATCCCATTTGTTAATTTTGGCTTCTGTTGCAATTGTTTTTGGCATTTTCATCATGAAGTCCTTGCCCATGCCTATGTCCTAAATAGTATTGCCTAGGTTTTCTTCTAGTGTTTTTATGGTTTTGGGTTTTACATTTAAGTCTTTAATCCATCTTGAGTTAATTTTTGTATAAGGTATAAGGACAGGGTCCAGTTTCAGTTTTCTGCATATGGCTAGCCAGTTTTCCCAGCACAATTTATTAAATAGGGAGTCTTTTCCCCATTGCTTGCTTTTGTCAGATTTGTCAAAGATCAGATGGTTGTAGGTGTGTGGTGTTATTTCTGAGGCCTCTGTTCTGTTCCATTGGTCATATGTCTGTTTTGGTGCCAGTACCATGCTGTTTTGGCTACTGTAGCCTTGTAGTATAGTTTGAAGTCAGATAGGGGACGCCTCCAGCTTTGTTCTTTTTGTTTAGTAGGATTGTCTCAGCTATATGAACTCTTTTTTGGTTCCATATGAAATTTAAAGTAGTTTTTTCTAATTCTGTGAAGAATGTCAATGGTAATGTGATGAGAATAGCATTGAATCTATAAATTGCTTTGGGCAGTATGGCCATTTTCATGATACTGATTCTTCCCATTCATGAGGATGGAATGTTTTCCCATTTGGTTGTGTCCTCTCTTATTTTCTTGAGCAGTGGTTTGTAGCTCTTCTTGAAGAGATCCTTCACATCCCTTGTTAGCTATATTCCTAGGTATTTTGTTCTCTTTGTAGCAATTGTGAATGGGAGTTCATTCATGATTTTGCTCTCTGCTTGTCTATTGTTGGTGTATAGGAATATCTGTGATTTTTGCACATTGATATTGAATCTTGAGACTTTGGTGAAGTTGTTTATTAGCTTAGGGTGTTTTCTGGGCTGAGATGGTGGCGTTTTCTAAATATGGAATTATATTGACTGCAAGTAGAGACAATTTGACTTCCTCTCTTCCTATTTGAATACTGTTTATTTCTTTCTCTTGCCCGATTGCCCTGGTCAGACTTCCAATACTATGTTGAATAGGAGTGGTGAGAGAGGGCATCCTTATCTTGTGCTGGTTTTCAAAGGGAATGCTTCCAGCTTTTGCCCATTTGGCATGATATCGGCTGTAGGTTTGTCATAAATGCCTCTTATTATTTTGAGACATGTTCCATCAATACTTAGTTTATTGAGAGTTTTTAACATGAAGTGATGTTGAATTTTATTGAAGGCCTTTCCTGCATCTATTGAGATAATCGTGTGGTTTTGGTCATTGGTTCTGTTTATGTGATGGATTACGTTTATTGATTTGCATATGTTGAACCAGCCTTGCATCCCAGGGATGAAGCCAACTTGATCGTGGTGGATAAGCTGTTTGATGTGCTGCTGGATTCAGTTTGCCAGTATTTTATTGAGGATTTTCACATCGATGTTCATCAGGAATATTGGCCTGAAGTTTTCTTTTTTTGTTGTGCCTCTGCCAGGTTTTGGTATCAGGATGATGCTGGCCTCATAAAATGAGTTAGGGAGAACTCCCTCCTTTTCAGTTGTTTGGGATAGTTTCAGAAGGAATGGTACCAGCTCCTCTTTGTACTTGTGGTAGAATTCGGCTGTGAATTCTTCTGGTCCTGAGCTTTTTTTGGTTGGTAGGTTATTAATTACTGCCTCAATGTCAGCACTTGTTATTGGTCTTTTCATGGATTCAACTTCTTTCTGGTTTAGTCTTGGGAGGGTGTATGTGTCCAGGAATTTATCCATTTCTTCTAGATTTTCTAGTTTATTTGCTCAGAGGTGTTTATAGTATGCTGTGATGGTAGTTTCTATTTCTGTGGGGTCAATGGTGACATCCCCTTTATCATTTTTTATTTTCTCTATTTGATTCTTTGCTCTTCTTTATTAGTCTAGGTAGCAGTCAATCTATTTTGTTAATTTTTTCAAAAAATCAGCTCCTGGATTCATTGATTTTTTCAAGTGCTTTTTTTGTGTCTCTATCTCCTTCAGTTCTGCTCTGATCTTACTTATTTCTTGTCTTCTGCTAGATTTTGGATTTGTTTGCTCTTGCTTCTCTAGCTCCTTTTATTGTGATGTTAGGTTGTCTATTTGAAATCTTTCCAGCTTTCTGATGTGGGCATTTATTGCTATACATTTCCCTTTTAACAGTGCTTTAGCTGTGTCCCAGAGATTCTGGTACTTTGTCTGTTTGTTCTCATTGGTTTCAAAAAACTTCTTGATTTCTGCCTTAATTTCATGATTTACCCAGGAGTTGTTCAGGAACAGGTTGTTCAATTTCCATGTAATTGTGTGGTTTTGAGTGAGTTCTAATTTGGTACTGTGGTCTGAGAGACTGTTTATTATGATTTCAGTTCTTTTGTATTTGATGAGGTTTGTTTTGCTTCCAATTTTGTGGTCTATTTTAGAATAAGTGCCATGTGGCACTGAGTAGAATGTATATTCTGTTGATTTGGGGTGGAGAATTCGGTAGATGGCTACTAGGTCCACTTGATCCAGAGCTGAATTCAAGTCCTGAATATCCTTATTAATTTTCTGTCTCATTTATTTGTCTAATATTGACAGTTAAAGTCTCCCACTATTATTGTGTGGGAGTCTAAATCTTTTCATAGGTCTCTACGAACTTGTTTTATAAATCTGCGTGGTTCTGTACTGGGTGCATATATATTCAGGATAGTTAGCTCTTCTTGTTGAATTGATCCCTTTGCCATTATGTAATGCCCCTCTTTGTCTTTTTTTAAAATCTGTGTTGGTGTAAAATCTGTTTTATCAGAGACTAGGGTTATACTAGGGTTGTAACCCATGCTTTTTTTGTTTTTCTTTTCATTTTTGGTAAATTTTCCTCAATACCTCTATTTTGAGCCTATATAGGTCTTTGCATGTGACATAGGTCTCCTGAATACAGCACATGATGGGTTTTCACTCTTTAACCAACTTTCCAGTCTGTGTCTTTTAATTGGGGCATTTAGCTCATTTACATTTAAGGTTAATATTGTTATGTGTGAATTTGATCCTGTCATCATGATGCTATCTGGTTATTTTGCACACTAGTTGGTGAAGTTTCTTCATGGTGCCATTGTGCCACTGGTTTTTATATTTTGGTGTGTTTTGCAGTGGCTGGTACCAACTTTTCCTTTCCATATTTAGTGCTTTCTTCAGGAGCTTTTGCAAGGTGGTGACAAAATCTCTCAGCATTTTTTTGTCTGGAAAGGATTTAATTTCTCCTTTGCTTATGAAGATTCGTTTGACTGGATATGAAATTCTGGGTTGAAAATTCTTTTCTTTAAGAATGTTGAATATTGACTCCCACTCTCTTCTGGCTTGTTAAATTTCTGTTGAGAGATCCACTGTTAGTCTGATAGGCTTCCCTTTGTAGGTGACCTGCCCTTTCTCTCTGGTTGCCCTTAAGGTGTTTTTCTTCATTTCAACTATGGAGAATTTGATGACTATGTGTCTTGGGGCTGATCTTTTCATGTAATATCTTAGTGATGTTCTCTGTAGTTCCTGAATTTGAATGTTGGCCTGTCTTGTTAGGTTGCAGAAGTTCTCCTGAATAATATCCTGAAGTGTGTTTTCCAACATGGTTCCATTCTCCTGGTCTCTTTCAGGTACTCCAATCAATTGTAGGTTCAGTCTTTTTACATGGTCCCATATTTCTTGAAGGTTTTGTTTGTTCCTTTTTATTCTTTTTTCTCTAATCTTGTCTTCATGCCTTATTTCAGCAAGATGGTCTTCAAACTTTGATATCCTTTCTTCTGCTTGGCTGATTCAGCTATTGATACTTGTGTATGTTTCACAAAGTTCTTGTGCTCTGTTTTTCAGCTCTATCAGGTCATTTATGTTCCTTTCTAAACTAGTTATTCTAGTTAGCATCTCCTGTAACTTTTAATCAAGGTTCTTAGCTTCCTTGCATTGGGTTAGAACATGCTCCTGTATCTCAGTGGAGTTTATTACCCACCTTCTGAAGCCTAGTTCTGTCAATTCGTCCATCTCATGCTCTTTCCAGTTCTGTGCCCTTGCTGAAGGGGCATTGTGATCATTTGGAGGAGAAGAGGCACTCTGGCCTTTTGGGTTGTCAGCAGTTTTTCACTGATTCTGTCTCATCTTCATGAGTTTGTCTAGTTTCAATCTTTGAGGCTGCCGATCCTTAGATGGGGTTTCTGTGGGGACTTCTTTCATTGATGCTGTTGTTGTTGCTTTTTGTTTGTTTTTCTTTCAGTATTCAGGTCCCTCTTCTGTGGGGCTGCTGCGGTTTGCTGGGGTTTAACTTCAGACCCTATTTATCTGGTTTGCTCCTGTGTCTGGAGATGTCACTCGAGGAGGCTGGAGAATAGCAAAGATGCTCCTTCCTCTGGGATCCCTGCTCCTTCCTCTGGAATCTCTGACCTCGAGGAGCACCAACCTGATGCCAGTAGGAATGCTCCTATATAGGGTGTCTGACAACCCCTGTTGGAGGGTCTCACCCAGTTGGGTGGCACAGGGAGCAGTACCCATTTCATGAAACACTTTGTCCCTTGGTGGACGGGGTGTGCTTCATTGGGAGGAAATCCACTTGTCTGAGCTGCCCAGATTCCTCAGAACTAGCAGGAGGAAAGACCAAGTCTGCTGGTCTGCAGAGACTATGGCCACCCTTCCCCACAGGGGGTCAGGGCCAGGGAGATCAGCGTTCTGTCCTGAGCCCCTGGCTGGAGTTGTTGGAGTTCCTGCAGGGTGGCCCTGCCCAGTGAGGAGGGATGGGTCAGGATCAGGCCTGAAGAAGTATGTTGAGGTGTGAAGGATACCTCTTGGGACCAAATTGTCCAGCCTCCCTGGCTCCAGCAACGGAAAAGCACAGCCTGGAGCTATACAGATGGCTGCTGCCCTTCCCCCCGACACTGGGAGCTTAGTGTGTTAGGCAGCTATCAGTTCCAGTGTTGGCTGCCACTCCTCCTCCAAGGAGCTCAAATGGCTTAAAAAACAGGCAGCTGCAGCTGTTATCCTGGCCTCTTCTCCCCCAGCTCCACTCCCGTCTCCCTGGGGAGCTCAGCAGTCTTAACCAGATTTTAGCTGAGTGGCTGTTGAGAATCTGTGCCAGCCTCTGTGGTTGGAACCCTAGGCCTGGTGTCGTGGGCTCATGAGTGGGATCTTCTGATCTGTGGGTTGCACAGTTCCATGGAAAAACCATGGATTCCCAGGATGGGTAGCATGCTCAATCACTGCACCCTTGGCTAGGGGGTGGGGGCTCCCCTGCCCTACGTGGCTGTCAGGTGGGCCACCACACCACATTGCTCTTCCTTCCTCTTTGTGGGTCATCCCAGCCACCTAGTTAGTTCTGATGACATGACCTGGATATCTCGGTTGCCAGAGTGCAAGATTCGCACATTGTTACGGTTCTTGAGCATCTCAGGTCATCCCCAAACCGTTGGAAAAGACAGGACAGTGGCTGAGGACACATCACTCATTTTCCAGCCTTCAGATGTTCCGGTGTCTTCCCTATGGCTCTCCCAGTACCTGCAGGTCACAGGACAACAGGGGCTGTGGTAAAGTCACCTAGGTGTTCCTGGAACAAAGGAAATGGAACACTGGAGCAAATTATTCTTCTTATTCAGTCACATTTTCACCTAAATATTCAGTAAAGTAGTAACTAAAAAAACTTAATTACCATTGATAAATTTTATATTGCATATTAGGGAAAAAGAAGAAGGGAAATATGCAATGAAATACATACTAAATAAATAAAGAATAACATATTTTTTGTACCAGATGTTTTTATTTATGTGACTGGTCATTATTCCTCCACAAACTGTATCATATCCTTTGCCCTGAAGCCTCAGGGTGAAAGAATCTGGGGTCAAGATTCTTTTTCTGGTAGAGTGAACTAAAACTTCATTTCTGAAGGGTCTGAGCCCTCTGCAGCCCTGACTTCAGGACCTAATTTTTCATTAACTTTTACTAATTGATTTTGAAGTAGTGAGAATCCTTTAGAATTCCCAGAGTTCTAGACATAGTCTTTCTTTCTTCCTTTTTTTTTTTTTTTTTTGAGGATTAATTATGGCACTCTGCAGACCACTGGATTTCTAGAAAGTGGACCAAGGTGGTGAATTTATGCATTCTCATAGAATTTATCTCCTACTCTTTGGAACAATTGTGTTTTATTAATGTATCTTTTATATGTACTCTTTTCTGCTCACCAGGTCCAATCTGTGAGACATCAAGACTACCAAAGTTCTTATGGTTTTTATAGATTGTTTTCTGGAGAATAGAAGAGTTAAATAAACAAATATACCCCTGAGGTGACCAAGATAGCCTAACAGTCCCCTCAGCTTGACTAAAATTTTGGACAGGTTTCTTCTTGACTATAGGCACCTAACCTCCATTTTCTTAGAGCATTTACTTTAGAAAACTTGCAATTGTAAATTCTCCCTCTATTCCTTTGAGATGGACAACTCAGGAATGCCTTTATCAAGGACCTGAAAATGGACTCTTTGAAATGCAGTCATCAAGAATAATAGAGTTCTTATTTCCCAGTCTCTGTGGGAGGGTAGAAGTCTAACTATGATAAGCACCAGTTAGCAAACACAAGTGGCCTAATTACAGCGACCAACATCCTCCCTCACCCCCCAACACATACAAACGACATCCTCCAATACTTTCCCATTAGCTTATTCCAGCATTTAAAAACCCTTCAGCCTCTGTTTCAGTGGAGTTGAGTTTAATTTCTCTCCCATTTTGCAATAGGCTTGAGTAAAGTCTTCCTTGCCTTTTAAAACCCCATCTGGTGCATTTTTTTTTTTTTTTGATAGAGGCAAAACAATGAATGTGTATTCCTGTCTCTGCCAGATGAAAATAAACTTTTTGTGGTTTGTCTTGGGAAACTGATATTTTAAAAAGCATTTTTTAGGCTAACAGGTAAATGTATCAGGTGCCAGGACCTATGTTGATTTTCTTCCCGGGAACCTACCATATTTGAAATAGCAGCTGAATTTGAGTTTGCCAGGTGATTTAAAGAATTCACTGTTAAAACTACTGTTATGGATAGAACAAATAGACAAATAATATGAGTTAGTGATAAGAATCGTTTCTCTTTCATCTTTCAAGACTTTGATGGTTGTACTAATTGCAGCAATTTCTTCAGAGATGACATTGTGTTTGTGGCTTCCTGGATGGAGGGAAAATTAGGACTTTTAACTTGAACCTTTCTACAACAATGGCTCTTACTACACTCCATTTGGCCAGTCACCAAATATGAAAATTGAAGTCATAAATTCAGGAACTGGAGAAATGGTGCACAATGATTTTGTGGAATTACTGTTCTCACTGTGAGACTCGGCCAAAATAACTTTTATCACCCGTCCCCAGTATCTCCTCACTTTGCTGGTGAACATCTCTGATGTTTTTCTTACTCATATGCTAGAATAAATTCAGAGTTAGCATCCAATAATTCCTGAAATTTCTTTTCTTTTCTGGAGAGTCACTTCAAACAATAGCCGTAGGTCTCTTCTGTGCAAGCCTGGATATTTACAGTGTTCTTGGGCAGCATCGCAGGCACTTTCCTTAAGGGGATTCTGCTAAAATGGGTAACTGAGCTACAGGCTGTGAGTCTCCATTATAGTACACACTTGAAATGGAGCTCCTCAGGTTACCTGGATCAAATAATAGTTTAGTCATATTCCTACCAGTTTTCTTTCTAGGGATAATGTGAACAACTTTCCATAACCAAAAGTCCAAGACCATAGGTCAAAACCTTTTGATTCTCACTGTGATTTTATTTCCTATTATGTCAATTCTGCGTCCTTTGCCTCTGGAGTTGCGTACTGACATGGAGCTTGTACCATTCTGAGATGCCACTATTCTCATTACAATCAGAATGCTGGTTACAATGGCAGCATCTCCTAACATCATGCCCGCGCTCATAGAACAGCAACTACACAGCTTTCCAATGCATGCAATACTTTTCTCACTAAGAAATTTGTCAATTTCTCAATGCCTTAGTCAACCAGGCATCCTAAGGTCCCTCTAAAGAGAGCACAGTGGGATGTAAATGTTTACATTGTACACGATAACTTTGTTACAACATTACGTTCTTCCTAAGCCTTTTATTCTTTTACATAAATTCAGGTAGTAAGCTTCTAAAAATAATGCATAGTTTTATAGTATACTGTTGGTGAAAACTTGAATATTCATTTGGGAATACTGAGTGATGGATTTTGTTCTTGTGTTCAGTACAAACTCAATTTAGTGTATGGGGTGTGGGACTTATCAATAAAGTTGTACTTGCTTTGATCTGTGTCAGCTGTACATTATTAAATAGTCATCCTTACATCTTTTTATTTTTGCTTTTGCATCTCTAGACCTTAAGTTTCAAGAAATATTAATCCACTTTCTCAGTGACACACACACAGACACACACAAGCACACACACACACACTTTGTCTATCACCTGATAATAGGCTGTCTAAAATTGTTTCAATCCTTTTCTTATCTAAGAGTTTCATCACTCCTAAATAATTGAGAACATCTCAAGAACAAATTTTTTTCTTATGCTTTTTTCTTTGCCTTTCATAGCATTTAATGCAATGCTGAGGACATATTTGACACCCAATATTTGTTAAATAAGTCATTGATAAGACACCTGACACTGTGCAATAAAAATCTCCTTATTTTATCAATATCCATTTTAGTGTCTCAGGAACACCATTTAGAAGTATTGTGCATAGGCTGGGGCAGCAAATATTTCTTTAGCAACTCGCTTTACTATCCTGAGGCAAATAAAAATGGCTTCTTGCCCATTTTGAAGTAGGGAGTACTTAGTTTTCATATTTGCAGATGAAAACAAAGCAGGAAACAGATGCTAATCCAAGAAAAGTTCTGTGGGCATTTGCATTCAGTTTGAGTAAATGTAATTTATGTTTGGATATTTCATTTATGGTCTATTTTGGATACACATTTGGATTTCTAGTTACCACAACATACATTGAATTGTAAAGAGATGGGAAGTTTGAATGTAACAGATGGTAAATTAAGCTCTAAAATAAAATAGATGGATGTTAATGTTAGGCATTGTTTTTATTAGGGCTGTTTAAATTTCTACACCCAGTGACTTTTTGTCAGTGTTAAAACTCAATGGCAAATAGGAGACGCTTTAAAAGGTGATTATAAGTGTATATTTTAATATAATTTGGTTTTAATTTTTAAAAATTACTTTAAAATTATGCATGCCTGTCATTAAGCCATTCAAATAAGATAACACGCAAAGGAGAAAATATAAATGTCACTAAGTTGCATAATTCAGAAAGCACCACTGCTAATATTTTGGTGACTATCCTTCCAAACACATCTCTCTGTAAGCATATACAAATAAGTATTTACAAATAATTCTACATAAAATAATGTTATATATGATACTTTAACTTCCCTTTAACTCAATATGTCATTATTGGTTCCATTCCCCTGGTTTTGGTTCCATTCCCCTGGTCTCTTTCTGTATTAATGAATAGGGGAACATCATTGCATCTAATATTTGATTAATTTTTCATTGTACTGAAGAAGGATTCTAATGATAGACATATATGTTGTTTCCTTTTTCTACTATAAAGACTGTGGTAGAAAAATTTTTGTTCAAATGTAAGTTTTTCATCTTGTCCTATTCTTAGTTCATTCATTCATTCAGCAGATATTAGCCTCTACCATGCATTGGTCACTGTTTGAGATACTGTGGCAGAATAGTAATCTAAATATTTGCCTTTAGTGGATTAACATTATGCATGCGCTTTATATTCTTAAACTGTCCTACAGACATATACTAATGTAGACATCTACCAACTTTACAGGATAGTACCTGTTTACCCTAAACAATTCTAGGATTTGTAAAATATCTAAATCCTTCCAAACCTGATGGGCGAAATGTGATCTCTCAGATATTTAGTCACATTTCTTTGATGGATGTTGAATACATTTTTATGGGTATATTATTCATTTGTATATCTTTTTTGTGTGTTGCATAATCACATACTTATATTAGGACATTTTAGGTTTTTTCCTTACTGGATTGGTAAGAAATCTTTGTGTGTAAATATAAATAGTTAATTTATAAATTTATAATTTATAAATCTATGCATTAAATTAAAAATTAAATAAAAATAAATATAAATTACAAAATAAATATAAATTTAAAATTATAAAAAATTATACATTTATAAATTATAAATAGTAATTTCCTCTAAGTTATATTTTCTACAAATATTATTGAACATGATATGAATGGAATCATACTATATGTAGTTTTTCAACATCTGGCTTATTTCACTCAACATTATGTTTGTGAGATTCATCTATGTTCTTGCTTTTAGCTGTAGTTTATTCAATTTATTCATTGCCATATACATTTTTAATGAACATAGTTCTATGTACTACTAAAACTTATCTCCCTATTCTGTTCTTGGTAGGCATTTCAGTTGTTTCTAGTTTTTGGCTATTACATATAGTGCTGTTATTATTATACTTGTTTATGTCTTCTGGAAAACATTGGCTCACATTTCTGTGGTTACATACCTAAGAGTAAAATTGCTGTGTCATGGGAATTGTCATTTTCAGTGTTCAGAAGAAGATCGTACCAAACAGTTTTCTGAACTGGTTGTTCCAATTTTTGTTTGTAACAACTATGTATATGAGTTCTGGTTTCTATCTTTTTTTTTCTTCTTTGAAACAACCTGGTGGATATATAATGGTTTTGCATTTTTTCAAGTTAGTATTCCCTGATAGTTAATGATATTGAGCACCTTTTCATGTGTTTACTGACCTTGAAAACTTCAAAATACAGATTCTCAGGTCCCTTTACAGTCCTGCTGTAACAGAATAGGCATAGAACTCAGAAACCTGCATTTTTTAAAGTTCCATAAGCTATCATCATTCAGACAGTTTCTGAACATGAATGCAATTTTAGAATGGGTAGACTAGCCAGCTTGTATGGTAGCTAAAACAAAGAGAAAAATTTAGTATTTCTTATCTGACATGGAACATAGTAGAATTTCTCTCTCTTTTTTCCTTCCTTCCTGTCTTTATTTTCTTGTCCTCCTCCTCTCGCTTCTTAATTATCTGCTTGTTTTAGAGAAATACAAAAATATGAAGGATAATGACATTCTGTCATATGCTGCAACATGAATAGAATTGGAGGTCTAATTATGTTAAGTGAAATAAGCCAGGCACAGAAAAAGAGAAATATTGCCATTCTCATCTCATTTGTGGGAGGTAAAAAAGTGGATCTCATTGAGTTAAAGAGTAGAATGGTGGTTAGCAGAGGCTGGGAAGGTGGGGGTGGAGGTAGGAAGAGAGGTTGCTTAAAGGGTATAATATAATTAGAAGCAATAAGATTCTGCATTTGATAGTATATGGTATAGATAACAATAATGTATAGTTCAAAATAGCTGGAAAAATTAGAATGTTACCAACATATAGTGAAGACATATGTTTGAGGTGATGGATATCCCAATTAGTCTGATTACATATTGTATGTATGTATCAAAATATCATAGGTACCCCTAAAATATGTGTAACTATTATGCATCAATAAAAACAGAAATAAATTGATCTAGTACATGTTCTCTATGACAGAAAAAGGAAAAAATTTTCATCATTTTATTTTATCAACTTCTACTGACAGTTGAAACCCTACCTAATTTATGCAATTTTAAATATTCTGCTGCAGACAAGTTCATGAATGCTTTAGAGATAATACATGTTATTTATTTAGTACAATTTTAGAGTAAATATTATGAATGGGACTTCCAAATTATGGTGCCAAGGTTTAATGAGGTGTAATTGCAGGTCTTAAGATATTTGTATGAGGAGAAAAAACTTAGTGTACACCATCAAAGTGTTTTATGTATGATGATGACTGACACAACCCATTATGGAATTTGAATAAGCTTAATTGTCCAAGAAAAATAATTGAAAATAATCCTTTAGATGTCAAAATATAGCAATTTATCATATGACTCTGTCAGTTCTTATTTAATGTCCTTCCTGGTTATAGACATGCTTTTCTGGTGGCTCATTAATTATGTCACCAGGAAAACAATATTTTTAGCACTGTTAAAGAAGAAACCTTTACTCTCAGTGTGTTGAAATATAAATTGCACAAGAGCATTGGCATTAAAACAATGTAATATAATCAGCATGACCTAAGTGCTTGGCTAATTAAAGGGTAAAGTTGAAAGTAGACATGAGCAATGATAATTTATCAGTTCTATTTCTGAATATTTCCATGAAGTTTAGTTATATTTTTAGAAAGCTTCTTTTTTTTTTCCAACAGAGTCTCGCTGTGTCCCCAGGCTGGAGTGCAGAAGCGCGATCTCGGCTCACTGCAACCTCTGCCTCCTGGGTTCAGGCTATTCTGTTGCCTCAGTCTCCCAAGTAGCTGAGCCAACAGATATGTGCCACCATGCCTAGCTAATTTTTTTGTATTTTTAGTAGAGATGGGGTTTCACCATGTTGGCCAAGATGGTCTCGATCTCTTGACCTCGTGATCCCCCTGCCTCGGCCTCCCAAAGTGCTGGGATTACAGGCGTGAACCACCGCACCCTGCCAGAAATCTTCTTTAATTACTATTCAATATGGCATTTAATGAAGGATATACCAATAATAATAATAATTCTACTATTAAGGAGCATATTGCACCTTATACCTAAAAACAAGAGGAATAGGGCCAAAGAGAAACAAATGAATAGAAAAATAATAAAACCTGAATTTAGATTAGTACAGATTAGTACATTCAACCTTTTGTATCCCCAGGTCCTGCATCCGAGGATTCAACCAACTGCGGATTCAAAATAGTTGGAAAAAGGAAAAGCAATAAAAATCTTGCTAATAAATAACCCAAAACAGTATAACACTATTTACATAGCATTTACATTGTATTAAGTAATATATGTAACCTATAGATGATTTAAAGTATATTGGAGGATGTGCATAGGTTATATACAAACATTACACCTTTTTAAACAAGGGACTTGAGCCTTTGCAGATTTTGGTATCCGTGGGCCATCCTGCAACCAATCTCTTCCCCCGACCCCCCCGGATACTGAGGGACAACTCTATATGCTTCTGTACAGTTGCTAGAAGTGAGAAGCAAATTTGGCTTTAAAATTTATCAGGCAAAACAAAGATGGAATAAAATAATTTCTAAGGTTTAGAATATCCATAAATTAAAACCAATCAGTTTATTAGAAAAGCATCACTTCTCTTGTCCCTGACAGATGCAGGATTATCTCTGAGTGAGCTGTTTATTTAAATAGTTTAAAGATATTGAGAAAAAGCTCAATTCAGTTAGAGCAGTTATTTAAAGGGCCAGAACAATGTGGTGCACGTTCTCCAGTCTTGAAGATTGATGTTGATGTTCAGTGCCAATTTAGAATAGATGAAGAAGTAGACGGACTGCCTGCTCTCAGACCAACATCCATAAACAACGTGCCTGCATTCTGGCTTTTGATAAGGGTTAAATTGCAGATAACTCGGGGTTACATTTTTCTCACAAGAAACTGGGGTGCAAATATTCTGTATAGTGTATAAAGGGATTACCTATATGCTTTGGTAATTAGCTGGGAAAGGGCTGATTTAAAGTGTTCCTAAAAGAAATGAAGGGGGCTAATAGCCATTTGCCTGCATAGATGATGCCTCACTTCCTCATGGAGGTGGTTAAAGGTGTACATGTAGGTAGAACCACGTGTAGAGTGTAAAGATACTAGAGTATAATGGTAGCACCTAAAATATTCTGTTACAGCAAACTTTAGAGACAGAATTTTAGATTTCCAATTTACAAAATTACAAGGGTTACAAGACTGCTTTTTCTTAGTATCTGATTCATTTGGATGAAGGTATGAATCTGAATAGTCTACTCTACATGGTTATGGGATTCTCTTTTCTGACTTTGATTTAGAGAGGAATAAAGGCTTTCTATTTTTATTTTTTTACAAAAGAGTCTTTCCATCTGCACAGGAGGCATTTTCCTGTTTTTTCTTTTGAGTGTTTTTTGCTTTTGCTTTATGAATACCACTTGAAAAGTGATAGGATATAAGACATCCTCTTTCATCTGCAAAGAAAAATTTCTTTACTGCCTCAGGAGCTCAGTTGCCATTTTCTATTTCTACTTAAATCCTTTTTTATTCTGTATCATCCTATCACACTTAAAGTCTTGCATTGGACTTTAAACTTGTTTTATTGTTGGTTGGATTAGAAACAGCCCTTAAGAGCCTCCTGCTGTAAACGTCCCTGCGAGTTCAGACTTTCTTCTACATGGTTCCTAGGGTGAGGGGAAACTTAGAACTCTCTTGCTTTTTCTCATCCAAATTTTGTTCCAAGATGGAATGAATATTAATGTTTGGTTCTATAGAATTTCCAGAACTAAAAAAAAAACAACAAAATCCCCCTAAAAACTCCAAAATGATTACTTAAAAAATCTAACAAATTCTAAAATGCAAATAATTTTTCCTATTAAGGACCATATAATGAATAAGTAGCAAGATCAATAAAAAGAAGATGAATTACAGCAATTTTCTTTTTTTCTTTAAGAAATACAGTGGGAATCCCGGGCGTGGTGGCTCACGCTTGTAATCCCAGCACTTTGGGAGGCCGAGGTGGGCGGATCACGAGGTCAGGAGATCGAGACCATCCTGGCTAACACGGTGAAACCCCGTCTCTACTAAAAATACAAAAAATTAGCCGGGCGTGGTGGTGGGCACCTGTAGTCCCAGCGCTGGGGAGGCTGAGGCAGGAGAATGGCGTGAACCCTGGAGGCGGAGCTGGCAGTGAGCCGAGATTGTGTCACTGCACTCTAGCCTGGGCAACAGAGCGAGACTCCATCTCAAAAAAAAAAAAAAAAAATACAAGGGGATTTTTTTGTATTTTTTATTTACCTGATCTATGGATTTGTAGCCTTTTAAAGACCATTTTTTAGATGAAGGAAAATAAAAAACTATTGATTTTATCCTTTTTTTCATAAGTGTATGTCTTTATAAGCAATGAGGATGACAGTTTAGTTAAATCAATTTCTATGTAAACTGACTAGATATCTGATAAAAAGTAACACACGTTTATTATATTAATAATGTATATCATAATATGTAATATATATTAACAATTATTTCTTAGCCAAAGCAATATAGACTATATTAGACTTTGCAGTTCTCACTACATTATAAGAATTTTCAGTTTCTTAGGTGTATTGATCATCCTGTTAACTTTACTGACTTAGCAGATAGAAGCTCAGTGGTAGAAGTCTTTTCTAGTCCATCTTTAGGAGCCATTCTTGTTCACTGCTGGTTTTGGTGTGAGGAAAGTGAAGATCCTATTTGTCTTAGTCTCCTTTTCTTCATGCCTTATAAAAAGAAGTGTCGATCTGGAATTTCTTCATTTCTAGGGCACTTGTTCTACCCAAATTTTAAAGGTGTTGCAGTCTTAAAGTTACAAATAAGATTTTATGAGACAATCATTTTCCCTCTTCCACTGATTCATGCATTGTGGGTGTTCCACTTGAATGGAAATTTCAGAGAGTAGGGTTTAGGCATTGGTGGCCAAAACAGCAGCCTTAGGGCCTACTTTGGTTTATGATGCTGCTTATACTTAAACAAAGAAGCTTTCTACATAGTCAGCCAAACTACTAGAATTTTAAAATAGAATATGGTTCAAACATTCCTCTGATAATAATATTTCTTTCTGCTTTGGTTTGCTTACTATATGAATGTATCATCATTGGGGATTTTGGAAGAAGAGGGATGAGATGGTCAAGGCAGAGTTTTAATATTCCTGGGTCCCCAACTTAGTTCATCTTAATAGTATGCTTTAATTTTACTCCATTATAATGAATTGTATTAGGTGGTAGCATGAGTTTGCTCTTCTTCTGAGCCAACTTCTTACTTAGTTATAACTGGATTGAAGTTAAGAAAGTGTTTTTTAATAGGTATGATCACTTACATTGATTAATTATATTGGTTGAATTTTGTAAATTATAACTATAAAACCAAAATCAGATAAGTAAGGAGATTGATTTTGTTCAGGCTTTTGTAGTAAAGAGAAAATCTCAGATCCAACAATCAGAGTGTCTCAGCAGGGTGGTTTTGCATTAGATTTTTATAAGGAGGGGTAAAGAAGTAGGAGATGGGGAAATTTATATTTGGGGCTATTTTTCAAGAAGGGGAAGTCTCAGTAAGTTATTTGAACAGGAAGTGTTTTACTTCGTGTTTAGGGAACAAATATTTCTAAACTTACCGACTCAACCATGACATGCCATTGTAATCTTAGCTAATCAATTATGAGACAAAGTATGGGAAGTTTGAAAGTGTACCTCAGGCCTTAACAGTAGGTTCAGGGAAAAGAAGATAGAAATGTATTGGCCTCATTTTTCCCCATTCTTTTGTTCAAGACAAAAGTTGTCTTAAAACAATCTTAGGCATAAGAGTAATTTCAGTAGGGTTTTATATCAAGGTTTTATATTATAGTCCACAGAGTCAGCAGTTTCTTGCTAGCTCTGTTCTTGGAGAACTAACTCAACCATCTGTTATGACGTGAAGGATGTCTGGAACTCAGAAAGGGTTCTGATTGCACAGCATTTAATTAGGTGCATACCTATAAGAATAAGCAGAAAAATATTTATTAGAGATTGTCTTAAGGAGTAAGATCAAGACTTAACAGCCAGTTGGCAATGAGTCTAGTGGATTCTAGGAGATGGACGTGGAAAGGTCCTTCGATGATAGAATAACAACTGTGGTGGTGATGCAGCAAATTTTTTGGTTAGTATATAAAGTATTCTTGGTGTGATGTAGAGGTCAGAGAATTTTTTGTGAACAACTGTGGCAAAGCCTTTGCTTCTGACCATAATACATGTTCTCTTTCTGGATGCTCAGATTATCTGAAGTGCTGGTTGGTTGTGGAGACCTGCACATTGAGGCTCTTGAAGTTAGGGTGAGGAAGTCAGTATTCTTTGTCACATTGTCCAGAGTTATAATTATCTCCTCTAATGGGGCATGGGGGATGCAAGAGTTTTATTTTACTTCTTGAGTAGTTCATATTACAATACTGCAGCTGCTCCATGTCCAATGGGGGTCCAAATATGATTGGATGCAGCAGTCAATTCTTCTCAAGCACTTAGCTTCCTTTTTGCAGATGTCTTCAGATCCAAAGTGAAGAAAAGACTGCAGCCCATATTTAGTGTCAGTCTTCATATTTGTGTACTGTTGAGACTGATGATAGGGCAGTAAAGGAGATAGACACTAATTTAAATAGTTTAAAAGGGAATTGAGTTAAAGATCTGATAAGAACTGGCAGCATTGATTAAATAACATAAGTCTGTTCAGTTTTCTGAAGTGAAAGTACATTCAGTTTCCACAAATGAAATAGGTGTCTTTTAGAACTATCAAAAGGGGAGGGAAGTACTTGTTTGCTATAGACTATGTTTTCTACTATATGGCTGTAATATGCTGATTGGGCGTTTTCCATATGTAATGTTTTAGTACCTTCTGTTGGCAACACCCCATGGTGGAGTTGTTTGATATAAAGTTATATCTTCTGTGAAAAAAATAATGAATATTACAAGTAATTGTAATCAGAGTTGGCAGCATGAAAGGTGTATTTGCAGAAACAAGAATTGAGAAATAGGTCATCTGTAAAATTGCGGGAGAAGCAAACACCACCTCTTCTAAAAGTGGTCCAGATTGAATTTAGATCTTCATTTAATCTAAATAAACTATAAGAAGAGTTTCCCAACATTGTGTATGGGAAAACAGCTAAATTAATAGCAGTAGAGGTTTTAAGGATGAGAAGAGGAATTTTGGGAAAGATGGTGGAACCAAGAGAAAAGGGACAACAAAACCAACACTTACAGGAAAGATTACAAGACCAATCAGTTCTGCGGATACCATTCAGATGATTTTGAGGTCCTAAATATTTGTAGGTAAATGAAGAATATAGAAAAAGGAAACAGTAGGGAAAGCCAAAAGGAAAAGGAAAGGACATTAATCAAGGAAGTTTTGAAACCAATGAATGATAGAAAATTAAAAGAAGTTAGTCTCTAAAAAATATAGAAGCAACCAATAAGTACATGAAAAGTCATACAATATTATTAGTTATTAGGAAAATGCAAATGAAAGGCACAATGATATACAACCTCACACCTAGTAGGATAACTATAATTTTAAAAGACAGGTAACAAGTATTGGCAAGGATGTGGAGAATTTGGAACCTTTTTACATCGCTGGCAGCTATGTTAAATGGTCTCTCTGCTTTCGAAAACCATTCGACAAATCCTCAAAAAGTTAAACTTAGAATGACCATATGATCCAGAGGTGCTGCTTATAAGTCCCTATCCAGAAGAATTAAAAACATATATTGATACAAAAACATATACACAAATTTTCATACTGACATTATTCCTAATAGCTCAAAAGTGGAAACAAACCAAATATCCATGACTGACAAATGGATATCCAATATGTATGTCCATAAAATGAAACATTACTCATTTATAAAAAGGAATGAAGTGCTGATTCATGCTACAACATGGATGGACCTTGAAAACATATAAAGGAAGCCAGACACAAAATGCCACATATTGTATAATTCAATTTATATGAATTGGCCAGAATAGGAAAATCTATAGAGACAAAAATTATATCAGTAGTTGCCAGAGACTGGGTGGGGTGGGGTGAGGGGAGTGGGGAGTAACTGCTAATGGGAATGGAGTTTTTTCTAAGCTAATAAAAATATTCTGAAATTAGATTGTCATGATGGTTGCACAACCTTGTGAATATACTAAAGCTCACTGAATCATATACTTTAAAAAGGTGAACTTCATGGTGAATTATAGCTCAATAAGAAAAATAAAAGAAGGATGATGAGTAGGTTACAAAGGAGGTTTACAGAAGAAATTAAGTATAAGAATCCTAAGGGATCTTGATCCAGTGTCTTGGGTAGAAGCTGACCACTTTGAGTTGTCATCTGCTTGGTGCCAAGTTCTTGGGAATGCAATGTATCTCATGTTGTCATCCTCTTCTGGGGACTTTTAAAAGATCCTCTCTTTATGGTATTCTGTTGGTGTGGATTTCCATTTGTAATAAAGCTTAGTTTTAAAATTGCGAAACATGAACCCCAGCTTGTACTACTTGTAGCTTTGCAGTGGTATTGATAGTTAGGAGACAGCATAATGCCTCTTATACTTGGGTTCAGGATCGGTCTTTCAGTAGTGTCTTCCAGAAGACTAGGTCTCCCATCTGAAAATGATGTTTAAGCTGTGGTGGTATATCTTGGGAGAAACAACTTGACCTGTTGGGGGAAAGTGTAAGTGCACTTAACAATTGCTTGGCAGTATTTAGGGATAATATATTGTAGCAGATTGCAATGTCTGCTTCATTCCAAAGCAATGTCCAGAGTAATATCTCATTGATTGGCCTGCTAGTAATAATTTCACAGGAGGATAAAGTTGACTGGGTGGTGAGGAGTTCAAAGGATCATTAGGTCTAAAGGAGAGACTTTGGGCAAAGACAGGTTAGGTTCCTCAAAGAGTTCGCTACTATGAAGTTAAAAACACTATTGGACCATTATATCTTTCTAGAGGTTTGAAGGTAGTAAGAATAGTGAGTTCTTATGAGAGTAGAAGTAGTGTTTGAATATCCTGAGTAAGCTTACCAGTGAAGGGATTTCCTCTATTGATAGACAGGAAAAAAGGGATTCTCCAAGTGGGGAAAATTATTTCTAGTAGCAACTTAAATATAGTGGTGGCAGTATCCTATGTGCAGGTAAAATCTTCTTATCATCCTGAAAACATGCAGACTATGGTAGAAACTATTCATATTTATAATACTTTAAAAGTGGAATAAAATCCATTTGCCAATGAGGAAGGGAACAGAGGAAACTGTCTCTCATCTTTGCCTTACCTTTAGGTTTTTGCCAGGATTGTATTTTTTTTTTTTTGTGGCAAATTGAGAAAGTTGAGGTTATTTGCTTACCATGAAGCTGATGTGACCCTACCAATATTTCTGAAGGATATTTTAAAGATATTCTTTGCTGTGGGCTTTGCTGATGTTGTGGATTAAATTTTGGATATGAAACCAAGGAATGAAAAGTAGCCATCTGGGTGTCTTCACATGTACAAAACATGTAGCTTGTTTTCAATGAGCTTTCTCAGCCTTAGATGCTAGCAATTATTGTCCCAGAAGTTCCTTAATTAGAGTTTCTATCTCTAAAGGAGGTTGAGCAAGGGGAGTAGTGCAGGCAACTGAGGAAGAATTTTCTTGCAAAGTGGCTCTCTTGACGTATTTGTCTCCCCACGGGTTTCCTTTAGCATCAGGAGACTGTCTAGTGTGAGCTTCAGCTTTGAGGGTAGCTAATTCCTTGGGTAGCAAGGCTTCTAAGAGGTTAGCTACTTGAGTTCCATTGAATATCTGCTACCTGTGCAAATGTTAGCTTTCTTATCTTGTGCTAGTATGCAAGTCTGGCGAGGGCTATCAGTTTAACTGCTTGGCTGATTTAACTTTAGGTAGGGGTTTGAACTCAACAAATGTTTCAAAATCTGGGATAGTATATTTTGCATAAAACTCCTCATTTGTATGCCTGAGGTAAGAACTGTGCACAAAGGAGGTGACATCTGAGTATTTGGGAGTTCTGGTGAAGTTTGGGTGAGAGTGATACAGTCATCAGGTTCTTCCTCAGATAGTAGGGGAAGAAGAGCAGAGGACTGAGGTGTAGAGAGTGATAAGTAGCAATATGAGAGGAATAAGGTAGTAGGATCTCACAGGACGTGAGGATGGAAGTGGAAGAGTGTTGAATATTCTCAGTTAGTAGTAGGGTCTTAACTACTTGGGGCACATAAAGGTTGAATGCATGACTCAGAATTAAGTTAGTATTGATCTTGACCAATTTGGTAGCAACAGCAACTAAAGCAAAGTGAAAATGTCTGAGCCACAGGGTCAAAAGTGAGGCTAAAGAATCCAACAGGACTTTGGCTTCCATTGTATTTTTGGATGGCGACATCTAAAGCATGTCCTTTTCCTTTATGCATAAAAAAATGGAAAAACTCAATGAGTAACTGTAGAGTCCAAGAGTCAGGGGAAATGATAGAGAGGATTTGAGGTTTTGAAATGCAAACATGGGAGGGGAATCTCAGTTAAGGGGTTTGGAAATGGACTCCTTAGCTGTGGCTTCAAAAGGAGAGGTGGTAATAGAAGTTAGTAATTCAGTTCTGGCAATAGGCAATAAATCCTATAAATCTTTGCAGTTCTTTTGGTCTCAGGGATGAGAAAATTGATGATGGTGTTAATTCATTTAGTGAATAAATTATTCCCTTCAAGGAAGATATCATGTTCTAGGTAATGCACTTGAGGGCTGCATAATTGCATGTTTTTGGAGACATTATGCCCCTTATGGGCAAGAGCTTGTAGTGAATATGGGCTGTAGATAAGCAAGGTGTCAAAATCAGGTGAGCAGAGAAGGTCATCTATGTACTAAATAAGAGTTTCAGGATAAGGTCCAATATCTCAGATTTGCGTGTAGAGTGTGAGGGAAACAAATAGGGGCTTTAGTAAACCCCTGAAGCATAATGTAAACTATTGATTTCCATATGAAAGCAAAAAGATACTGTGAGTTGGGTTGAAGAGCTACACTGAAAAAAAAAAAAAGACTACCAGTCAATGACTATAAAGTGAAAGGTATTAAGTTGGCTAGAAGCCAGAATGTATTTGAGTTAGAATCTAGAGCAAATCTGGAATGACTATTTGTTTATTGCTCTCAAGTCCTGGACTAACTGGTATCCTTTGACATTATTCTTACTTTTTGGGAGGATAGGGATATTACAGGGATTGGGTGCAGGGCCTAAGAGTCCTTGTCAGAGACCTTGACTTATAATTGAAGACCTTGGAGGGGTTCTAGTTTAGAGGATATTGTGGCCATCTTGTGAATGGCATGGAACAGACTATTTCTTCTTTGAGAGGTCAGCTTCTCAGATTTGAGTTAGCAGCCCAAAGGAGTAGCACGTATGGAAAACAGGTACGGTGGTACCCATGGAGGGCTATCAGTGAGACAAGGGTTTTGAGGGTGTTTGGGGGGATAAAGGAAGAGCTGAGGAAGAGTTTGGTTGTGAGATAGTCTTTAAGGTGCTGTACAGTTTGAGATATTTTAGGGACATATTCTTATTTTTAAAGCTTCTTTGTACCAAGCAAAATTAGCTGACAAATAGTGAGGTCTTAAAGCCCTGACATTCAAGGGGATCTCATAACTGGACTAGTTTAGGGAGATCAAGGCTGCCACAAAGGGGCCATTGGAGTCTAAATTGTCCTTAGTTAAATTCAGCCAATTTCAGAAATAATGGACTGAATTGTTAATGACAGAGTTTATGATTGGCAGAGGTTTTTAAAAATGGATTGAAAATTTTCTGTAGTACAGAGATTAAACAAACCTGGCAGCAAAATCAAACTGAAAGAGTACTCAAACAAAGAATCAAAAGCCAAATCCTTATTGTGCTACCATAGACAAATATCTGTAGCATGGGGATCAGGAGTTAACTCTCTGTGAGAACCCTGAATTGCCATTCAGGGGAGGAGCATGAACTCAAGAGGGCTTAGTGCTTTTGGTAAATGAATGAACGAATAATTGATTTGTACATAGTTTGAATGCATTGTTACAACTGGAAGATTTTGATTCAATTTCCATTTTAGGTTTTCTGTACTTGTAAACTGGAGTCTAGAACCATTGATTTCTCTCCTATGATTTAGTTAACAAATTTTATTTATATAGGTGAATTTCATCACATCTGTCAAAAGTATGACTGAAATCAAACTTTTATTAGAAAAGGGAAGTACATAAAATGATGCAGAGGAGGTAAAGACAGTTGTGAACTCTTAACTAAAATGCATTCTGTCCCTATAAATTCCTTTATGGTACATCACTCTTTATGGATTACAAAATGCTCCTCCATCTGTAAGTATGCGGGACTCCTAGTAGTGACTTACAGTATACAGAAAAATAGTCAAATGTCATTTTGCTCCAGTGGAAAATCCACCTAAACAAGGTATCATTACCAATGGTTCTTTTAATGCTTTCTCTACGTCATAAACCAACTTTGATATACTATTTACCAAACATTGAACGAATAAATTCCATTTTTGGCAAGAAATATTATAATGATGATTACAAGGATTTGCCACATCTCAAATGTTCCTGTTATCTCTCCATATCATCAAGAATATGAGAAGCCGCCAGGCACGGTGGCTCACGCATGGTGAAACCCTGTCTCCACTAAAAAAGTACAAAAAATTAGCTGGGCATGATGGCGTGCACCTGTAATCCCAGCTACTCAGGAGGCGGAGGCAGGAGAATTGCTTGAACCTGGGAGGCGGAGGTTACAGTGAGCCAAGATCGCACCACTGCACTCAAGCCTGGGTGACAGAGCAAGACTCCATCTCAAAAAAAAAAAAAAAAAAAAAAAAAAAAAAAGAATAAGAGAAGTATACTTTTAGGAAGAAAAGAGTAGTTTCAGAATAAGAAATACCCAGGTTTGGGCTGGGTGTGGTGGCTCACCCCTGTAATTCCAGAACTTTGGGAGGCCAAGGCAGGCATATCACCTGAGGTCAGGAGTTCAAGACTAGCCTGGCCAACATGGTGAAACCCCATCTCTACTAAAAATACAAAAATTAGCTGGGCATGATGGTGGGCACCTGTAATCCCAGCTACCCGGGGGCTGAGGCAGGAGAATTGCTTGAACCTGGGAGGCAGAGGTTGCAGTGAGCCAAAATGGCACCACTGCACTCCAGCCTGGGTGACAAGAATGAAACTCCATCTCAAAGAAAAAAAAAAAAGGAAAAGAAAAAGAAAAAGAAATACCTGGATTTGAATTTGACTTTGCTATTTATTAGGCACCTTTGATCAAGGTACTTAAACTTTTTCAACTTTCTAGAATGTCAGATCCACTAAGACAATTTTTTTTTCTTGTTGATACTTCCTGGTGCCTAGAGTATTATATAGCATATATTATACTCTCAATAAATATTTGTTAAATAAATAAATATTTTTATTTAGAAAAATCAGTGAAGGAAGAGGGAGACAAGAGATTGAGATAAAGTGTTGCAGCATTTACCACTATCAGTAGCACATTTTCAGCATTAGTATACCCTGTTTCGTTTTCAGATTGTTGCTCAAATGTTACCTCCAAGAAAGGCTTTCCCAGACCTCTCTCCCCTTAAAAGTCAAAACCTTATTTTGTTCTTTCTTATAATTACCACCATCTAATCCATCTAATATTCTCTTTTATTTTACCTATTTCTCCCTTTTTTTGTGATGGGGTCTCTGTCTGTACCCAGGCTGGAGCACAATCATGGCTCACTGCAGCCTCAACCTTCCGGGCTCAAGTGATCCTCCTGCTTCAGCCTCCCAAGTAGCTGGGACCACAGGCATGCACCACCATACCTGGCTAATTAAAAAAAGCTTATTGTAGAAATGGGGTCTCACTATGTTGCCCAGCCTGGTTTTGAACTCCTGGACTCAAGTGATCCTCCCACCTCTGCCTCCCAAACTGCTGGGATAAGAGACCTGAGTCACCACATCCTGCCTATTTTTTTTTTTAACATCTGCACTTTCCCACTAAAATATAAGCCCTACGAAGAAATGTAATTTCATGCTGTTCATTGTCTACCTCCTGTCCATAAACAGTACCTGTCACCAAATAGTTTCTCTGTAAATATTTATTGAATGTTGAAGGAACTGAGAGGAGTTTACTGCTGCTTTTGTTTTTTAATCATTATTCATGGTAAGGACCCAAATGCCCTGCAGGCAACATTCAACCTCACCAATTAAAAAATAAAAGTGAAGAAAACATTCGTGAAAAATGTTTGAGAAATTTGAACCATGAAGTTTCATGTGTATAGGCAATTAGTAAGACTGAAAGCACCATGTGGGCAGATGACAAATATGCTTTGCCCACACCTTTATTCTGGGGATGGGGCACAATGTCTGGCATACAGAAGCGGCTTAAAATCATTCATTGTATAAAAAAGTATATATATACTTTATATATACATATATAAAGTATATATATATCAAAGTATATATATATATGTGTATATATAAGGTCCTTATATATACATATATATAAGGACCTTATATATACACATATATATATATATGTAAGGTCAATTAAGGCTATTCTCCCATTAGAAAAGTATAATTTTGAGAAAAATAATTTAAAAAATATGAAATAAACTTGACTATTGCTTAAAAGGTTAATGCCAATCAATGTTGTCATGGTAGAATTTATTACTCAAAACTCAGAAAAAAAAATGTCATATTTCTTTGGTCTGAATCAAATGAGATTTGTTTTTCATTCTGTACTCTCCAAGATAGTGGGAAATTCCATCTCATTCATTTTTTTTTAAATTTTTATTTTATGTTCTGGGTTACATGTGCAGGATGTGCAGGTTTGTTACATAGGTAAAATGCACCATGGTGGTTTGCTGCACCTATCAACTCTTCACCTAGGTATTTACAAGCCCGACATACATTAACTATTTTTTCCTAATGAGAGGTGACAACGTGCTAGCAGCCCTCGCTCACTCTCAGCACCTCCTGGGTCTTGGCGTCCACTCTGTCCATGCTTCAGGAGCCCTTCAGCCCACCGCTGCACTGTGGTGGCCCCTCTCTGGGGCTGGCCAAGGCCGGAGCCAGCTCCCTCTGCTTGCAGGGAGGTGCGGAGGGAGAGGCTCGGGCAGGAGTCGGGGCTGCGGGTGCAAGTTCCGGGTGGGCACAGGCTCGGTGGGCCCCTCAGTGCGGCCGGCCAGCGCCTGCTGGGCTTGATCGGGGGACAAGCTCCCTCTGGGCTGCTGGACTGCCTGGCTAGGTGTGACAAAGTCCCATGGTTAGTGCCACTGAGAAGTGAAGCAGGCTGGGCTTCTGGGTCAGGAGGGGACTTGGAGAACTTTTCTGTCTAGCTAAAGGTTTGTAAATGCACCAATCAGCACTGTGTGTCTAGCTAAAGGGTAGGGGACTTGGAGAACTTTTGTGTCTAGCTAAAGGATTGTAAACACACCAATCAGCACTCTGTGTCTAGCTAAAGGTTTGTAAATGCACCAATCAGTGCTCTGTCAAAACAGACCAATCAGCTCTCTGTAAATGGACCAATCAGCTCTCTGTAAAATGGACCAATCAGTAGGATGTGGGTGGGGCCAGATAAGGGAATAAAAGCAGGCCACCCTAGCCTGCAGCGGCAACCCATTCCAGGCCCCTTTCACGCAATGGAAGATTTGTTCTTTCAGTTTTCTCAATAAATCTTGCTGCTCCTCACTCTTTGGGTCTGCGCCACCTTTATGAGCTGTTAACACTCACCACGAAGGTCTGCAGCTTCACTCCTGAAGGCAGCGAGACCACAAACCCACAGGGAGGGACGAACAACTCTGGAGGGGAGGAACGAACAACTCCAGATGCACCACCTTTATGAACTGTAACACTCACCATGAAGGTCTGCAGCTTCACTCCTGAGGCCAGTGAGACCACGAACCCACAGGAAGGAATGAACAACTCCAGACATGCCACCTTTAAGAGCTTTAACACTCACTGCGAAGGTCTGCTGCTTCACCTCTGAAGTCAGCGAGACCATGAACCCACCAGAAGGAAGAAACTCCGGACACATCTGAACATCAGAAGGAACAAACTCTGGACACACCATCTTTAAGAACTCTAACACTCACCATGACATCCGCGGCTTCATTCTTGAAGTCAGCGAGACCAAGAACCCACCAATTCCAGACACATTTTGGTGACCCAGATGGGATTATTGCCTATCACCAAGCGGTGAGACCATTGCTAAGTGGTGAGACCATCGCCTATCACTAAGCGGTGAGACTATCACCTATCGCCGAGCGGTGAGTACCATTGGACCCCTTTCACTTGCTAATCTGTCCTATTTTTCCTTAGAATTGGGGGGCTAAATACTGGGCACCTGTTGGCCAGTTAAAAGCAACTAGCGCGGCCACTGGACTAAAGACACGAGTGTCAGGCTTTCTGGGAAAGGGCTTTCTAACAACCCCCAACTCTTCGGAGTTGGGAGCGTTGGTTTGCCTGGAACCAGCTTCCACTTTTCCCGTACTTCCGGGCTGAGGCAAGGGTCGACAGAGAGGAAAGCCATTCAGCTCTGGGGTCCTGACAACAAGTTGGTTGATCCTGCAGCTGTGAGCGGAACTCTCAAAGGCATGTTGCCCAAGTGAGACTTGCCCATCTATTCTATCTACCCTGACCCTCCTAGGTCCTAATGCCTGTCAGGCAAACTTCCTCTCACTTCTCTTTCCCGAGGCTAGTCCTGCTTCTAAAAATCACTCCCTGTCTCTGGTGCTTTTCTAGTTTCTCCTATAAGAATGATTTCTAGTATAAACTCCAGGACTTTCTTACCTTCTTTAGGCTCTCGGATTCACTAATCAGAAAGACATAATTTTTGCCCAAAGCCCCATTGTAGTGGGGACAATCTGGAATTTTAGTATCCCTTCTCAGACTAGCAGGCCTAGCAAAAGCTATTCCTGAAGCTAGGATATGGGGAGCCTCAGAAATTGTATCATTCCTATTCATATAAGTAAGGACAAAAGGTGTCACTCTTCCAACCCTGGAGAACCCTATCCTCCCACAGGTTATGGCCCTCCACTTCATCTTTGGGGCATAACATCTTTATAGGTCAGGGGTAAAGTCCCAGTACTAACAGGAGAATGCTTAGGACTCTAACAGGTTTTTGAGAATGCGTCAGTAAGGCCACTAAATCTGACCTTCCTCAATCCTCCTTGTGGTCTGGGAGGAAAACTAGTGTTTTTGCTGCTGCCTTGGTAAGCACAACTATTCTGATCAGCAGGGTCCAGGGACCATTGCGGGTTCTTGGGCAGTAGTTGTTTCTGCTGCTGTGTTGGTGGGTGCAACTATTCTGATCAGCAGGGTCCAGGGATTGTTGTGGGTTCTTGGGCAGGGGGAGAAACAAAACAAACCAAAACCGTGGGCAGTTTTGTCTTTCAGATAGGAAACACTCAAGCATCAACAGGCTTACCCTTGAAATGCATCCTAAGCCATTGGGACCAATTTGATCCACAAACCCTGAAAAAGAGGTGGCTCATTTTTTTCTGCACTATAGCCTGACCCCAATATTCTCTCTCTGATGGGGAAAAATGGCCACCTGAGGGAAGTACAAATTACAATACTATCCTGCAGTTTGACCTTTTCTGTAAGAGGGAAGGCAAATGGAGTGAAATACCTTATGTCCAAGCTTTCTTTTCATTGAAGGATAATACACAACTTTGCAAAGCTTGCAATTTACATCCCACAGGAGGACCTCTCAGCTTACCCCCATATCCTATCCTACCTATAGCTCCCCTTCCTATTAATGATAAACCTCCTCTAATCTCCCCTACCAAGAAGGAAATAAGCAAAGAAATCACCAAAGGACCATAACCCCCCCGCCCCTCCGCCCGGGCTATTGGATATGTCCTCTTCAAGCTGTAGGGGGTGGGGAATTTGGCCCAACTTGGGTACATGTCCCCTTCTCCCTCTCTAATTTAAAGCAGATCAAGGCACACCTGGGGAAGTTTTCAGATGATCCTGATAGGTATGTCCTACAGGGTCTAGGGCAAACCTTTGACCTCACTTGGAGAGATATCATGCTACTGTTAGATCAAACGCTGGCCTTTAATGAAAAGAATGTGGCTTTAGCTGTAGCCTGTGAGTTTGGAGATACCTGGTATCTTAGTCAAGTAAATGACAGAATGACAACTGAAGAAAGGGACAAATTCCCTTCTGGTCAGCAAGCTCTCCCTAGTATGGATCCCCACT
Organism: Homo sapiens; assembly: GCF_000001405.40. Lineage (NCBI taxonomy): Eukaryota > Metazoa > Chordata > Mammalia > Primates > Hominidae > Homo > Homo sapiens. The sequence continues at coordinate 96,638,932 of NC_000011.10, forward strand.
GGGACCTCAACTCAGATCATGGGGAATGGAGTTGTAAATATCTATTGACCTGTGTTCTAGAAGGACTAAGGCGAATTATGAAAAAGCCCATGAATTATTCAGTGATGTCCACCATAACTCAGGGAAAGGAAGAAAATCCTTCTGCCTTCCTCAAGTGGCTACAGGAGGCCTTGAGAAAATATACTCCCCTGTCACCCAAATTGCTTGAGGGTCAATTGATTCTAAAAGATAAGTTTATTACCCAATCAGCCGCAGCTATCAGGAGAAAGCTCCAAAAGCAAACCCTGGGCCCTGAACAAAATTTGGAGGCACTATTAAACTTGGCAATCTTGGTGTTCTATGATAGGGAACAAAAGGAACAGGCCCAAAAGGAAAAGCAAAATCAGAGAAAGGCTGCAGCCTTAGTCATGGTTCTCAGATGAACAAACCTTGGTGGTTCAGAGAGGACAGAAAATGGAGCAGGCCAATCACCCAGTAGTGCTTGTTATCAGTGTGGTTTACAAGGACACTTTAAAAATGATTGTCCAAAGAGAAACAAGCTGCCCCCTTGTCCATGTCCACTATGCTGAGGCAATCACTGGAAGGTGCTGCCCCAGAAGAGAAAGGTTCTCTGGGTCAGAAGCCTCCAACCAGATGATCCAACAACAGGACTGAGGGTGCCTGGGGCAAGTGCCAGCTCATGTCTTCACCCTCACTGAGCCCTGGGTACGTTTAACCACTGAGGGCCAGGAAATTGACTTCCTCCTGGACACTGGTGCAGCATTCTCAGTGTTAATCTGCTGTCCTGTAAGACTGTCCTCAAGGTCCGTTACCATCTGAGGAATGGTACAGAAATACCTGTAACCAGGTATTTCTCCCACCTCCTCAGTTGTAATTGGGAGACTTGGCTCTTTTCACATGCCTTTCTTGTTATGCCTGAAAGTCCCACACCCTTATTAGGTAGGGATATATTAGCCAAAGCTGGAGCTATTATCTACAGAATATGGGGAACAAGTTACCCATTTGCTGTCCCCTATTTGAGGAGGGAATCAACCAACAGTTTAAAAATTGATCTGTTCATTCATGTTTTAAGGTTCTCCCTTTTATTTTCAGAGGCTGTACTGGAATGTGTCAGGAAAGTGAAAAGTCTCTGGTTGTTAGTCTGCAGTGGCCATACAGGTACTGTAACCTATATGTTATGGTACTTATATGACCATACTCTGACCTTCTTGATGGTGCCATGGTTCAGTGAATCTTCCATGTTCCTGATGGTAGACTTAAAGGTATCCTTCAAAGACGTCTTTTCCAGGGATTATAAACTCCTTATTGTAAGACACCATGAATATGCTGAAGACCTTGTGTTTAGGAACAAGTCCTCACCAGTCTCCCACTTTGGCCTCTCACCTCTGCAGAGAGGGTGTGGTTCTTCACTACTCCCTGGAAGTCTAGTTCCTTCTTTCCTCACAGTCTTGAGAAACACAACATTTTTTCTCCAATTTTGAGCTCCTTTCTTCCATAAAATTTAAACAGTTTTTATACCAGATACTTTTGGTGAGTCACTACCTCTCAAGATTTGATGTCAGCAACTGGGGGAATTTTTGTTTTCCATGCGTTTGCTGACTTCTTATTTCAGGTTCTGTCACATAAGTCATTACAATCCTTGGGACAGGGAGCCTAGATTCTGGATTCATAACCACTGTCTTAGAATGGGAAGGGTCCAATACTTCTCTTTCTTTGACTTTTTTACAACAGAGGAAAAGAAAACCTCCACAAATTATTGTCTAAGTAAATAATCCTCTGAATTTTCTTCCTCCAGTAAATTTTTGTTTTTAAGAAATATTTTTCCCCATTGCAGTGTCTCATTTTATAAGTGTAGCTCATGTACCTGTGTATCTTCTCTCCCTAAGCAGTTATTCTCATAATTCAATCAGTGTCTCAGATATTTTTTATATTCTCCCTGAGCATTCATGTGAGCTTGCTTTCAATAATTAAGTTAGGCTAGCTGATTGCCTTAGAAGAGATCTCCTTCATAATCGTGGATGTCTTAGGCTTAAAAACCGTAAAAAGAAAAATTAAGATGCAATTTCTGGTTATGTCCAATTCATCTTCATTAACCTTAAGTTCTTTGGGCTTTTGCTTGTATTTGAAGACCTCATTTCTTATCCTCTGAGACTCTGACATTGAGTGTCTTGCCATAATCTAATTGCCAGAGGGAAAGATCTTTGCCATTGTTGGTCTTTATCTCAAGTTGGCAGTTAAAAAAAAAAAAATGAATGGGCCTTTTGGCGCTTTCCTTTTCTATTTCCTTGGTCACAGCTACCTTGGGTTACACTTACAAGGGGAATTGTGTCAGAAAGTCTAATTTCTTTTAAGACCAGGTTGGGTCATTTTCTTTATTCCTCTCTGGTTTATCAAAATCCATCAAATGTGTCATAACTTTGTCAGTGCTTATTTAGAGTTCTGTTTATGAGCACACAACTCCAAAGAGGTGCTTTATCTTTTTAAAACACGTGGTTATCTCTGAAATGTTTAACCTTTGTACCTGGCAATGCGCTTTCTAGCTTCATTTTGTCTTTAGTTGTTGTCTTTTGATTCATAGGTGTGTATTTGTGGGTGTACATGTGTATTTCTGTATGTGTGTTCTTTTTCATCTTAAATTATTTATTTAGTCTCTACTAAGCACATTAGTCATTATCATTGCTAAATTAAATAAGCAGGAGGCCATTAACTTGAGGCTGTCTTGTACTTTGCGTTTTTATGTAACAAGCTACAACCTCACTGAGTAGGTAAGCAAACTGAAACCTATCTTAGAAGTATATTTTTTGTAACAGATAGTTGGTTTTCAGCAAATCGGTAACATCTGAGCTCAGCCATTCAAAGGCAACCCAGCTGAATAGACCATGCTCAAATAAAGCAAATGCCTTATCACACCATGTTCCAATAAGGCAGAAACCTAGCTGTAGCCAATCAGGTGATTTCTGTATTTAGCTTCTGTGTTGGGCTTATAAAAGCTAGCTGCTCTCATTGCTGCGTGGAGCCCTCTAAATCCCTTTTGGTTCTGAGTTCTGCCCTGTACGTGAATTGCCCTTTGCTTAAATAAGCTCTGTTTAATTAGTCTAAAGTTTTTCTTTTAACGTCATTTAAATATCTGACTTTATTAGGAACTATTTTAAAAACTTTTCTCTCTCCTGCCATTAAAAATATGGTAAGTACTTTGCTTTAAAAAGAACTGTAAACGAAAATTATGGTTTCCTCTCACTAAACGAATATGTACCTCAGCAATAACAGTTTGTAAACCAGTAAGACAGTAGGCTGAAGACTGAGATTCAAATGACCTTCCCCTTAAAAATGCTGAGCTATGGAACTGGCTTTCTCTATGCTTTGTTTCTCCATATCCTAACATATGTACAACTACACGCACTGATATAAAAACTACTAAATAGTGCTAGACTCTGCTCCATTAGTTTAAATAAATGCAATTTACTTTTAGCATTATATTCAGAAAAACTCTTAAGCCTCAAAGTCTCCAATAACTTAAAGTACTGAATTAGGTAACTACTCTAAGACACATCTGACAGAAGTAATGCCTTATTTAAACACAGGTTCCCCAAACCTGCTGTTAGAACCTACACATACGTGGAAAACTTTGATAATCACTCGTTGTTCACACAGTTTTACTCCTCAGGCAGTCCTTTGCTATTGGTCAGCTTTAGGCCAGAGTCTAGCAGGAAACTGCATGGGACACCAGATTCACCGTCTCTTAAGCTGCCATTGTTGTCTTCTTTACTGAAGGTTGTATTGAGCCAGGCTTCACCCATGCCAAGCTGGTAACATGAATACTTTTATTGTGCTGTTCTTCAGGCTTTTTCTGAGTCAGCATTTCTCTCTGGTTTTGTTATGTACATAAGGATTCCAAGGAGGAAAGCTAATTGTGTGAGGGTCTTTTATAGTAGGTTAGTCAAACAAAGGAGTAGTGCACACCTTAACACTTTCCTTTCAAAAAATGAAATAATACTGCAGCTTTGGGATTTGGGGGATTTCCATATCTGTCTTGTAAAAAACTCTCCTTGCACACATTAATACTTGCCAAATATAATTATGGCTCCACCTCCATTTTGCAAATGCTCTCTTTATATCCGGTTCACCTGAGGTGGGATCAACTAGCAGTGTATGATAGGAATATCAAACACCAATCATAGATAATCACTATCTGAATAGTTATTGGGGATGTAAACTGTAAACATAAATATGCCCTCTTGAAGAAGTCCATGTCATATATCAATATTTATCTGAGCCACATTAACTCAGAATGGTAATGAGAGGTGAAGCCATCTGGGCTTCTGGGTCGGGTGGGGACTTGGAGAACTTTTCCATCCAGCTACAGGATTGTAAATGCACCAATCAGCACTCTGTAAATATGGACCAATCAGCACTCTGTAAAATGGACCAATCAGCAGAATGTGGGCGGGGCCAAATAAGGAAATAAAAGCTGGCCACCGAGCCAGCAGGGGCAACCTGCTTGGATCCCGTTCCATGCTGTGGAAGCTTTGTTCTTTCGCTCTTCACAATAAATCTTGTTGCTGCTCACTCTTTGGGTCTGCACTACCTTTATGAGCTACAACACTCACCACAAGAGTCTGTGGCTTCACTCCTGAAGTCAGCGAGACCACGAACCCACGAGGAGGAACAAACAACTCTGGAGGCGCCACCTTTAAGAGCTGTAACACTCACTGCTAAGGTCTGCAGCTTCACTCCTGAAGCCAGCGAGACCATGAACCCACCGGAAGGAAGAAACTCTGGACACATCTGAACATCTGAAGGGACAAACTCCGGACACACCATCTTTAAGAACTGTAACACTCACCACAAGGGTCTGCAGCTTCATTCTTGAAGTCAGTGAGACCAAGAACCCACCAGAAGGAACCGATTCTGGACACAGTAAGATGGCTGCACATAGATACCTGGACTTTTGCTGCACACCCACAGCAATTTCTGCAAGAAGTAAATATTCCAGGTAGAATAGTCCCTCAGAAGCATGTGCCATTTGTTGACTGTGCTGCTGGGGCAGGATATGCAGGCTTAGTTATTAAAAAAAAAAAAAAAAAAAAAAGCATTTTTGGGAATAGAAGGCAGCTGGTTTTTTTTGAAGTGGTGTAAGGAGGACTGATTTTTACATCCCACATTAATGCCTTCACCATCAGATCATTTGTGTACAGAGATTGTAGACGTGCTTTGGAAAGGGTTCATAATGTATACTCCAAACAAATAAATTTAGTTGTCTGTGTCATTAAACTCTTTCCTCTTCAGCCCGTGGTGGGAGCCTGTAGGGCAGTGCACTTCACCCTGGTACCTTGAATGCAGAACTCCAAGAGCATCTCCCATAGCAATACCAGCCCAGTTCCTTTCATGCCCTGTACCAACCCTATCCTTGCCTGTATTTTCCAGGCACAATATTGATAGCAGATTAACAGACAGTCTTTATTTTTCAAGGTATCAGGTTTGCCTTGCTTCTGTAGTGAGCTCTTAAGGGACCTACAGAAGAAGGACATTCAGAGTAGCCATGCATTTTTACTGCCCTGCTCAGTTGCCATCTGTTGTAGCTGGCAGAATCTGGGTTATTGCTCCCAAACACATATCCTTTCTTTCTCTGGCTAAACAGTTCTGAGTGTTTTGTGACCAGACTTCTGAACCAGTTTTTAGCTTTAGTTAAATGCAGACACATTTTCATTTTCATTTGGATGGATATTCAAGAAGCTGATCTGTATTGCTCTCTGGTTTTCAACATAGCCAAAGCTTAATCTAAAGTGCTCAGGTAATTCAGCCATGCACTTTGAGTGCCATAATACTCTTAGGGACTGGGTCCCTCAACTGATCTTTTTATAAAGGTAGGATCTGCCTGGTTTGGGGCAAGATTTGCTGCTATAGCACCTGAGTAATGGACCTGCTCCAAAATTCTAGTATCTCTTTCTTTAAAACTTTCTAGCCCTAGAAAATACCTTCATTTTCAAGGAGTTCATTGCTTCTTTTGGAAGCTGAAGGTATTTTTGCAACAAATTGAAAACATTAGACCATATCTGAGTTTATAGTCAAGCTTAGGATATTATAATATTCCCACACCTGCTACCAAATGCCCTTCCCTTTTCAGGAAAATGTTCTCTCTTAGAAGTTCAGAGCCTGATAAAAAGGACCTTCAAAATAACCTTCTGTGATATGTTTGCTGTCTCTTCTTTTTGAACCTTCTTCCACTCAGTTTCTATCTATTTAGGAGTGTTTGTAAACATTTGCAAAATCTCTCCTTAAATGGAGACTTAGTATTGCCCACTGTTGTTTTTCTCATTATTGTTGTTATTCTTAAAGTTAAAAATGATTATTAACATTTTTCATCTGTCTGTTTTTCTCTTCAGAGTCTTGGCTATGGTTTAAAAACAATAAGCTTGATTTATTGGAGTTTTGATAGTCTGTACATAGTGCAGCCACGATCTGTAAAAATATTTTTAGTAATTTTGAGTAAGATCTCAGTTGGTAGCAAGTATAAAATTCTCCATAATCTTCGAGGACAAGAGAGGAAATATAGTTTATTTTCTTATAAATTAATTTAAATTTGTCCCTAAACTTCCATTTGCTAAAATGGTGAACTAAGTCAAATCTCAGTTTTATTTTTGGAAATGTTTTTTCACAGTCTAAACTTCATCATGATACGGGAGTTGGAGGCAGCTAGAAGAGAATTTATAAAACAAATGAGAGACTTATTTGTCCTTGGTGCTGTCTTGTTCCATCTGTTGCTTGATGCTACTGTCGAGGCTGATTCTTTGCCATTATCTGGGCACTAATCCCTGGGTGGAATCACAAACACTGCTTAAGGTAGTCCTCTCCCTTGCCTGATGACTGGGCTGTGGAGAATTTCATTGATTCTCAAACTTCAGTGCCTAATTACTGGTTACAGCTAATATCTGATACCTACAGTTGGTGATTAAATATAAAAAAGGTTTAGGTCTCTACTATTCATAGAAACCTACAAATTTCCCAAACTCATCCTTTCCTTCAGGGTTAAATCTCCTTTTGCTTCTCAACTCCTAGAATCAGGCTCTTTCACTTTCTTCTCTACAGGAGAGGACCCTAGTCTTAAACAATACAGCAGATGTCTCCTTTGGGTGACTGGCAACTTCTGTTTCTCACTTGCAATCCAAAAGCTAATAACAGTGTCTGAAGGAGAGAACCTTGAGTTTTTAGCATGTATAAGGGAAACATATTTCTCACTCTTTTGTATTTTGTTCAATGACAAGAAGTGAATATTAAAAATTTAGTGCATTTTCCTACCAAAGTATTAATTCATTGCACTTGTTTTCATGAACACATGTAGTAGATCATACTACACCATCTTCACCCTTCTAACCATTGCATTTCTGAACTGTTGAGTACATTGTAGGCATTAGCAAATACTTAGGTTGAATGTTGGGCTTTTCTTTAGGCTGCTTTTATCTTGTACATAGACGAATCTGCAGTGAAGGAAGAAGTCTGCATTTAGGAAGAAGCTATGGTTACAGATTTCCTATCTTTGGTCCTAGTTTAATATGTAAACATTCTTCATTTATAAATATTTCATCTATTTTTAGACACTATAGAATTAATAACATTAAATACGATAGACAAAAACCCTTCCTTTGTGGAATTTACATGCAAGTGGGGCAGTCGGGAGAGAGATACTAATCAGAAGAAATAAATAAAGTACATAGTATGACAGGTGGTGGTAAGTGCTATGGAGAAAAGTAAAGCAGAGTTGAGGGAGATAAAGTGAAAAGAGGGAAGCTGTATTCTTATTTTTTTTTTTTTGAGATGGAGTCTCACTCTGTCACCCAAGCAGGAGTGCAGTGGTGCGATGTTGGCTGACTGCAACTTCCGCCTCCTGGGTTCAAGCGATTCCCCTTGCCTCAGCCTCCTGAGTAGCTGGGATAACAGGTATGCGACACCACGCCTGGCTATTTTTTTTTTTTGTATTTTCAATAGAGACGGGGTTTCACCGTGTTGGCCAGGCTGGTCTCGGTGATCCGTCTGCCTCAGCCTCCCAAAGTGCTGGGATTACAGGCATGAGCCACCGCACCCAGCTGGAAGCTGAAAAATTTAAAGGAATGCACGGGAGTACCTTAATTATTGGAAGGAAGTCATTTGAGCAAAAATCTTCAGATAGTGAGGGAATGAGCCATGTGTAAAATTCCTAGTTACAGGGAAAATAAAATCCTGAGCCATGAGGCAGAAGCATGCCTGCTTGTTTGATACATGGAAAAGAGACCTGTTTGATTGGAACAGACGGACTGAAGAAGACAGTGATAGGAGGTTAACGTGGGCTGGATTTGATGGAGGCTTGCAGGTCAGTTAAGGACACTGGTTTCTTATCCCAGTGAAATAATAAGCCATCATACGATTTGGGAAAAGGAGAGACATGATTTGATTTAAGTTTTAAAAGCATCACTCTGGTTGCTCTGCTGGGAATAGAGGGTTTGAGTTGAGAAGCAGGGCAGAAGCATGGGATCTGTTAGGAGGCTGCTGAAACAAGCCGAGAAATTGATGACAGCAGCTTGTACCTGGGGTGTATCTGAGCAGGTTGTGAAAAATGGCAAAATCCTGGATCTGTTTTGAAAGTACAGCCAAGAAAAACCTAAAGCTTTAATAAACAAATTCAAGTGAATGGGTTCATACTCTCCTCTCACTGTTTTGCATTCTTAATTATACTTCCCCGTATTTCTCAATGAAAGCATGAGAATAGAAGTGACTGATTAAGCTGGGCCTGTGAATGAGCTGTTAAAATGCCTGTGTTGAAGAGTTATGTGACATCCAAGTCAGTAATGGTTTATTCAGGAAGAATAGAAAGTTAAGCCTTTCACTGAATTCTTGGTTTACTGTACCATTTAAATATCATTGTGAGTTTTACAACATCGCAACACAAGCGTTAGTGGTGGATGAATGCTTGTGGAGCTGCAGCACAGCATGAATTCTTCCTAACACCTCTTGGGTTATATACTGCAGTACCCATAAAAGAATTCCAGCTAGTCCAGTCATTACTCTCGAGAAAGAGAAAACACCTACTCGCCTTAAAATAATAATAAAGAACAGTGGGATATGAAGTCCCATTAAGAATATCACATGCAGGACTTTGCTTTACTAATTTGCAGAAGAGAAAACATGCTTCAGTGAAATTTGTCAGAGGAATGCCACATGGGGCTATATCATGAGAAATTAATAGACAATCAAAGAAAACCAGAAGGCTCCCATTTTTTGTAGATTCAGAGCTAGGCACTCATTTATTTCTGTAGTTTTCTCTTAATAGTCCAGTAGTTTCTGCCATGCAGTAATTTCACTAAAGCTTTGATCATACCAGTAATATAAACTCAAGCTTTCTGCAAAGGCTTCATTGCCCTAAAGAATCAGTAATTGGCCAAATGGCTTTTAGAGTTTTGCTTGGATTCATTGCAGTATAAGTAAAAATTAATTACCCCCACAGTTTCTACAATACCATAATATAAAGGTGTCAAAACTTGTCTTTCTAAATGGCATTTCTTAGTATCACACTGGATATAGGGTTTGCTATAAATGTGATTTGTGGAAACCATTAATGAAGTACTAGACCTAATTGACTTCTTTTAGCTTTATGACAACATAAAAAAGTTCTGCACTAGTGATGATAATTCTTTTGACGTTCTGCAGTTGGAAATCCATAGCTGTATATTTTTCCAGTGAGGCAAGACTTCAAGTTTTTTAGAATTTGAAATGCAGCTGCCACTAAGGAACAATATGGCAGACATGACTATTTTGATTTTTATAATTATTATCATCATTATCTTTATCTTCTGTGCCTGCTGAGCTCCAGCTATATTTGTATCACTCTATTTGGTCTTGTTGTGTAAACTGGGCACCAGGAATGAAGCATAGCAGATGGTTGGTGCACACTATTGAATGTTTAACCACTGACAAAGCTGATCTACAACAAGAGCTTTAGTATCGGCAGGCCTGTGTTTTCTTCATAAATATGAATGATCTAAGACTCTAAGCAAGATTGATTATTCTACCTTTAAGGCTTTGCTTTGGTGTCTGAAAATAGATAAAATATTTATAAATGAAGATTGTTTTACATATTAAACTAGGACCAAAATTAGATACTGTGTAACAATCCTCTGTCTTTTGACCATTCTTTTCATGCTCTTTTAAAAACCATTGCTAATCAGCCAGGCATGGTGGTATGTGCTTGCAGTGTAGCTACTTGCAAGGCTGAGGCGAGAGGTGGGAGGAATCACTTGAGCCTAGGAGTTTGAGGCTGTATTGCCCTATAATTGCTCCTGTGAATAGCCACTGTACCTCAGCCTAGGCAACATACTGACACCTCTTTTCTAAACACACACGCACACACACACACACACACACACTCCAAAGCAAAAACACTGCTAACAAAGGCAGACCAGTTGTTTGTTGGTAGAGATGAAAAGGCAAAGCTATATTTAAAAAAAAAAAAAAACACTGTGAAGGTAGCAGTAAAATATGGTACTGGATTAAGTGACAACATAAACATAGTAAAGTGGGGAGATATTTCCTGGTTTTGTTTGGGCTTTGTTTCTTCTCTACTTTTCCCATTCCTTGTACTTTTAGTCACACTGTCAGTAATAAGATTCTTCCTCTTTCTGGTGCAGGTAATCTAGGCTTGGGCAATCTGTATGGCAAACAGTAATTGCCCATGTGATGGGCTTGTGACCTAAGCAAGTGTATTCATTCTCTACTGCTGCTGTAACAAATTACAAAAGTTTCATAGCTTGTGTTTAACACAAATTTAGCTACACAAAATTATTATTTTATAATTCTGTAGGTGACACATCCAGTATTAGTCTCATTGGGCTGAAATTAAGGTGTTCTCTTATATAGACTAGGGGAGAATCTGTTTCCTTTCTCATTCAGATCTTAACAGAATTCTGTTTCATCTGATTGTAACATTGAGCTCTCTGTTCCCTTGCTAGCTGTCAGTTGAGAGCTGCCCTTATCTCAACAGACCTCTTTCTAGTCTTTGCACATAGTGCCCTACAACTCAGAATGAGCAAAGGGACATCATATCTTTCTCATGCTGTCATCCCTCTGATCCACTTATTTACCTTCTTCTTCCACTTCTAGAGCTCATTTGATTTATATTGGGCCCACCCAAATAATTCAGGTTAATTTCCCCATATCATAGTCCTTAATCTTAATCATATCTGCAAAGTCCCCTTTGCTCTGCAGAGTAACATATTCATAAGTTCTGGTGCTTCAGATATATTTGGGGGGATATTATTCTGCCTTTCATGGTAAGATAATGAGTACCATACCATTCCCAAGAATTGATGTTCACCTGCTAGTCTTAAGAAGCTACAGGAGCTGCCGGTGGCTATCTTTCCAAGCTTCAAAGGGAGCCATTCTGCATAGAGAATGAAGCCAACACCAAGCAAAGTGATGCAAGGAGAGAGGAAGATGGAGAGCTGGAGAGGCCCTGGTAGGTTTTGAGCAATTGGATCCAGTCTTGCCAATACCCTGAATTTCCGAGTATACAAAACAAACAAACAAAACCCCCTTCATTATTTAGATCATTGGACTTATGTTTTTATCCCTTATAAATAAATTTACAAATTGATATGTAAAAGTTTTGCAAGTAAGAGAATCTGAAACACAGAACTAGCTGAATTGAGCCAGGGTTATGAACAATGAGGATCCCATCCTGTTGCCCTCAGTTTGGAAACTTATTTGCTTCTTTGGATTAACAAAATAAGGAGTAGATTAAGCAGTCACCTGTCGTATTTTGAAATTCGACTTACAGAGACCAGAGATCTGAAGTATACATTACAAAAAACTTGAGTTGCTAGCATGTTTTGGCAAATTCTTGAAAGTCTGGGTAAGTTCCACTAAGAAATAAACAAGCTTTAGTACAATTGAGCCACTTGAAAGAAGAGTGAAGAAGTGGCCTGGTGCAGTGGCTCACACCTGTAATCCTAGCACTTTGGGGGACTGAGGCAGGTGGAATACTTGAGGCCAGGAGTTCAAGACCAGCCTGGCCAACATGGAGAAACCCCATCTCTACTAAAAATACAAAAATTTGCCAGGTGTGGTGTGGTGGTGCACTCCTGTAGTCCCAGCTACTCAGGAGGCTGAGGCATGAGAATCGCTTAAACCTGGGAGGAGGAGGCTGCATTGAGCCAAGAACAGGCCAGTATACTCTAGCCTGGGTGACAGAACAAGACTGTCTAAAAAAAAAAAAAAGAGTGTCGAAGCTTTTAACTTTATAAAGAGAAGCCCTATCTGCAAGTGACCAGTGATTTCAGACTACTGCATGTCATATATCACAAGCCCCTCAAAATTCACCAAATTTAAATTGTCTCTAGCACTCAGAAGCTGGTGCAAATAAATAGAAGATGGAAACCACAATAGGAAATAAGAATGGGACTCAGAAAGAGCCAAATAAATTAAAGAACCTTTCACGAAGAAAGAGCATTCTTCTGTGTACTCATTGCATGGTACGGTTTATAATCACCCTCATGATAAAGCACCATTCACTAGGATGCAATTTGGAACAGAGGAGCCGATTGGCTCTGCCTCAACACAGCAACGTTTTGTGGAAGGTCAAGATAGAAGTAGTTATCCTAAAGCCTAGGATTATGAGAATAAAGTTATGGCTTCTTGCTAAGGTCAGGATCCTCCAATATTTATGGTTTTAATTATTAGCTAATGTCATTGCAAGAAATTAAACAGACTGATGGGCTGACATGCTTTTAATAGAGTCATAATACAGAGAAATCCTTAATTGGGAGAACAAGAGCCTATGAAAGTTCAACATATAAAGTATATAAGGTAATTTCTAGGTCCCCATAGCCATAGCAGTGACAGGGAGCAGAGCAACTGCATACTCCCCAGATGACCACTGATGGAAATTCAGAGGGTGCAAAAAATAAACCAAAAACTGTTGTAAGCCATTGAGATTTTCAGGTTATCTGTTACCATATAACAACCTACCACCACTTGATATCCTGTTTTATAATTTCCTTTTACTTTTGATTTCCAGATATCATTTAATCATAGGTTGATACTCCTGGAAGAGAATTATATGTTCTTTACTATTCAGGATGAAACAATTTTATTCTCACTTCCATATTCCCATGTGGAAGACTGTCTTTAGAATAAAACATGCCTGGTTTTTCTGTCTCCTCAATCATGGACTTCCTCCATGGGCAGAAGAACCAACTTATGAAAATGAGATTGGTTGAAGAAACTGAGCATGCAGGGCTCGTCTTCTTCCCTCTGTTCTCTATAGGATGTTTTTTATTTTGGAGAACATCTGCTTCGGTTGGTTCTTGGCCATATGGTAACCTGAAAACAAGCCCTGTACCTGCCAGGGAAGGCCTACTGCTGCCTGCCCCACCCTGGGACTCTGAATAACTCTGATTAATTCAGGAGAGAAGTAATAGCAAGTCCTTGACTCAGGGCTAAAGCTGCATTTCCTAATTTGATTTTAATTAGCAATAATGTTTATTTTGATATCTGTCTGTCTAACTCCTGTGTCTATCTCTCAGCTGAGTTCAAACTCAGGAGGGCAAAAATGAATTACACGGGTAAGTGATGCTAGGACTTCCATTGGATGCAGTAATGGTTGATAGTTGGTGTTGTCACCCTTTAGTTGCTATTACCTTTTGTGGGTGATAGTTTATTTTTATAGACAGGAATATTCTATATTTATAGGAAGGAATGTACATAGATTCTTGGCAGCTTAAGGTGGAGTGTAGTGAGGAAACATAGGTTTTTGTAAACTCAGCATTTCTTTTGTGGGGAATCTGATAAACCCCATTCCATAAGTATAATGAGATTGTCAGTTAATGTTATATCTCCTCTGCCCTCGCCAGGCATGGATCCTAAGATTGGCCAGTTATAATGTCTTGTGTCTTTGGTAATAGAAATTAGTCCAAAATGTGAGCACTGACCCAAGCAGACTGATAATAATTAGAAAATAAACCTCTATTTCCTTTTGTTAATATAAATAATGGAAATTAAGAACTACTGATGACCATCTTCATTAGCTGCATAAATGAAATCCATCTGTAGTCAGAGCAAAGAATTCCAACATAGAGAGTGAAGTAGAGCTTAAAAATGGAGAAAGAGGCTGGGCATAGTGGCTCATGCCTGTAATTCCAGTACTTTGGGAGGCCGAGGTGGGAGGATCACTTGAGCCCAAGAGTTTGAAAACAGCCTGGGCAATGTAGTGAGACCCTGTTTCTGCAACTTTGTTTTTTAATTAGCCAGGCATGGTAGCATGTTCCTATAGTCCCAGCTACTCAGGAGGCTGAGGGGGAAGGATTGCTTGAGCCCAGGAGGTTGAGGTTGCAAAGATTTGTGATTGTACCACTGCACTCCAGCCTGGGTGAGAGAGTGAGACCCTGTCCCAAAAAACAAGAAAACAAAAAACAATAAAAAAAAAAAAAGAAAATGGACAAAGAGAGGGAGCTCCCTTAAGTCATCTTTTGAACTCTGGTTCCAGCCTTTTCTGAAGCCAGCTCCCCTTATGTCTCAGCTAAACAATACCATACATTTTTTTTTTTATTAAGATGGTCTGAATATCTGTCATTTGCCACTGAATAAGTTTTGATTAATACAGAAAGTTATAAATGGTGAACCTAAAACCCTGTGATTGTAAGAATGTCTAGGATCATTTGTTTTCTGTTTATAGCTTGTATGTGGGAAGAAGTATAGTGATGAGAAAAATTCACCTTAAACTAGCTTTAAGTTATTTAGGTCAAGAAAATCCATAGACAATAAGAAAAGTGATATAGAAAAAGATTTCCTTGATACTTGATCTAGATGGTAGTGGAATTTATCCAGGTTGGCAAGAAAAATTGTCACTGGGAAAACCTATGTATGAAAAAAAGGCATAAAGAGACATGAGACGATTACAGTTGTTGGTTAGTGGTCCTGAAAGGAACAATAAGATTTGGGGGAGACACCAGGAAGAGCATACCTGAGGGTTAAACTCAGAAAATATGTTTACTGGAAAGATAAATGTGAAAAAATGGATCAGAAGTTCAAGTAACAGTTATGTCTATGGTGATAAGAGGTTGGCTAAGAAAGGAATGGTAAAGAAAAAGAAGACAAGTGGCAAATAGCAGAATAATGAGTGAATAATTCTGCGAATAGCAGAATTATTACTGAAACCTCTGTAAGCATTACAAATCAATGTAATGGGTAATTTAAAAAAATTTTTGGTAATGTACTCATTGTATTTTTGGAGTAAAGATGTTAATTATTTGCTGCGTGAGTAAAACAATTAAAATTCTACTATTGAACCAGTTCTTTTCATGTTGGACATGAATTATCACATTTTGTGTGTACTTGCAAGGCTCAAAGGATTTGCCAGAAGGAGACCTGCATATTTCTCTTATTTTCTTCTTTTGGGCAAAAATCAAAGATCATTCTTCTGAGTTTTTTTTTTTTTCTTTTCAAGCCTAGCTTTACTATTAAAATAGCAAAATCCTACCTTGTATAATCTTTATTACATATTATTTGGGTATAACTTCTTTACTTTCGTTGTATGTTAGTTAGAGTTTTGGCCTATTTCAGTTTATTCTGGTATTTTATATCCATTGAAGGGGCTGAGAAATTCATATTATTGAGGTAGCCATCCAAATGAGCTGTTCAATAGAATATTGACTTGACTTTTATTGTACACTAAAACACATGATCACACCTGTGTAAATCATCACAACATATTCTTTGATCAGTGAAAAACAATGGTCATTGTTTTAAGTGGATTCACTGTCCATTGAATAGTCTTAAAACCTCTGTTAGTATCAGATGTTAAATTAAGAGAGTACATTAACTCTCACTCCCCCGACTGAAGTGTGGTGCCGATTTAGTCAAAGCTTGATCTGATGCCTTGGTCAAACAACCAAGTACAAGCAATAGCAAGCAAAATTGTATCATATATGTTCACATTATGTCTAATAAGTATTAAAATCTAACATTTTGGTATCAGACTAAACCTGAGTTTAAAGTACGACTTTCCCGTTATCAGCTGTATAATCTCAGACAAGTTACTTTGAGACACAGCTTCGTCATAAAATATAATTAATACCTGTTTTCATATGGTTGTCTCAGAATTTAATGAGGTAATATAGGTCAGGCACTTTGTACAGTTTCTGGTACTTTGAAAATGTCAGTAGTAATGATGATGATGGTGACAATGATAAAGGCATTATTACATAGGATCCAGGAAACGAGCCTTTGGTTTAGTGCAGCAAACTCATGCTGTGCCTAGGAAAATTGCTTAATGATTACGAATTGCTTAAGTGTTTATGATAAACATTCTCTTCTAGTTTTCTCCTAATAAAGCTGTCCTGAAATCTTTTTCAAGTCAATTATTAGAAATAGTTTTTGGATATAAATTAAAATAAACAACGGGTATTCTCATTGTTCCCCAGTGGGAAGTGAAATAGGGCCTCATGCAACCACAAATTCCTGGAACTGTAGCCTCCTCAAATCTCTCTTGGTGGCTCAAAGACTTGTGTGTGGGAGCTTCTTACAGTAACAAAGGCCATATTCCATGTCATTCCATAGTCTCACACCTATCCTATTGCAAAGGTGTGCATCCTTGGCTCCTGATTCTGCTATGAGAGCCAAGTAGAATTAATGTTGATGCTGCCATTAGATCTCGTCTACTCTCTGAGACATGTTATTTGCCCCTTTAGGCCCCAGACCTGAAATCACAATTCACTGTTCTCTTGGGTTCTCAGTTTCATAGAGAAGTTTCTGTGCATTTGTTTTTTCCTCAGGGCTTGGTGCAGTGCTTGACACATACTAGACTGCTCATTGCATATGCATTGAATTAGCCCAAATTTTATTTTACTTACTCTTTGTTATAACCTTTACTCTAAATGTTCTTGGATGTTTCTGAAGCGAAGTAGGCCTATTTTGAGTAAAATTGCTCTCTGATATTTTCAAAGATCCTTCTTTTCCTGCAGTTGCATGTGTCCTCAGTTATTGAGCTAGAAACACAGGTTTTTCCACCAGACTAAATTCTTCCCTCACTTTGGGACATCAAGTTATTAATCAGGAAAAGTTCACTTTATGGAAGGCATATACTTCTCTGTCACATTGATTTTGGGCTTGGTCATGTCACTTGCTTTGTTCAATGACATGTTAGAAAATGAAACATGCATGGGAGCTTAAAAGGGCTTGCAAGGTTGGGCTTGTTGTCTTGGGCCCCTGATCTTTACCATGAGAAGAATATGACTCAGGTCACCACTTGCCAAGTGAAGACGACAGACACATGGAGCCAATCTGGACCCAATTCATAGCTTGGAAACAAGCCCTCTCTGTTCAGTTTAGAACAGCCAAACTCCAGGTGACCTGTAGACTTGTGCATAAGAAATAAATGTGCAGTTATTCTATGTTAGTATGTTTTGGGGGTAATTCATTATGCTACATTATTGTAGCAATAACTGACTAGTCTATTTCATCTATGGAATTGGAAGGAATTTTGGAATTATTGGTTAATCTGAGGAATGACTGAGGAAATGAAAAATTTTAGTACTTTTTTATTATTAAACTTCTTGATTCTTACACATGTATAAATACACAGGCCTACCGTACTGACCCATTGAAATATGGTTTCACAATGTCTGAATTTGTATGGCATTTATTTTAGGTTCATGCTCTGTAATGTCTGGTGTGACAATGAATTATACATTTACTACCTAACTTTTAGTGGTTCAGCAATTAAGGGTAGAATTATATTATTCAACAGCCACATGAACTTACTGTGAGCCGCTTATTGCACACAATTGCCTATTTTCTTGATAAACATATTCTTAGTTTACATTAGGCCATGTTAAATTACATACTGAGGTGAGCTTGTTATTACTATTATCACTGCATACACAATCTCCTGTTTTGTGAATAAATAGAATGCCGCAGGTGAATTCTCTTAGCTCTTCTGTCTTCAGACTTGGAACTTTCTTCTTTCATGTGGTCTACGCAGTGCCACCATTTTCACAGAGGTGGGGGATACCATTTTTTTTGAAGTTATAACTAGGAATATCTATTAGTTCTTTTGTGTTGTACATACTGGAGAAATTCTTCCAGTTATGTTGAGGACTGCCTTTTCCAGGGTGTTGACTAACACTTGTTTCTTAGACTAATTTTGAGGATGATATCCTTTTTCCATTGAGGCCATTGTAGACTTGGGGGTGGGAAAGTCTTCCTTTCCCGTTTACAATCTTCCTCCTTTGAACATGTTGGAACTATTGTAATAGGTTGTGTAAAAGTATTTGAAATTTTATGAAGTCTTTATTGAAGACGTGTCAATTTCAAAGAGGATTACAACATGACATTAAATAGTTGAAGTTATAGAAAACATAATCCTTCACCCAGCATTTCACGGAGGAAATATTTAAGGAATTAATATCTTCACAAAATGTGTCTTCTTCTGATTGACCTCCAATTCTGTCTTTCTATTCTCCTCTCTTTAGTTTTTGGCATGACTCCAAATCTCCACCCACTTTTTTTTAAAAAATTTATTTGACATTCTGGGGTACATGTGTAGGACGTGCAGGTTGTTCCGTAGGTAAACTTGTGCCATGGTGGTTTGCTGCACTTAATCAACCCATCGCCTAGGTATTAAGCCCTACATGCACCTTAGCTGTTTATCCCGATGCTCTCCTTCCCCAACTCCTCTGACAGGCCCCACTGTGCGTTGTTCCCCTCCCTGTGTCCATGTGTTCCCATTGCTCAGCTCCCACTTGTAAGTGAGAACATGCATCCACCCTCTTCTTTAGGGAGGGTTTTGGTTCCCCCCCAATACCTACTCTTTTCCCTATGTTTTCCTTTTTTTCAAATTTAAGTCATTCAATCTAAAATGTTTTCCTTGGATTCTCACCTATTGTCAGTGATGCTTGTTAATCCAAGACCTGAGAAATTTAAAAGTGAGAAATCACCCAGTAGAAATGAAAAAGAGTAGTTGAGAGAGTCTGTTATTTTTCAGCTCTGCTGGATAGATAAGTGGGGTGGGATGGAGAAGCTGAAAATTGGTTGGTATAAAGAGAAGTGATTTGTAGAAACAAAGTGGGAAGAATGTTCATAGACATCAAACTCTTCAACAATGTGAAAGAAACTTTAGTTTCTAAAGGTCAGTAGGATAGACCATTTTTTGTTTTATATATTACTTTTTGGCCCAACATTTATTCAACCAGTTTTTAATGGAAAATTCCCCATTGTCAAGCACTGTGTCATGTATTCGAGCTATAAAAGTCAGTGTATTTGGGCCGCAGAAGTCATCATGACAGACGTAGTTCCTACTCTGTGGATGTACAATTCATAGATTTTGAGGCATATCTTTGCCCAGACATGAGAAGACTATCATTTTGTAACCGAACAATCAGCTTGAAGCCAAAACATACATTTTATCTTATATTTGCTTCTTTGTTTTAGCACCCAGCCATTATAAATTCCACACATTTTGAAATATTAAAATGTTTTATGGTAAAAGATCATTATTTCCAAATGATGGAGGTGTCAAAATACAGTCTCCGAGAAGAAGGCTAGACACTTACATCTCAGATTACTAAGCTGTTGCTAATCTGCTTTAAAATCTTGCATAAATTTCTATTTTGTCATCTCTAAAACACCAAAAGTAATGCTGCGTCATAGTTCACTGGAAGTGGGAGGAAGGATTCCTAAATGATTATAAAGTGTTCTGTAGATAGAGAATCATGTGTGTACCAGAGATGATAATATTGTCCCATTAATCCTTCTTGTGACAAAGAAAATGCCGCTACTTAGGGAGATGATGTGTGAGGGGAATAACGGGAGGGGATAGGATGGAAACGAGAAAAGAACAAGCTTAGAAAAGTGAATTAACCTCCTTATCCAAAGGAAAATAAATTCCTTCCACGAAGGCCAACTGTGTTGACTCTACCTCACTTTAAATAAAGTGTGAAGAAAAATACCTTACATGGACACAAGCATTTTCAATTTATGTCAATTTCACCTGTATTTTTTGGTATGAGAACTCAATGTTTCATTTAAGCAATATTAAGGCTTTTAAGTCAAATAGTCCTTTCATGCTAATTTATATGCATTTACATAGGAATTTTAAAGGTAGAGGCGGTAGTCTTATATTTCATTATTTGGAAAGGAAACTTCTGTCTAATGCCTCATTTAAGATTCAGTGGAATCTTTCTTGCTTCAGTAATTTTCCTATTAAATTACAACTATTAGTGCTAGTTCCTCACCCTAAAGGAAACCAATAAAATCACCCAAACTAATGAAGTTGTTTCCAACAGCAAACTCCTCGTTATGGGGGTACTTCTAATTACTGTTAAAATGAACTGGAACGGAATGTCTCCAGAATGGGATGTCCCAGAGCTATAAACCAAAACCATAAACAGCTGTGCAACTCCTAATCTATTCATTTCACCTTTGCAATTGCAGCACACTATCAACTAATTTTTTAAATGTTGGTAGACAGGGACAAGAGTGGATTTGGAAACAAAACAGCAAACACTGATAAGAATCTTCTTATATTATTATAACAAAAGCACATTGGTTATAGTTTGTTTTGTATATAAGATTTCTCCTCTCTCCTAGATGTTATCTTATTTACTCACACATTTATGTCTGTCTGCATTAATTGTCAAGTTTAGGTAGTTCTTCAATCAAGACTACATTGAACAAGGATGGTGATGCAGCTTATACAGCAGAAAACACTGTTGGTGCTGAAATAGTTCGTACAAGAGAATGACTATGGATCACTTAATTAAGGTGTGTATTGCTTTCCAATTTAATTTTATGCCTAAAGCAATAGAAAGCTGAACTTCTATCTGAATCAGAAAGTAGACACTCTGTAGATAAACAATAAAGCATACTGCTTTTGTTGACTCTAATTCATTCTCAATATGGATTTAAAAACAGAAATGCATGCATCAATTTAGCTGATAAATTCAAATAACTGTAGAAATGAAATACACAGAAAACAGAAACTTGTGAAGTCTTGAAGAAGAAGCTATTGTAGAGGAAGTTAAGAGAATCATAGTAGATTTGGAGACTGTGTAAAGGCAATCTTAAAATTCAACCTCTGCTTTTTCCCAAGTGAAAGGAAAAGAAAAATGGCAGTGTGAATAATAACAATATTGAGCAATAATATTATTTTTACATTTATTGTTTATAAATTACACAAATATATGAATTATATATAAAAACACCAGACTGATGGAAAGGAGATATGGCTTCTAGCTCCGGCTCTTGCCTGAGAAAGACTGTGTATCTGATTCCACCCACTAACCTTGCTGAGTCTGTTTCTTTAACTATAAAACAGACATAGTAAAATGAATACATGATCTTCATGGTCTCCTCTAGGTCTCCTTGTCCCTCATGCTACTCTGTGACTTGGGGACACTCATATTGCACACAGGGGCCATTTGTGGAATATGCAGCATTCAAGATCCATGAAATAATTTTTATTCCTTTTGTAAAAATCAGCAAGAAGATAGATGCATTATTATTTCAGTATGAGGAATGTATGCTTTTACTTAATGACAAAAATGGCTAAACAATATGGTGGGTTTGTATTGTTTCAGTCTTGCTCAGCTGGAACTATTTTCCAACAGCTCCCTTTCCAGAACGGTTTCTGGTCAGTATGGGCCACTAGACGTTTTGGGAGAGGTTTGGCAGGTGGAAGTGAAGCACCAGCCATAAGCTGCGTTGAGACTTATCTGCTGGCTTACCTTGTTGGCATGGGCAGCAGCTGGACCAAGCTCCTTCAGCTCCTGCTGGATTTCCTCTTTCAGCTCCTCTTACTTCTAGGCCAGGTCCATGGTTAGCAACATGATGAAGGATGCCAGCTTCCCCTGAAGATCAACCCATCATCGAAGTTGAAAACTTTGAGATCACAAGACACCAATAGACGTTCCAGTACATCTTTGTGGATTCCAAGACATCCTCACAGAGTGAGTTATTTATTCCTTTACTTAATGTCTGTCTTTGCTTTCTTACTACCTTATATGTATACTTCAGACTCCTCCATCAAATATAGATGCATGAGCCTTGCAGGCACTGTGTAACCAGCTTCCACAATTACATAAGGTCAAATCTCTCTTTAAATCTATAGATATATACACATATACACAGACAGATATATAAATATGCATATAGGTAGATAGATCGATCGATCTGCTGCTTCTTTGGCTGATCTCTGACTGATACAGATCTCAAAAGTTATTTTCCATGCTTCTTTGAGAAATAATTTGATGTCCTTTAACATATTTAAGGAATAAACTGGATGGAATTGGCAGTTGTTGCACTCTGATTGTTCTCTTAAAATTTCTGATACAATCATGTAAAAGAAAGAATGATCTCATTCCAAGTGGACCCATAATATAGAAATAGTACCAATATTGAGCCTTGAAAAAGGGGCATATGAGCATATAACATGTAATTCTTTTGGTAATTACTAAAGCTGTTCATAAAAAGGAGGAATTACTTTGCCCTGGAGGTGTTTAGTCAGCAGACTTGAAAGGACTGACAGTGAGGCTATGTTCCCTAATTTCGTGTGTGTGTGTGTGTGTGTGTGTGTATATGTGTGTGTACACTCACGTTTGGAAAATCTCCTTTGCTAGAGAATGTTATTGCTCTTCCCCAACTGTCCCACCAGTTGAGAATCACTACTCTAGTATGCATTGCAACTTCTTGTGTGTAATCCATATAGTATATTAAGACCCAGTTTATAGCTTCCTGGAACATAGTTTTGGAATAGGTACATATTTATTTGATACTGAATTTATTATACTCTGGAAAACAGGCCTTTATTTTGTTGCAAATCATTATGATGTGTTAAACACAAAACATACAAAAAGAAGGAGAAGTTTACCATGGAATCTTAAAAATATGCATTCGGAGAGCATAACAGAAAGCAATATTTGAAAATACAGGACATTACAAAAATGCATATATTGGCCTTTGTAGTTAGAATTTGGAGTATATATGACCAAGGTGAACCTAGAAATTTATTTTTATTTCTAGATTCCGAATTTTTCTCCCTTCTGTCAATGGTCAAGATACTCCTTTTCTGAAACATGAAATTGTTAACACTTCACTCCCTAAATAATTTATTTGACAGAGCTGTGCTCATCTCTCTGTGCCCCACAAATCTTCCTGGCTTCTTTGCATCATCACTAGTCATTCCTTTCCAATTAGTCCCTTTACTTGACATTTAGGAACAATAAAATTGAGAATGCTTGTTCGTGACTTGAACACACACTGTTTTTCCATCTTTCTTGCTGATAAATGTCTGTTTTAAATTTCATAGTCTATATGAAGGACAACTAAATATTGAAGGGATTTATGTGTGTGTGTGTGTATGAGAAGAGAGGTGTGTTTCTAGATTTTAAAAATTTGAGTGTTAACCTTGAATGGGACAACACATAGAAAGCTCAAGAGGAACAGTATTAAGGCTTCCTGTCCAGAGATTTATTCCAAGTGCTAAGATTACATATGCTACCCTGAACTTATTTCTATGTTTACGACACATGATACTGTCCTATATCCTATATTCTGTTCTTATTCACTGCTAGGATTACTTAATTTTACGGTCAGTATTGTCATTATCTATATACTTAAATTTTGATTATTTTGAGAGTAATTTATATGCTCTTTGAGCAGTTATGGCATGGTCAGAATTCTTTATCCATAACACAGGTATCTGTAAGTTCAAAGTTATCTTTTTGTCTTTGATGTTTAGTTGCTGTTCTTTGAGCAACAGGGTGTGTAGTTTTTATCAGAATCTCTGGGGCCAAATGCATAAGCACAGGCTCCTGTATATCCAAACACTCTGAACAGAAACTGCTGTAAGGATGACAGGACTACCAGGTGAGATCTTCTTGGTCAATATCGAGACATTTTGAAAAAGTGCACAGCTAAACATAATGCACTGCTTCACGTCTCTCGTATTTTCCATGACTCCTCAGTATGAACCCCTCTGCTCAGTTTGGGTTGGGGGTATGTTTTATGCAGAGCCAATGTGTTGATATTACAAATTACGACAACTGGTATCATGAATCGATCAGCTAGTTTATTTTTTGAAATAGTCAGAAAAGCATTAAATGGAATTAAAAAGAGCAGCATTATAGATTGTTCTGGTAAAGCTTTAATGCTGCATTTTCATCCCATGAAATAAGGTCCTAACTGCTAGAGTGGCTATAATAAGGTCTTAATGGTATTTTTTGTCCTATTTTATTATTGCCTTCAGGCAGGCTATGAGCTTTATGAATTTTTAGCTTACCAGAGTAGATAGTTAGGGAAGGAAGAGTTTTTCTTTCCTTATTTGTATTTAGTGTATCTCCACACTTTAAACTTGACTTAAACTAAGAGAACTATACAAGTTTCTTGGCATGGCTTTAAAGAAAGCACTCTATAATCAAGTTCAATATTCTCTTTCATATCTCATTCTTTTATAGTTCTTCCCGTTGCAGGACTAGAAAATTCCCCAATGTGGCATATTCTTACAACTCAACACATTTTCTTAGCCTATTTTCTCTAATTCCAAGGCTTTCCCTTGTCCTTCTTTGACAGACAAATACCTCTGAGCCTTCCAGACCCAAATGACATCTTCCTTGTGAGACCTTCCCCAACCCAGCCTATTCTCTCTAATACTAATCCTAACTCTATATGGTTTATAACAGAAAAGATGGCTGTAACATTTGTTATATTTATAAAGGCTAGTCATATCTGCAAATTGAACCTAAAAGATACCTAGATTTTAAAAATTTTATCTTTAACAGATTGAAGATTAAATTGTAAAAATCAAAGTAGCTCTGAACAATATTTTCTGTGCAAAAGGGGGACCTCGAGTGGGCTTTTAATTAATGTTTGATCCTATTTACAAATTTAGTTTATGAAACTCATGGAAAGATTTTAAACCATGTTTAAAAATGTAGTATGTTTTATTTGTCTTATAAATATGTCAATTGTCTAAAAACCTCTTATAGCTCTAATAAATTTTAAAATAGGAAAACAAAAAAAAAAGAAACATGGCCCTAGTTTCAAGCCCAGAGGTATCATGGGTAATTTGCAAACAAAATAAAACAAAATACTTAAAATTCTTTAGTGTTCTAAGAAATTTTATCTTATTTCTAAATGTGAATCGTCATCAGAAAGAGTGCAGAATATGGTGTACTATAGTTAATACATTACCACATCTTATCGGTTTAATCTGAAATATATCCAAATTTCATTTACTTGTCTCTATTCCTAAAGCAAAACATGAGTTCAAGCCACCATTATCTGCTATGTGGATTTCTGTGGTAGTCTTTTACATGGATTATCTGATTCATCACATGTTTATCTCCAATCTGTTCTCTGGAGCAGCGTTTGGCAAATTGAAGCCTGATAGCTAACTTTGGCTTGCTGCCTGTTTTTGTAATCCCTCAGAGAAAGATTGGCTTTTGTGCTTTCTATGGTTGGAAATTTTTTTGTTTAATCTTGAGACACATGGAAATGGATGAATCAAATCATGGTGTCCACAAGTGAAGTTGTCTATTGTTCTGTTGTTTTCATCCCAGAATTTTTTTTTTTTTATAACTGATGGAAATAAAGTTATTATAGAAAGCATCCTTTTGGTGAAATTACAAAGCTCCTGTTTAGGTGTTGACCCACAGGTGGTTGAGAATACAAATTTTGCTTTCTGTGAATCTATGAGAAACCATAAGTTGGGTGGTGGGGCTGGGGGTAGAGGTGATAGTTATGTGAGAGATAGTTAAGAAAGTTGGGGGTAGAGTGATGGTGGCATTGTCAAATTCTAAGTAAACTGGGACTTGACCTCTTAGCAGTAGGGTAAGAGTTAAGAGAGTTTGACTGCACTGTCTGTAACAGCAGTAGTACAGATGGCCATTGTGCCCCAGGTCCATTCTTTTATTATCACTGTGAATAGAAAAGTCCATGAAACTGCTATTGACTTTACCCCCTAAAATTAGGAGTGGCCTGGGAGGAGTGGATTCAAAACAGTGACTATAAATAAATATGTTATTTCTTTATTTAAGTAAACTAATTTCATTGTGTTTTCAAGAAGTCAGGATTTTTGCAAAGGCTGAGTAATTTAATGCATTTAATTTGAACTTGGGTTCAAAAAATTAGTTTTTATTTCAACTCCATTGCTTATGAGTTGAATGGGCACTGCTGGCAAGCATTTGCTAAATAAGCCATTTTCATTCAGAAACTAAATATATTCCTTAGATTCAACCTATTAGTGAAAATGTTTGTTAGTACTGCATTTTTTTTAGCCTGAAAGTCTGCTCTGACTATGAATGTATTCCACATGGTAGATGATTTTGATAGAGATTTTTTTTCAAATAAACTGTATTGTGAATAAAATAAGTAAAAATGTGAGCTTTTCCTCTTAGACAAGATCTCGTCTGACTATTTAGAGCCTACATCTGATAAAATATTCTTATGCAAGCCACACACACACACACACATTTTTATGTATGATCTTTAATTCAGTAACTTTTCTTTGACATGTAACATCATCATTATTATTCAGCCTTTACTGAGTACCTGTGCTTCCAGGTCATGAATTTGGAAGCTGGAGAATAAGTGCATAGTTTTAGAAAATGACTTTTTCCTCATAGTACCTCTTAGGTCATTTGGAATAAGACACTACTTTGTACTTTCTCTCCCTTGAAAATTGCAATAAAATGTTAGTTTCTTCATGCTTATGTGAAATTATAATGAACATTAATAAAAATCCATATTTAGATGGAAAATTGACATAGAGCCCTGGAGAGAGTAATTATTTTTCTCTTGACTATTATAGGCCAAATTTCCATGCTGTAGCTTTAAATAAAAATTGTAAAGAAAGAATATATTAAGTCTTTATGATAGTCTTTTGGAGCCACTCTGAATTACTCTGGTTACTGAAGTGAACAAAAGTACATTGATCACTTGGTTCCTTTCATTCACATCCATTAATGAGAAACATGAAAGCTGATAGGCCATTGCCTGTGGTAGGACATAAAAGTTGGAGAAATGATCCTATCATTACACCATTTTTTTCAAGAGTACATGGCTACACATTATTATTTTCTTATATACCATTTCCTTAGTCGTATTATTTCCTTAGTAAAGCATAGGCTATTTCCTATTCAAATAATTTTATTGTCAGTTCACAGTATTTGGCTGAGGCTGATTTACAAAGTGTCATTAGACTTATTTAGTGATACACAACTCTGGAGAGGAGCTCAGCTACCTTTTAACAGAAAAAGAAGTGAATTTCCATCCTATGATGGACTGACAGATTAAGGCAAGTCTCTCCCAATACTTTTGGCCAAGAACTTTGAATGGAATTGATTTAGAAATAAAATTGATGTCTCAGACACATTGGACTATAATAAAAGATATAGAAAAAGATGACTTACAGTTTTCAGAACTTTATCTAGTCTTTGAAAAATTAGGCAGATAGCCTCTTTCCTAAGCTAGAGATGGTATGATTGTTATTAAAAGTGACTCTTACTGAAAGTTATCTTGGCTAAGCTTGTGATATCACAGACTTCTCTATACTTAATATGATAAAGGGTATCCATGTAAAGGTAAGGGGAAGATTTTTTATGAGAACAGGAATGAAACAAGCATATCAATCAGCACTTCTACTGAGCATTTTACTAGATGATTGAGGGTGGTACAATAAGGCAAGGAAAAATTGTTGTTACAAAGATTGAAAAGGAAGAAATAAAATTCATTATTCAGACACTACGAATGCATACATAGTTAAAAATCTACAGATAAACTATTACAATTAATACATGAATATAGCAAATTTTCTGCTCACAGATTTAATATCCAAAAGTTAATTTCCATTGTATATGCTGGCACAAACAGTTGAAAGAGAAAACAATGTACTAGTGTGAGAAGCATGCAATAAACAAACAGAAATGTGCTGGGGAGAAGTATATGGCAGGATAATGAGATAGAGAATCGTATGATACATCTTGGGTGATGTATGCTTTATTGCTTTGTATTTTACTGAAGATTTTTTATTGTATTTTAATACCAGGAAGTAGTAGAAAAATCTTGAATTCCTGAAAAGGAGAAAGTGGTTCATTTAGAAAAAGGAAAGGAATCACAAGGAGACAGCAGGCTTGGGAGGCTGGGAACGTTAAAGAGCTTTCATACTTTCTTCATTGGTTGGTTGAAGGCAGACCCTACTAATTACGAGAACATCCAAAGTGCTAAGGAAGAACTCTAATTAGAACTTATTTAGAAAGAGCATACCAATATCTTAAGAATTGTCTGCAAGTTAAAATAAAGCAAAAATCCTCCATTTCCTTCTTTAAGTGTTCATATCAAAATGTATCAAAATGATTGTAGGCATGCAGTTAATGGAGCTCTACAAAAATACAGGAGATATGCAGATAGATTGCCCTTTTCTCACTAAAAAGCAACCAGGATATACCTAGAGGCCAAAAAAAAAAAAAAAAAAAAACCCCAGCTTTCAAAATATGAGGATCCTATTCAATTTTGTGTTTAAACATAAGATAATTTTTTTCCTCTATCAAATTTTATTCTTTTCCACAGTGTATTATGTACACTTGAATTAAATGTGTAAATAGGATTATTTATGCTGTCCTGAATACAGTAATTGAAATTAAACTGATGCCAAATTGCAATTTAGGATCACACTGAATCTCATAGAATTAACATTATGCTGAATTGTTTTTGGGCAGGCAAACATTTACAGAGATATACACCTTGATCAAGTATGCCTCAGAAACCTTCAGGACTTGATACCAGTGTTAAAAAGATAATTTTGGAATATTTCTAAATATTCCCTGAAATCAACAAGATCATGGAAAAATATCTTTCATTAAAGTGGTAGTTGTTACACTATATCCGATATAAAACCTGGTTTTCCATCCCTGACTTGGATATATTTCTTTTTCCCCTCCTTATTTCTCATGTCGACACCATCTTGATGCTGTGTAAAAGGCAAATGAAAATGCACAATCTACTGTAATCAAACTTCATTATTGATTCTCTTACAAAAACCTTATTTGGGAGAAGTATTATGGAAATTTAAAAGCATATATGATTGACCCTGACACTGTGGGAACTTTCAATTCAATTTTTCAATCAAAAAATGACCTGGATTATTCAATTTTTGAATCGAAATAAGTATAGACATATAAAATTTTATATCTGCAAGTTATACTATAAAGCCATGTGCTCCAATTATATAATTTCATACATGAGAAAACATATATAAACCACACAAAAGCATAATTTTAAGTTCTAGCAGAGCTGCAAATTGAACTAGGAACTGATAATTTCAGGTTGTCCATTTAGAGTTGGGTAGAATCAACTAAAGGACGCTTCTTGCAGGAAGGTAATTTTCTTACTGAAGTGAAATCTCTGTACAAGACAACGATAAATGTACAATATGCAGAGTTTGACAAATGTGTATGTTTATGTAACAAGCATTTCAGTCTAGGTAGAGCATTTCCATTCTGGAAAATTTTCTAGTGCTCCGTAGAAAACCACTATTCTGCTTTCTCTTACTATACTTAAATTTTGCCTGCTCTTGTACTGTATAAATGAAATTATATAGTATCTACTCCTTTGTGTCTGGATTTTTGATCAATATATTGGGTTTGAAATTCATTTATGTTCTTAGTATTTCATTTGTTTATTCATATTCTTATTGATAAACATTTGAGAGTTTTTAATTATTGGCAACATAAGATAAATGCCTTGCCTATAGAGTTGATGCATATTTAACTTTATAAGAAAGTGCCAAACAGTTTTTCAAAGTGCCTTTACCATTTTAGTTTCTTATTTGCAATGAATCAGTCTCCACTTACTCCCTATTCTTACCAATACTTGGTGTTTTGGGCCTTTTTGATTTTAGCTATAATAGTGAGTGTGAAATAGTATCATATTATAGTTTAATTTGAGTTTTTCTGTCAGCAGAGTTCAAGAACCTTTTAATGTTCTTATTAATAATTTGGATATTTTCTTTTGTCAGGTATCTGTTCAAATTTTTTACCCATTTAAAACATTGGCCTGTGTGTTTTTTTATTGATTTGTAGAAATTTTTTCCATATTCTGTCAGATACAAGTATCTTAATGTTTTCTCCAAGTGTAAGGCTTACATTTTGGCCTTTTGAATGGTGTATTTTGGTGAGCAGAAGTTTTAATTGGAATAAACGCCAATTAATAACTGATTCAAGCTTTTTGGATCATCTCTCAGAAATCTCTGTTTACCAAATGCCATTGATATGTTAGTGTTTGGTATCTTAGAAAAGACTCCAAAATTAAACTTTTATGTTTAGGTTTATTTATTGCATAATATTGCACAAAACACATCTATCTTGCTTTATTTTGAAAGGACTTCTGTAAGGTAAATATTATTATTTTTTTTCCTGAATAACTGATACAATTAAATAGCGAAATATTAATTTCCTGGACTTGGTGTGTCTTTTTTTTTTAGTTTTTGTCTTAATAAATGCAATTTCCTCAGTATATGTAGGGTTATTCAGATTTTATTTATTCTTGTGTTAATTTTGATAGTTTAATGTTTCCATGAATTTATTTCTTCTAAGCTTTGGCAGAATATTGTTCATAATACTTCTTCAATATCCTTTGTATGTGTAATGATGTTCTTCTCTAAATTCTTATTTCGTGTTTTCTCTTTTTTTTCTAGTTAGTCTTACGGGGGTATATTGATTGCACTAATGTTTCTAAAAGAATGATTTTTGTTTTTTTCTTTGTTATGAATTTTGTATTTTATTGATCTCTGCTGTTATTTTCTTTTTTTCTACCCCCTTTATGTTTGTTTTTTTTTCTCACTTATTAATGTGGAAACACATTTTTAGACCTTTGTGTTGAATAAATAAGCATTGAAACTAAACTTATTTAAGTACTTCCTTAGGTGTATTTCATAAATTTGATATGGTGCATGTTCAGTATGTCAACAAATATTTTCCCAATTTTTCCTTTTTTAAATTTTTCTTATTTTATTTTATTTTTCCATAAGTTATTAGAGTGCAGGTGGTATTTGGTTACATGAGTAAGTTCTTTAGTGGTGATCTGTGAGATTTTGGTGCACCCAACACCTGAACAGTATATACTGCAGCATATTTTATTGCATTTGCCTTGGGGTATTGGGTCATGAAATCTTTACCTAAGCCAAAGTCTAGAAGGGTTTTTCCAATGTTATCTTCTAGAATTTTTATAGTTTCAGGTCTTAGGTTTAAGTCCTTAATCCATGTTGAGCTTTAATAGATGCAGAAAAAGCATTTGACAAAATCCAGCATCCTTTTATGATTAAAACCCTCAACAAAGTCTGCATACAAGGGACATACCTTAATATAATAAAAACCGTCTATGAGAAAACCACAGCCAACATAATATTGAATAGGGAAAAGTTGAAAGCATTCCCTCTGAGAAGGGGAACAAGACAAGCACACCCATTCTCACCACTCCTCTTCAACATAGTACTGGAACTCCTAGCCAGAGCAATTGGACAAGAGAAAGAAATAAAGGGCGTCCAAATCGGTAAAGAAGAAGTCATACTGTTCTTGTTTGCTGACGATATGCTCGTTTACCTTGAAAACCCTAAGGACTCCTCCAGCAAGCTCCTAGAACTGATAAAAGAATTTGCAAAATTTCTGGATGCAAGATTAATATGCACAAAACAGTAGCTCTTCTATACACCAACAGTGACCAAGCAGACAATCAAATCAAGAACTCAACCCCTTTTACAAAAGCTGCAAAAAAAATAATAAAATACTTAGAAATATACCTAACCAAGGAGGTGAAAGACCTCTACAAGGAAAACTACAGAACACTGCTGAAATAAATCATGGAAGACACAAACAAATGGAAACACATCCCATGCTCATGGATGGGTAGAATCAATATTGTGAAAATGACCAAACTGCCAAAAGCAATCTGCAAATTCAATGCAATTCCCATCAAAATACCACCATCATTCTTCACAGAGTTAGAAAAAACAATTCTAAAATTCATGTGGAACCAAAAAAGAGCCTGCATAGCCAAAGCAAGACTAAGCAAAAAGAACAAATCTGGAAGTGTCACACTACCTGATTTCAAACTATACTATAAGGCTATAGTCACCAAACAGCGTGGTACTGATGTAAAAATAGGCACATAGACCAATGGAACAGAATAGAGAACTCAGAAATAAACCCAAATATTTTCCTAATTTTTAATTTCCTCTCTAAGCAATTATTGACTTAATATTATGTTGTTTAATGTTCCAATATTTGAAGCTTTCTAGGTATGTTATTATTTATTTCTAATTTAGTTCTTTAGTGTCAGAATTTTTTTCCATAGATTTTTAATACTTTAAAATGTATTGATACATGTTTTATGGGTCAGAATACAGTCTTTCTTTGTGAATATGCCATGTTAACTTGAAAAGTAAAAGTTGTTTTAGTGTTCTATAAATGTCAATTAGATGAATTTGGTTAGTAATATATGAATCTTTGAAATCCTCTTGATCCTTTTTTCTACCTCTATCAATTGCTCATCAGGAGTGTTATAATCATGAACTTATGGATTTGGCAATCTCTTTTTTTATTTAAGTCACATTTGCTTTATATACTTTGAAGCTCTGATGTATACATATTCGGGATTGTTATGTTTTGCTGATGAATTAACTCTTTTAACATTATGATATCTCTTTTAAAAAAATCACTGCAAGTACTGCTTGCTTAAGTTTATTTTTTTGATGTTAATACATGCTTACCAGCTTTCTAAAGATCTAATAATATATGTTTTTCTATCCTTTTATCTTTTGTGTCCTTATATTTAAAGTGCAGGTTTTTTTGGACAGCATATAGTTAGGTCTTGATTATTGTATTCAGTCTATTTCTACCTTTTGTGTTTATTTAATTATTGATAGTTTTATTTGTCTGTCATCATTCTATTTGTGTCAATTTTTCTGCTGCCTTTTTTGCCTTTGTTTTAATTGAATGCTTTTAAATATTCTATCTCAATATCTTTATTATATTTTAACTTATAATCTATTCCTCTTATTACCTTTTTAATTACTGTAAATATTATAACATGCACTCTTTTAAAAATCATAATCTATTTAGAGTTACTATTGTACCTCACCACTTAAAATATAAGAACACTGAGTAGCATAAATATACCTACCCAAACTAATAATATTTTTGTAATATACTTTATTTTTACATACATATGAACCCTATAGCACGATGTTATTTTTACTCTTAACAACCAATTTTCTTTTAAAAAATTAAGTAAAATAATATTGTCTTTAAATTACCCACATCTGTAATTTTTGGCACTGTCTTCTTTCCTTCAGATCTGAATTTCCATCTTGTGTCTTTGCCTTTCAGTTTGAAGACCTTCTTTTAGATTATCTTCTGATGAAAAGTGTTCTTAGCTTTTATTTATTTGCCTTAAAATATGTTATTTCATCTTTTTCTGAGGGATATTTTCATTAGAATTTAGGCTCCACAGTGTTTTTTTCTCATTTTCTTTGTTGCTGTAAAGATGCCGTTAATTTTATTTGGCTTCCTTTCTTCCTCCTTAATGAGGAATTATTTGTTATTCTTGTCATTGTTCTCCTGATTGTAATATATATGTGTTCCCTTGCTTAGGCTGCTTTTATGATTTACTCTGTTCTTTATCTTTGGTTTTCAGCAGTTTGTTTATGACATGAATAAAGTGTGGTTTTCTGATTGTAAGATCCATAGATTATTGTATTTTCATCAAATTTGGGAAACTTTGGCAAGTGCAACCTTGATTTTTTTTTTTTTTTCCTGCTCCATTCCAGCTTTTCTTTACTTTCAAGACTCCGGTTGTGGGTAATTAAACCACCTTTATTGTCTACAGTGACACTTTGTTCGTTTCGTGTTTCTATTTTTTCCCCTCTCTTCTTCTGGTAGGATGATTTCTACTAATCTGCCTTCATATTTATAGACCTTCTCTTCTGCCATCATTAATCTATTATTAAAGCCATCTATTTTAAAAATTTAGATGTTGTACTTTTCCACAATAGTTTCATTTGTTTCTT
The DNA here is from genome assembly GCF_000001405.40 of Homo sapiens. Lineage (NCBI taxonomy): Eukaryota > Metazoa > Chordata > Mammalia > Primates > Hominidae > Homo > Homo sapiens. The sequence continues at coordinate 96,673,010 of NC_000011.10, forward strand.
TTTATGGTTTCTCTTACTCTGCTGATATTTCCCTCTTATTCACTAATTAGGTCTCTTGTCTCAGTTATTGACTATGTTTAGATAGATCTTTTAAAGTTCTTGACTTCCATTTCCAACATCTTAGTCTTCTTAGTCTGTTTCTATTGCTGCCATTCTTCTTGGTAATTGGCCCCTTCTCCTGCTTCTTAGATTGTGTAATTTTTTATTTTATGCTGGACACTGTAGACTAAAATATGTGTGTCTACTTTATGTTGTCTTCCTTTAAAAGTTATTGGGCTTTGCTCTGAAAGGCTGTTAAAATTATTGGTAAACTATCTGGGTCCGAAAAGCTTGGTTTTATTCCCCATTAGACAATATATGTTTCCATTTTATCATTAATTCTAGGACATGTACCTTACTTGAGGGCAGCAGTTCTCAAACATTTTAATGTTAGGATCCCTTTAGTCTCTTAAAATTTACTGAGCACTTGAAAGAGCTTTTTTATGCGAGTTATCTCTACCAATGTGTACTGTATTAGAAATTAAAACTGAGAAATTTGGAAATACTTCATTACAAATATATTAAACATAACAGCAATAAATGCATTAAATGTTAACAAATACTTTAATGAAAAGTAACTATATTTTCCAAAGCAAAAATTTAGTGGGGAAAGTAGCATTGGTCTCTTTTGAAAACTAATTTAATATCTGGCTCTATGGAAAACAGTGGTCTATCTAGTTTTGCAATCGATTTGTTGCCTTGGTTATCATATGTGAAAAAAAAATCCAGACTCATACAGATATGTAGTTTGAAAAGTGATGAGAATTCTAATAGCTTTTCCATATAAATGAAGATATTTCCCTTTGATACCAACCAAAACATCACAAGTAGTAATTTCTTAGAAGTTGGTTACAAAATGGAATATGAAACCATATCAACACCTTTTGGTTTTCTGACATGTTAAAATCCACTGGGCTGTCTTGTAGTTTTAATAGCTTTTTCCCCCATACAGGATTTTGTAACACTGTGTATTGATAATTTGGTAAACGTTGGTTCATGAGTTATAAAGGTCTTCCAAATGTTGACACATTTTATTATATAATATCAGAAATTTATATTCACCAGTGTCATTAGAAAAATCATTAAGTATGGGAAATTGTCATGCTTATGGAAGCAGATACAAGTTTTCCTAAATTATAATTTTTACTTGAAAGCTGAGTATTTCTTATTGACTACAAATACTATCAGTTGTTTTCCTGAAGATACAGGCTTACTTTATAAAGTTCTGAGAAAACATCTACAAAGTATCTAAATCTGAATAATCAACTATTTGGTTAATTATTCTTTCAAGTAAAAATGGTGTTCTTTAAAAACAACATTTAGGTGAACTTGCAAATAAAATTATTATCTGAATGCTTTTTCTTCAGATAGCTACTGTATTTTGGCATGTAGCAGAAGTGCTTTGTGCATATACAAAGACTGTTAATAAAATACATATTCCTAGCACCAAAATTTAATACAATTAAGAAATTATACTGCTTCATCAAGAATATTCTTATGTTGAACTGAAAAAATGTATATAGTGATGATAATAATAATAATTTTGTACTGTTATTTCATTGCAGTAAGGAATATAATGCTATTAGCAGATTTTGGTGCTGAGGATGGTTTTAAATTATGAGAAGTTCTAATCACTTGTTATTCTCCTTCATCAGTGTAAATGTTAACACGGGAGAAAAGGGAATAATGTGTTAGTATTATTATGAAAATATTATGGTGACTTTGTGTATCCCCCAAGCTTCTAGTGACCCATTAGAAGCTGGGGAACTCACTTTGAGAACAACAGCTCTCGAAAATAATCTTTAATCCTAAAATGTGGCCTTTCTGCCATCAACTGAATGCCTGGCGTGCTCAGAAAGCTCTTTTCACTTTGGCTGGAATGCTAACACTTCCCAGTGCTGTTGGGATTTAAATTTTATTAAAATTTCTGTTTGGCTCTCACCTTTGCAGCAGTCATTCTTGTCACCACAGAGTCTAGCTAAATTCAATTATTGATCCTGATGTGTGGTGAAACTACACATAAAATCCTGCCACCCATCCAAACTTCTCCCACTTTACAGCCCTAAATTCCAGCAACTTCATTAGATCTAGACTCTTATCTTTGCCTCTTCAGCTCAGTGAGACTGCAGTGCCTAGCATAGAAGTCCTGTAAGTGGCAGAAAGCAAAAAGAATGTGGTGATGGTAGTGGGGCTGACATATGTTTTCCTTCTCTCAAGTATTAGAGTCCGAAGCTGCCTGCTATCCAGTATCTGAAAACATTTGCTTTATATTTTTTGTCCTGTTTCATAGTTGCTTGTAGCATGAGGTAAGTGCAGTAACCGGTATTGCCATGATGTGGCCAGAATGGGAAGATCAGAATATATTTGGGGTGGGGGTGGGTGTGGAGTGTATCTACAAAGTCATGTGACATATTTACTAATATATACACACACATACAGGAAAAGTTGCAAAATAAGTTGTGTGAAAGAAATTTCACACAACTTTTACTTGACAGACATGTTTGCTTACTTGACAGAAACATTTCAAATGTGTGTTTTCTACCTCAATTACTACTTTCTGGCAATATATTTCATAATAATTGGTACTAACACAAGAAAAATGAAGAAAGAGCAATTTTCTTTGAATCTTGGTAAATTAAGCCAGCAGAAAAATGATCCATCTTTCTAATCTACAAAAGAGCAATGCTAATGACAAGTTTTAAATTTTCATGTAGTGGTAAAGTTAGGTAGTTGACAGTAGAGTCTATTACTAAATCTGATATTAGGTACTATAGTGGTAATACAAATTCTAGGACTAAGCTTAACATAGTATGTATACAGGAGATGAGTAAGAAACATTTTAATGGTGTTTAGAGTATGGTTGTCCTTTCAGGCTTCAAGTGTTGAGTTGATTAATTACTTAACATGCTGTGCACAATAACCTAAGATACCTGTTAGATTACCTTAAATTTGAAGAACAAATATAGTAAGATTATTGTCTTTTGAAACTGAAAGTTCAAGTGCAAGTTCAAAAACAACAGTGAATGATCATAGGTGGGAAGTTTATTCCTTAGCATAAATTAACAAAGTGTCCACCATGTTCTGGGGGCTATGGAGGCGGGGGCATTTCAGAGAGAGTATCATTCCTTTTCCATGAGTCTGGTAAATAAGATGCATAAGCAACAGATTACAAGAGAATGAGAAATGCTTTTTCAGAGGTTTGTATTTGGCATATTGAGTGTAAGACAAGATTGTCTTTCTGAGGGGCTTACAAACAGCTCCAGAGAAGCAATGGAAATTGAATTGAACATTGAAAACTAAGTAGATTTAGAAGGTTAAAAGGTAATGAAGCAGTGACATTGTCTGGGGTAATAGCTGAGGTTCTTTGCTTCGTGCCAGGAAAATTAAGGACACAGGACACACACAAGGAGTGAGTTTAAGAGAGGAAGTTTAATAAGCAAAAGAAAGAGAAAGGAAAACCACTCTCTCTTGCGAGAGAGAGAGACACTTGAATGGAATTCTGGCCTGTGGTGGAGTGCACCGGATATTATAGACAGGCTTGAAAGGTGGTGTCTGATGTACATAGGAACCACAGATTGGTTGGACCAAATGTGATGTTTAATTAGCCCTTGGGGAAGCTGGCCACCCCACCCTAATCTTTTTATTATGCAAAGGGGCTTTCCACTTGGCAGGCACCATGTTGTCTGCTCCCTACCGCATGTGTGGTTGGAAAGGAAAAGGGAAGATGGAGCCACCATTTTGAACATGCCTAGTCCCAGGTAGCCTTTTCCTGTTGGCACAACTGCTGGCATTCACCCATGCAAGCTTCTAGCCTGCTTGTCTATGTCTGCAGCTCGATTTTATAGGCTGCTCTTTGTTAGAAAAGAAAATGATTTGAGGGCTGCTTTTCATTAAAAGGAAAACCGTAGCAAGAACTCCCATACCCTCACTATCTGCCTAAATAATTTCTCCTTAACTCCTATATCAGTAAGAAAAGATATTTCAATACTAGGGATGAAAGGAACAAAACTATGAAACCAAAAGGAATTCTTGTTTGGGGAACTCTCAACAGACCAATGAGCAAATCATAGGAGATGATACCAAAATGTTGGATTCAAATTGAAGGGGTCTTGCAGATCATGCTAAGGAGTTTAGCTTAATTCTGTAGGCAGGGAGAGCCAAATATTGAAAGTATCCAATGTGATTAGATTCCTTTATAACTTGCCTGCCAAGTAATACCTATTCATTGAATTATTCAGCAAATATTAATTAAACATTCACTGAGTATTAGGCATTGCATTAGAAACAGGGGATAGAACAGTGATTAATCCAGTCATTGTCCTTCTCCTTCTAGAACTTATTATCTAGTAGAAGAGACAATTGAAGAATTACAATATAATGTGCTAATGGCTAAGATACAGGGAGGGCTAGGTGCATTTTAGCAAAAGCTAAGAAAATCTGATGATGGCAAGGAGGGGAGGACACAGGTTAGGGAGAATCTTTTGGGGAAAGTCATGTCTAGGTTGAAACAGTGGGATGAAGCTGTTAACTAGAATGGACAGATGGATGACAGCCTTGGTGCCAGAAAGAACTTGGAGCAAGGAACTGAAAGGTGATCTGAATGGCTGGAGTATCTCTGAGTGATTCATGACATATGAGGTACAATGTTAGGAAGATTATTTTCTTCATGATAACAGTAGCAGAAAGCTATAGAAGGGTGTTAAGCTTGAGAACAATCTAATTGTATTAACATTTTTTTAATTGTTATACTTTAAGTTTTAGGGTACATGTGCACAATGTGCAGGTTAGTTACATATGTATACATGTGCCATGCTGTTGTGCTGCACTCATTAACTCGTCATCTACATTAGGTATATCTCCTAATGCTATCCCTCCCCCCTCCCCCCACCCCACAACAGTCCCTAGAGTGTGATGTTCCCCTTCCTGTGTCCATGTGTTCTCATTGTTCAATTCCCACCTATGAGTGAGAATATGCGGTGTTTGGTTTTTTGTTCTTGTGATAGTTTACTGAGAATGATGATTTCCAATTTCATCTATGTCCCTACAAAGGACATGAACTCATCATTTTTTATGGCTGCATAGTATTCCATGGTGTATATGGGCCACATTTTCTTAATCCAGTCTATCATTGTTGGACATTTGGGTTGGTTCCAAGTCTTTGCTATTGTGAATAGTGCCGCAGTAAACATACGTGTGCATGTGTCTTTATAGCAGCATGATTTATAGTCCTTTGGGTATATAGCCAGTAATGGGATGGCTGGGTCAAATGGTATTTCTAGTTCTAGATCCCTGAGGAATCGCCACACTGACTTCCACAATGGTTGAACTAGTTTACAGTCCCACCAACAGTGTAAAAGTGTTCCTGTTTCTCCACATCCTCTCCAGCACCTGTTGTTTCCTGACTTTTTAATGATTGCCATTCTAACTGGTGTGAGATGGTATCTCATTGTGGTTTTGATTTGCATTTCTCTGATGGCCAGTGATGGTGAGCATTTTTTCATGTGTCTGTTGGCTGCATAAACGTCTTCTTTTGAGGAGTGTCTGTTCATGTCCTTTGCCCACTTTTTGATGGGGTTGTTTGTTTTTTTCTTGTAAATTTGTTTGAGTTCATTGTAGATTCTGGATATTAGCCCTTTGTCAGATGAGTAGGTTGTGAAAATTTTCTCCCATTTTGTAGGTTGCCTGTTCACTGTGATGGTAGTTTCTTTTGCTGTGCAGAAGCTCTTTAGTTTAATTAGATCCCATTTGTCAATTTTGTCTTTTGTTGCCATTGCTTTTGGTGTTTTAGACATGAAGTCCTTGCCCATGCCTATGTCCTGAATGGTAATGCCTAGGTTTTCTTCTACAGTTTTTATGGTTTTAGGTCTAACATTTAAGTCTTTAATCCATCATGAATTAATTTTTGTATAAGGTGTAAGGAAGGGATCCAGTTTCAGCATTCTACATATGGCTAGCCAGTTTTCCCAGCACCATTTATTAACTAGGGAATCCTTTCCCCATTGCTTATTTTTCTCAGGTTTGTCAAAGATCAGATAGTTGTAGATATGTGGTGTTATTTCTGAGGGCTCTGTTCTGTTCCATTGATCTATGTCTCTGTTTTGGTACCAGTACCATGCTATTTTGGTTACTGTAGCCTTGTAGTATAGTTTGAAGTCAGGTAGCGTGATGCCTCCAGCTTTGTTCTTTTGGCTTAGGATTGACTTGGCGATGCAGGCTCTTTTTTGGTTCCATATGAACTTCAAAGTAGTTTTTTCCAATTCTGTGAGGAAAGTCATTGGTAGCTTGATGGGGATGGCATTGAATCTATAAATTACCTTGGGCAGTATGGCCATTTTCACAATATTGATTCTTCCTACCCATGAGCATGGAATGTTCTTCCATTTGTTTGTATCCTCTTTTATTTCATTGAGCAGTGGTTTGTAGTTCTCCTTGAAGAGGACCTTCAAAGGATCATTTTAAGTGGGAGGAACTGTCAGGAGATTGTTGAAAAGTCCACTAAGAGATGAAGGTGGCCAAGTTAGGTCAGTAATGGAGATGGAGAGAAGTAGACAGACTGAAGAAAGATTTTGGGTTGGAATAAGGGATTGGCATAAACCTAGAAGGATTTTGGGGGTACAGGGTTCAGGGAGAGGGAGAAGTGTAGTTAAGGATAAATTTCAGAGTTATGCCTGAAATTACTAGTGTTAGTTACTAAGAGGCAAAGGTGTTTGCAATGGGGTTGGATAGGAAGAAAGGGAAGAAAATAAATTCAGCTTTTAGTGCATCAAGATTGTGATTCACATAGGATATTAAAGAGAATTTTCAGTAAGCACTTGTCTAAACTCCTGGGGAGAATTTGGGCTGGATACATATTCCCTCCCCCAACCCCTCCCCCACACTTGAGATTTGTTTGCATGTAAATAAATTATGGAAATTCAGAGCAAGGCATACTTTGTGTTTATCCATATTCTAGGTGAAACAAACCTATCTTAGCTTTCATGCTGACAGGTCTGCTAATTTCCTTATCTCTTTCTCGTTGATGACAAACATAATCTCAGTTCATGCTCAGTGATCTGAAATAAACTGTGAATAAAAATGTTTTGGTATGTTCGCAGGGACAAACAAGTTGTGGGTTTTAAACACACAGTAACAATCTGATCAATGGCTAGCAAAGTAGCAAAGTCATTTTATCATAATAAAAAGTATCTCTGCTTCTTCAGGTGTTGATGTCTTCTAATCAAGCTACTGCAATGAAGATATTTACTGAATTGCAGCAGCTTCTCAGAGAAGTAAAATAAAGATTTATTAGGTAACAAATTTGTCAACATATGATCATGGCAGCTGTTCAACATAGACCTCCCACTTTAAGTTCATGTTATTGGGAGACTGCCAAGCATCTGTAAAAGGAAAGAAACAGTGCTCCTGAATCCTATCCTTACACACACAGTGTATCCTGATTGTTCCATGCGATTTGCAGCTCTCTAGCTTCCAATCTGGTCTAGCTCCTGTATTTTCAAGTGACTCCATTTAACTGCTCCTGTAGCTCTTCATTTATTGCATGATGCTGTAGAAATAGTATAAACAGATCTGAGTTTGGGCAAGTCAGCTTCCTTATCTGGAAGATGGAGATAGTATTCTCCTTGAGCATGTGTTGTGAGCTGAATAAAATAGGGTAAAGTGCTGTGTGTAAAATGTGTGTGTTGTATTTTATAGGCACTTAGCAAATATTTACATGCACTTGTGACTACCGCCCTTAAAACTGTTTTCTTGGAATTACGTTCTGTGAGCTGCTTCTATGAGAAACACAGACAGAAATATGTATAGGTATTCTAGCCTGTTCCCTCTCCCTTCTCAGAAAGGAGCTAGGCGCCAAGAAAAAAAAAAATGCTGTTACAGGTTTAGAAGGATCACCAAATCTAATATCTTTAAAAAGCCATCCACTAACATTTTTGTATGATTAACTCATTCCCCGTTGATGCAGAAAGACCTGAACAGAATAAATAGCTTGTATGCATATATAATTGTTGTATTTTTCACAGTGAATTTAATGTGCCTCAATGTCAATAGTAACCAGATTTTTCAGTTGAAAATTGGAAAAACTATCAGGGTGACCCCAGAGCTTAGATTACATGGCATTTACTGTCTTTGACATGAAGAGATTAATAGAGAGCTTATTCTACTTCATCAATATAGATGATAATCTGAAAAACCATCCTGTTTTATGAATAATTTTGTGTCAATTGCTTCTAAATTAGATCTATGTTCCCCTGTGAATTCTTAATTACTATCTTTGCTCCCATCTAATTTAAATTTAACATTTTTGTTTTCTTTGCACAAATTCTATTTTTGTAGAGCTCTGAAATGCACTTTTTAAAAGGATGTTTTTCAATGAGTCCAGATGGTACCAATAATTATTTATTATCTTTAGCTTCCACCATTATCTGTCATCCAATCTGTGATATTATAAATCATGTTCAGTGCTCAGAGCTGCTGTAGCAATTCACTGGAAAAACGCTTGTGTAATAAGTTCAGAGGAATCCAACATATTATCGAGGTAGAACTACTTTCAAAGCTTTAATTAAAAGTCTGATGACTATACTAGCTTCGTATTAGCGTTTTATGAGTAGTTGCTTATGACTGTAATCCTTTTTGCTCGTCTCTAATTCACTGAATACCCAACTATAGTTCCATAGAACTTGTCACAGAGTGAACTGAAGTTTTACCTGTCACCAGTGTGAAACTAGGAAAAGTTAACAGCAGAAGTAATTTGCCGATTTAATAAATAAGACCCTTCAGTTAATTTTTACTTGGAGGGGATTAGAAAGCTCTTTCTGCTGGGGGTGGGGGTGACTCACTAGATCATGGTATTCAAGGGAAGACATGACTGCTTTGTTTTTATTGTTTACTCCAGGACCAAACCCATGTAAATGCTCAGTACATGCAATTTATTTTCAGTCCCTGGAATGATCTTCAAACCCTTGCGTGCCAGTTAAAGCGTACTTACCCAGACTATTCCTTTCAAACAGAATTAATCTTGCTATTTGAGTGTTCCCTTACCATTTTGTGATGATCTGTGATATAATACTTGTTGCATTTTTTACGATTTGTTTTCATTTATCTCTTTAAATGGTGATCACATTGAGGACAAAGCCAAGATTTTTCTCACAAATCCTCATGTCAATAGTATCTAACAGAGTAGATTGCATATATCATGGGCTCAACAAACATCTTTTGAATTAATTACTAATCAATGTTTCTGAGAGCAGTTGATATGTATGTGTGTGCATCAGCCATAACTTGCTGTATTATTAGGACATAGCATTTTGGTGGTCAACTAAAACTATTTTTCTTTTCTTCCTTTTTAATTTTTTTCTCTTCTTTCTCCATTACAAATTGCTATTAAATTTGCTTCCGCTAAAATGCAGGATATAATTAATTTAAAAAATACAAATGCAGGACTTTATATTGGGTCTTGCTATTATACATTTATTTTGCTGAATGTTTCAGCCTATCAAAATATTAAAAAATAAAATCCATCAAAATTACTTTTGAATGTTTGATTTAAAAAATATTCTATGTATTTACCCAAATTGTTCAGAAGCTCCTCAATTATGAAAGCAAAAACCAAGCCACTGGAGACTTCTCTTTAGTTCTAAACAAATTTATTAATCAACTCATTGATTATATTAAGTTATCTAACTATGAATAAGCTTAATTGTACTATATCCAGCTCAATTTCTATATGCTCCCCACAAGGATTTCATAAAAAAAAACTAAAACCTTCTTAAAATTAATTTTATATTACAGAGTGCCAATGTCTAGTATCTCAATAGAAAACATTAAGTGACAGCAATGGAAATAGTGGCATAAGAACTTTCAAAAAATTCTCTTATAAAAAGCAATGAGAACACTAGAAAAAGTTAACAAAAATCAGTGTTTTAAGAAACCAAGGCTTATAATAATTTGTGAACATTTATTCAAGAAAAATGGGCTGGGTGGAGTGGCTCATGCCTGTAATCCCAGCACTTTGGGAGGCTGAAGCAGGTGGATCACTTGAGCTTGGGAGTTTGAGACCAGCCTGACCAACATGGTGAAACCCTGTCTCTACTAAAAATAGAAAAATTAGCCAGGGGTGGTGGTGGGTGCCTGTAATCCCAGCTACTCAGAAGGCTGAAGCAGGAGAATCAGAAGAATTGCTTGAACCTGGGAGGCAGAGGTTGCAGTGAGCCGAGATTGTGCCACTGTACTCCAGCCTGGGTGACAAAGCCAGGTTCCATCTCAAAAAAAAAAACAAAAGAAAAAAGAAAAAAGACTTATTCTCAATAAAAACATTAAGTTTTGTGATGTTTCAACTTACCCTATCCCCATCTTCCTCTTCCCATTTGTGGTAGCCTTGAAAATCAACAGCCTTGTAATTATCTTGAAAACCAGCAGTCTAGCAGCCACTGGAGAATGTATTTGGGGTTGGAATTCCTACAAAGCCCCATTCTTAACTGTTATTATTTGACCTGTCTGGCAATTCCTTGGAAAATCCTACTCCCAATGCTTGTCTGTATTTGACCTGTGTTACAACTCTTTCAGTATAAACACACTTTTGCCCAGGGATATTTGTTGAAATAATCTGTGGCAGTTGCTCGAGGTAGTGAAAGGATGAGTTGACCAAACCACTTTTAAAAAAGCTTATTGGACCCACCTATTAAAGCTTTGGAAAGATCTGACATTTTCCTGGGAATCTAGAAGGGCCCTCACATGCAGAGACATGTTTTTGCATAGGGCTATGTGCATACTCAAGAAAGACCCAAGAGGGCCTTAAACTCTCCACAAGTAAGAAGTAAAAGCTCTATATGTGCCACATTTTCTCATACTATGCAGCCATAAAAAAGAATGAGTTCATGTCCTTTGCAGGGACACAGATGAAGCTGGAAACCATCGTTTTCAGCAAACTAACCCAGGAATAGAAAACCAAACACCGCATGTTCTCACTCATAAGTGGGAGATGAACAATGAGAACATATGGGCACAGGGAGGGGAACATCACACATTGAGGCCTGTTGGGGGTCAAGAGGAGGGATAGCATTAGGAGAAATACCTAATGTAGACGACAAGTTGATGGGTGCAGCAAACCACTATAGCACGTGTATATGTGTGTAACAAACCTGCATGTTCTGCACATGTATCCCAGAACTAAAGTATAATTTAAAGAAAAAAAAGATAGTGTAGCCCTGCAGTTTACAATTAAGTGCTGGCCACATTATTAACTTGTGCCCAAACCAGAGTAAAGACCCCTGAGGCAAAAAAAAAAAAAAAAAAGGTAAAACCTGACTGGTCATGGTGGCTTATGGTTATAATCCCAGCACTTTGGGAGGTTGAGGCTGGCGGATCACCTGAGGTCAGGAGTTCGAGACCAGCCTGGCCAACATGGTGAAACCATGTCTCTACTAAAAATACAAAAAAAATGAGCCGGGCATGGTGGCACACACCTGTAATCCCAGCTACTTGGGAGGCTAAGGCAGGAGAATCACTTGAACACGTGAGGCAGAGGTTGCAGTAAGCTGAGATCACGCCACTGCACTCCAGCCTGGGTGACAGAGCGAGACAAAAAAGCTAAGGCAGAGTGTTAAACTGCTGGACTTGAGTGTTGAAGCCATGCCCCACCGGATACACAGAGAGCCTTTTGGTAAAAGCTGGGAGCTTATTGGTTACAGGCATTTAAAGAAATTTACGTTCAGTCAGTATTTGACCAGTAAGCTGAGCAGAAACTTCGATAGCCCCACGGTACAAAGAACATAGACTTCAGAAACATAGTTCAGGAAAGTCAGTAAACAAACAGCAGCAGCAGCAACAATAACATGAACAAATAGCATTAAACACATATATTTAGACAGAAGAAAATTCTCGAAGCAATTTTGTAAACTTCCACCTTAAGAACTTAGAAAAAAACAGATAAAGACATCATAAGAAAACTACCGACCAATGTCAGTTGTGAATATAGATTCACAAATCCTCAACAAAATACTAGCAAACTGAATCCAGCAACATACCAAAAGGATATCCACTGTGATAGGAGACGAGTAGCTCGCTAAAGATGTCTACATTTGAATCCCTGGAACCTTTAAATATTTTAGGCTACCTGGTAAAGGGCAATTAAGGTTGCAAATGGAATTAATGCTGCTAATTGAAAAAACAACAACAGCAAAAACCACACGCCTTAAAACCTTAAACAGTAAGGGTAGCTTGGATTATCCAGGTGAGCCTAATGTAATCACACAGGGACAGGAGTAAACAAGTGGAGGAATAAAGTGGAGGATCACGAGGGAAAGAGATCTCAAATGGCAGGACGTTGAAGCCTGTAGTGATTGTGAAGAGAAGACTTCTGCAATTTTTCCATGGTGGGAATCTGTCTAGTATCACGGATGTGTGAGAAGAGCTGGAAGAGTTTTGTGCCTTACGTGCTGTGATGTGCATGCCTCCCGTGCTCAAGCTCTCAGTCAACTCTATTATCTATGCAGTTTTCAGACTGTAATACTTTGGAGATTAAAGGAACCAATGTATGAGGCAAAGTAGCATGGAAAATAAGAATTTAGAAGGATAGGCCAGGCGTGGTGGCTCACGCCTGTAATCCCAGCACTTTGGGAGGCCGAGGCGGGCAGATCATGAGGTCAGGAGTTAGAGGCCAGCCTGACCAACATGGTGAAACCCCGTCTCTACTAAAAATACAAAAAATTAGCCTGGCATGGTGGTGCGTGCCTGTAATCCCAGCTACTCGGGAGGCTGTGGCAGGAGAATGGCTTGAACCCGGGAGGTGGAGGTTGCGGTGAGCTGAGATCGCGCCACTGCACTCCAGCCTGAGTGGCAGAGTGAGACTCCATCTCAAAACAAACAAACAAAAAAGTTTAGAAGGATAGAAAAGGATATAAGGATGTGGAATCACATTGGACATTGAGACATCAGTGGAAATGAAGATTTGGAACCAGAGGTGAGTTGGATAAAGGCAAACTTACACTTAATCCAGATTCTCACCCTATATGGGCTGAAATACATGCATATATTTCAAAAGACAGGATAAATTTGCTCACTTACATGTGACGTGGAATGTAAAGACTTGTAGAATACAGCTTAGGAGGGAACATAAAACTCCCACAGAGCTGAATGAAAATCTCATTTCATTTCCTTATACATGTTATAGTCCATAATTCATTAAAATCCTGGAGAGCTTTGTATATGCCAATTATGAAGTTTCAAGTAGTTTCTCCAGGTCACAGGAGTTTCCAGTTTATCCTTTCATCCCATCCACTAATTATGAAAATAAATGAATATTATGCAAGCCTTCAATCTTGTTGTTCTCCCATTTCACCTGGCTTTAGGAGTGTACCTGAAACAGGTGGCCTATGGCATTGCAGCTCTGGATCAAGAAATGAGATACAGATGTAGTGAGGATCTTAGGGCCCCGGTGGTGGAGAGTGACACTGTCACTTCCTGTGCGTTTACTGTTGTTTATTCATAACAATGCAGTGCCAGTGTTTGTAAATGCTTGTCTATTTTGGAAAACAAGGTTTCCTTTTGTTAACTTTTGTCACGAAGAATGTGGGCACCATGCTGTATGAGGTTCAGCCGAGAATATTGAAAATGGTTGCACCTGGTTCGCGTTTCTCCTAGAAGACTAATTTACTTTAAAAAATGATAGCATTGGCCAGGTGCGGTGGCTCATGCCTGTAATCCAAGCACTTTGGGAGGCTGAGGTGGGCAGATCACGAGGTCAGGAAGTCGAGACCACCTTGGCCAACATGGTGAAACCCCGTCTCTACTAAAATACAAAAAATTAGCCAGGTGTGGTGGCACGTGCCTGTAACCCCAGCTACTTGGGAGGCTGATGCAGGGGAATCGCTTGAACCCTGGAGGCGGAGGTTGCAGTGAGCTGAGATTGCACCACTGCACTCCAGCCTGGTGACAAAGCAAGACTCCACCTCAAAAAAAAAAAGAAAAGTATTATCAGTTTGTCACATCATATTTGTAATTTCCATGAGAGCCCCCTCCTTTTCCTGTTGGAACTGATGGGCCACAGTGAGAATAGATGGACCTCTTTTTCCAGTCCTCCTAGTCAACAGTCCACACCACAGCAAAATTCTTTAAGGCAATTTAATGTTGTTATTATCTATACTATGTTTCTGTTTTGAGATTTCTGAAGCCGTTTTTACAAATTACATTCATGTAGCCAGTACTTCCAAGTTTGCTCACGTATGAATAGATGACAATAATTCCCCCATTTTGCTTTCCACGTATCTTTTCGGTCACAGGCTCTCACAGGTAAAAGTAGATGTTGACATTCTTTATGCCCATTGTTCCATCCGTCTGAGGAGCCCTCCCCTGCCTCTTTATCTATTATAATTTGACTAATTCTTTCAAGATGCAGTTTTCTATTACTCCTTTCACTGAGTCTTTCCTATCATCCTATCCCAAACTCATTTATTCCTTTTCTCTTACCCCATAGAAAAATTTACTTTTAATTCTGTACAGATTGGTTCAATTCAACAAAACTTTATTTTCTGTGTAGTAGCATGGTGGTCTGGAGCTGACTAAAGCCTGGCTCTACTGCATCTAGCCTTGGGAATGTTGGCAAAGTACCTACTATCTGCCTCTTGTTTCCTTATTTGTAAAGTGGGATAGTAATAATGGTTACTTCTTAGGGCTGTTCTGAGGGTTACATGTGTTAATATACAAAGTGCTTAAGGGAGGGCCACTGTTTTTGACACTCAGGCTTTGCCTTATACGATTCCAGAAGCATCTTTGATATAGAATGCTATGTAAATGGTGCCCTGGAATTGTGCACTATACTGCCTGAACAATAATTAATGGCTACCCTACTTAGTCGCTGGCACGTAAAAGTAGCTCCAGATGGCCGGGCACGGTGGCTCATGCCTATAATCCTAGCACTTTGTGAGGCCGAGGCGGGAGGATCATGAGGTCAGGAGATCGAGACCATCCTGGCTAACAGAGTGAAACCCCGTCTCTACTAAAAATACAAAAAATTAGCCGGGCGTGGTGGCGGGTGCCTATAGTCCCAGCTACTCGGGAGGCTGAGTCAGGAGAATGGCGTGAGCCCGGGAGGCGGAGCTTGCAGTGAGCCGAGATCTCGCCACTGCACTCCAGCCTGGGTGACAGAGCAAGACTCCGTCTCAAAAAAAAAAAAAAAAAAAAAGAAAAAGAAAAATAGCTCCAAGTGTTTAGAAGTATTGATATTATTGTGATTCTTTGTTTCATAGGGATAAAACATCTATATCGTTAGATTGCTTATTATTTCTAACTTCACATCCTTCCTTTCTCATCTCCCGTTTGCTTCTGCTCATCTCTTACATGTTTAGTTGTTAACCACAGTCAACTCAGTCTTTCACACTGTATACATTATTTCTAGGAAATTATAAATTACTAAACTTATACATGGAGAAAAATTAGATAAATAGGAAAGTGAGAAAGTTATCTAAAAGTGACTTCATTCTCCATAGAAATGGAAGGCAAAGGCATTTTCTGTGCTGAATACTTATTTTACGATGAAGAAAATTATTCCCTTGCAAACTCTCTATCTAGTGTTATTTAAAAATCCTAACAAATATAACACAAATATATGATAATAATTTGATAAATCACATGCATAAATATTTAGGCAAAAATCTCAAAATGTTAGTAATTGAAATTTGCAGTTCACTCAAAAAACAACACAACCAATATGAAGTTTGTTTTAACTATGGTGCGATGGTTCAGTATGAGAATATCTATGAATGCAATGACTATATCAAATAATCGACAGTTTGAAAAAGCATTTCAAAAAATTATGCAGTAAAATTTAATATCTCAATAAAAGAAAACATCTGCCATGGCTAAAACAAACCTCACATTGGTTTTGCTGTTTTTTAATGGACTGCAGATTGCAGTTACTGAGACATCTATTCTTAGAATAAGTATACAATTTTGTAATGTTTCAAAATCTGATACTTATATCTCAAATTAAGCATCAGCATTGTACTTTAAGATTGAAAGCAGAAGCATTCCTTTTATACTAAATGTTGTTAGTTACCCATATGCAGGTAGAGAAATTTGTCTTGCCTTTACTTACCATGTCTTTCCTCTTTACCTACATACATAGAAGAGCTGTTATTATTAGATGTGATTTATTATTAAAATAAATATTGTTTACCAAAAACATTTTACATTTCAAGAATTATATTCAAGATCTTGTCTTCTATTTTTTAAACTGGTATTTCTAATGATTGTGTGTACCTGTGTTCACATGTTTAATTGACTTCAGTGCTCCATATTAGTTCTTTTTCATTTTGACTTTATTTCCCCTTAGTTGTTGATCTTGTTTTCTATTTCAATCAGCTAGAAAATCTGTAACAAATGTTCTAAATAAAATATAAGGGTAATCATTTCAGGGCATTAAATATTCATGAATATTTTATTTTCCCACAAGAATAACAACTTTATAGGTAAAAACTGTTGTGTCACAATACGTTTTTCTTAAAAATCATAGTGCTCCTTTTTCTTTGGATATGTTGATTATTCAAGAGAAATGCAAAGCCTTTTTTATAGCTAAAATTTCACTAGTTGAATGATTATAGGATTTTTTTTACTATATTTGTAATGTAAAACATTATTGAGAAAAGTCAAATAAAACTTAGGTAAAAGAGAAATATATCCTTTTCATGGATTGGAAGACATTAAATGGTATCAGTTTTCTCTAGAATGGTCACCCTGGCCAAATTCCTACTAGAAATTTTTAGTGAAACATGGCAAGATTATTCTAAGATACATACACACACACACACACACACGTACACATACGTGTATACAGCCAAAGTAAAGAAGAAAAAATGCAAGAGATTGCTATTCTAGTAGATACCGCGACTCAATAAAAATCTATAAAACTTAAACCAGCATGATATGCTCACAATGAGAGAACAAATTAATAGTAGAATGGAAGAGAGACCACCCTAGAGTCAGACTAGTGCCATATGAACATTTGATTTATGACAAAAGTTGAAATGCATAGCAGTTTGGAAGGGACTATCTTTTCAATAAAAATGCAGGAATAATTGGATATCCACCTGAAAAAAAATGAAACTCGATTTCTATCTCCCACTATATACAAAAATCAATTCCAATTGTTAAAAGCAAAACAACAAAGTTTTCAGAAGATGAATGAAGACTATCTCCATGACCTTGCAGCTGGAAAAATTTTCTTAAACAAAATACATAAAGTGCTAAGAATAAAGAAGATTAATAAAGTAGAAGATTGGTAAATTTGACTGTAATAAAATTGAGACCGTCTGTTTATCAAATGTCATTGTTGAGTGAAATGACAAACTATGTAGTGAGAGAAAGTACTTGCAAAATATATAATTGTCACAAAACCCTTATCCATAATTTCTACAAATGAATGAGAAGACAGAGTAGAAGAATGGGTAAAAGAATGTAAAGCCAATTTACAAGAGGATATCCAAATAGCCAAATGAAAATTTGTTCAACCTCAGTAGTAATTAGAGAAATGGAGATAAAAAATCATGTATGATACCAGTATACACATATCAGAATGGCTAAAAATGAAAAAGACTGATGATAAATTTTGGCAAAGCTGCACATCAGTGAGAATTTTCATGAACAATGCTGATGTTATTGTAAATAAGTATAATCATTTTGGAAAATACTTTGTTGTTTTTTGTTAATATTGAATGTATGCATCTCAGTAACTTGGCTATTCTACTTCTATTTATAGACACGAAAACATGGATAAAACATATAATTTATTCATAACACCTAAACTGTAAACAAACCATATGTCCTTGTATAGTAGAATTATTAAATAGTGGTATTCTCATACAATAAAATTCTATACAGCAAAGAAAGTAATAAACTTCAGATGCACACAACAATATAGGTGAATCCAAAAGACAATGTTTTCTGAAGAATTGTAATGAAAAAAAACAGCTAAAATACATATTTCAAAAATACTAATCCTTAAGCTTAGTGACATACAAATAGCTGATGTAACTATTAACAAAAGAGTTGATCAACATAAAATTCAAGACAGCAATTTTTTTTGAGGAAAGGAAGACTTATGAGTGGGAAGATGCATGCTGACGATGTCTGCAATGTTGTTGATGTTTTAAACATTTTTTCACTTGAGTGGTGGTTTAATATTGGTAATAAAGATAATTTGTTAATGTGAACATTTGTATTTTCTGTATGTGTGCTATTTAACCATGAAATGTTTTGTTTCTTACAAGAAAATATGCCAAAAGTTAATTAAGTTCCTGAGGTACAGTTTTAGTATAGTGACTCTTTTCTTTCTTTTCATCTTCTAAATAAGAGATATCATCTATTAAATAATTTTATGCTTCTGCCAGGTAAAGATGCAAGACTGAAAGATATTGGTTAGATGCTGAAATATTAAAATTTTAGAATATCTTATTGATTTATGGAGACAACAGAAGAAAATATTTGATTTTGAAATTATCCCCCAAACAGAAAATATGTTCGTTATCCACAGATAATTAACAAATGAGTCTGCAGTCCTTCTATGACTGAGACTCTTCACCTATTGATGATGTGTGTGACAATCTGTATCACCTGTAGAAATGGCCAAAATTTTGAAGATGCCTAGGCCTGCTATCAGACATCAAACTTTTGGTTTTAACATTTCCAGATTTTAACTATGTGATCCTAGAATGCCATTTGCTGGTTTCCTCAGTTTTAATCTACCTCCTTTTAGAAATTACACTAATTGAGAGATGGTATGAGAAATGACTAAAGCTATAGATAATTAACAGAGATTTTACATGGCCTTCAGAGGGTGGATTTGTACTTTTTAATGTGAATGAGAGAACTGTAATTGTAAAAACCATGGGAGTCTTACATTTGCTTAATTTGAGGCTAGTTCTGTATAACTTATTGGGTTAATAGACACTTTTTTCCTGATCTGCTTATGATAGGTGAGAAACTACTTCAATTCACATTTTAAAAATGCAATTATCCCTTGTTCTTCATGGAAAATTGGTTTCAGGACTCCAGTGGATACTAAAATTCATGGATACTCAAGTCCTGCAGTCTGCCATGAGGAACCTGCAGATACAAAACATTGAACCTCAGTATCCACAGGTGCTGCATCACACAAATACAGTATTTTTGATGAGCAGTTGGTTGAAACTGCAGATATATAGGACTGACTGTCTACAGTATTTTAAAGAATAGTTTTAGGCTCAAAATATATTGTAAAGATTGTACAGAGAGTTCCCATAACCCCGTCCCCCAGTTTCTCCTACTGTTAATGTCTTATATTAGTATGATACATTCGTTACAATTAATGAACAAATATTGGTACATTATTACTAAAGTCCACACGTTAGTTTTTCTTAGTTTGTATTTAATGTACTTTTTCTTTTCCATATATGTTGTCATAACTCATTAATGTTCTCTTGGCTATGATGATTTCTTAGATGTGTTTTTTATGACCTTGACAGTTTTGAGGCGCCTTGCTCAGATATTTTATAAAATACCCTTCAAATGAGATTTGTCTTGAGTTTGTATAATTAAACTGGGATTATAGGTTTTTGGGGAGAAGATCACAGAGGAAAAGTGCAATTTTTATCACATGATAGCAAGGGTACATACTATCAACATGGCTTATCACTATTAATGTTGACCTTAATCACCTGGCTGAGAGAGAGTTTGTCAGATTTTGTCACTCTCAAGTTACCTTATTTTCATTTTTTCCTTGTTATGCTCTTTGGAAGGAGTCACAGCACACATCATCCCAAATGTATGGAGTTTAACTCCACCTCCTTGAGAGTGGGACAGCTACATAATTGTTGTTGTTGTTTTTCTGCATGGGATATTTGTCTCTTTTCCTCCATTTATTTATATTATTATGGATTAATTCAAGTCTTAAGTGGAGTTATGTATACCCATATTGGGTCACATCAGTCCTAATTTACCAGACCTCAAATTACCTCTTCAGCTTCATATGGTATCCACAGGGTCACATCCATTGTTCTGAACAGGCTGAATTGTCCTCTATTCCACACACGTCCATTGCTTTTTTATATTGACAAACCTCTAGCAGAAATATTCTTCCTTGCCTTCTTCATCTAGAAAAGTTTTACTCATTCACTTTTCAAGATGAATTTTAAATGTGATGTCATCTATGAAACTTTCTGCAACTTTTCCAAATACTGAGTCCTTTACTGCTCTTTGCTCCAAAAAAACTGCATATGCCTTTTTTATAGGACTTAAGTTTTATGGCAATTATAGATTTATATGACTATATATCCCATTTGATTGTGAATTTCATCAATACAGGAACTAGATCTTATTCTTCTCTGCAATAGCCCCTGTGGCTAGAATAGTGTCTGAAACTGAAGTTTCTCTTAAATCTGAATAAATAATAAAACCAACAATGAGAGATGCTCTGAGTGCTCTTGAAACACACATTTTTAACCATTGCTATATTCTTGTGAAGGAGATCATTGGGTGGAAATCATTTTGTGCATTGTTTTTCTAATTAATCCTATTACAGCAGAGGCTGTATATCCTCAATTATCTTGTTCAAAATCAATTTCCTTACTGCTTTCAGGAAATACAGCCATGCTTACATTAAAACAATGTGTCTTCACCATGTAGTTTCCTGGGGGGTGGATCTGTTTTAAAGGGCTCATTACAAATCTCTACATGCCATGGGAATTGCCAATAGATCATGATGTCATCATGGCAACTTTATATTGTTTGATCAGATTGGTCAAATACTCTATGCCAACATTTGGCCAGAAGTCACCGTTTTTTCATTTTTTGGTTGTTTTCAGCTTTCTGGAATACCCACTGTGGACTGCAATTCCTATTATAAGAGTCTTTTTTATTGTGTTAATTAGATGATGTCTCACTGTTCAGTAATTTTACCTTAAACTTACAAGAGAGGACATTATTCTCTGTTGTATTTCTATGATTTTGTGTAAGATGTGGTAGAATTACTAAATGGGGCCTAAGACTTGTGGGTTTCTCTTTGAAAATATGTTAGGGCATCTCTAAACAACAAAGGTTTTTTGAAGTAGAGAAGATTAATAGGAGGGTCTTTCTGGCCCTCTATCTAAGAGATAAAAGTTTTTTTTTTTTTTTTTTTTTTTTTTGATGGGGGATTCTACCATGTACACTTGCGCGATTGGTGAATGTTTCTTTATGCCTGTCCAGTGAGCAGCCTGCCAGACCCTAGATACGAATTAGAAGAGTGCACTGGCCCACCTGTAGGTAATTCACTCCTTAGTATGGATTCACTTTGCTTTAAACTGTCTTTTAATCAGCTCTGTTTGGCACAGATGACAGGAGAACACATTACAGAATGTTAAGTCAAGCTCTAGGTCTGTTTTGATTTGCAGAGTATTTGGTTTTGAGAAGAGCATTTTCCAGGATGTCTGGGGAGAAAATGCTTTTCTGATGAGCAGAGAATCACAGGCCATTAAGAGGGCACCTAAGGCCCCCGGCAGAGGTTGAAAAATCAACATGCGCTTGCGACAGAACGACTTTTTCCATCAGATTTCTGATTGCCAGGAGCCAGCTGGGATGAATGTTTTTTAAAAATTGAATTTGCAACCACAAGATAGGATTAGGTTTTGGCTTCTCCACTTCCTGGTTCTTTATTCAACGCAGGGTTAAGAGTGACTAACACTTCAGGTTAAAAGTTAAAATCCTATTAACATATAAGTTAACTTTATAACTGTATTTTTTGAGTCACTTTTAGTATAAAGATTTTAGATTTTATTTATATATATTTTAAAGTATCAAACTACATATATAAATTAGCAATTTATATGAATACATAATAAGAGTAGCAATGTAAACAAATTTTAGACAAGATCGGGCACATTCAGGGTGGTATGGCTGTAGAGGAAACAACTTTTAAAATCATTTAAAACTGTTGCTTTTCTGGCAAAAGTAAAACAATCAAAAAATAATTTCCCAGAATTATTTTTGGAGAACATAACTTTTAACTTTGATATGAGAAAATAACTACTTGCTATATATTCTTTCATATATTGTCAACATTTTTATTTTCAGGACTAGATAGAATAATGTTGGGTTGAATAACTTTTATAAAATTTAGTAATGAAATATATGCTGTTATTAATTTTTTTGAATTTCAATTAATGCACTAAAGTACTGAAGATCAACTAATTTCCACAAGTCAGCCAGTAGCATCCAGTACACATACACAGACCCTCATGATATGACTTTGAAATTGTGGAAACTCAAAGTAGAGAAAATCTTCTAATCATAGCCATCTACTCACTGTAGTTTTATAGCACTGATCTTATATATATTTTGTGTGTGTTTCATGAATTCAATGCTATTGGTGCTCATATAATACCTAAGGCAATCAATGACAGATTAAGATTTTGTCAGGTAGGGAAACCATTATAATCTCTAAGATATTTTTCTTTTTCCAAGAATAAATTTTCATCCCCTGGAGGCGATATCATTCCCATTGAAATGCGTGGTTTATGGTAGATTCATTGATGTCGACAGCCTTGAATTCTCAATTAGAAAAATAGGAATTATATAATCAAACTTACATTTAAATGTGTCCCAATACAATGTGTGGTTGTGTAGTTTATTATTAGTTCAAGCAGTATTTTTGACTATCAGCCATATATCACACATGATGGTAGGTGATAGTGATACATAGTTGAATAGCATATCAAGAAGATTTGGTTTTTACACTCAAAAAACTTGCAGTATAAACAGGTAGGCAAACATATAGACAGATAATTTTAATACAATATGGCAAGTATAGTTATTGTAGTGGGCAAAGAAGGATCCTAGCTTACTTTTCCCATAGGTTAAGGAAACATGGAATGACAAAAAATTCATTATAAAGAATGAATGGGGTATGAGTCTGGAAGAAGCCTCATGATACATGAGGGCAGAAGGAGAACAATCTAGTTGAGAAAAACAACATTTGGAATGGCAACATGAAACTATATAACTAATGTACTCTTTGCACAAGCAAAATCAACTTAAAAAATTTTTTTGAATAAGAATCTCACTCTGTTGCCCAGGCTGGAGTGCAATGGCATGATCATGCTTCATGGTTCAATGTAACTTTGAACTCCTGGTCTCAAACGATCCATCCCCTGACTATTACCTCAACCTCCCAAGTAGCTGGGGCTATGGGTATGCACCACCACATCTGGCTGACTTAAAAAAAAATATTTTGTAGAGACAAGATATTACTTTTTGGCTTAGGCTGGTCTTGACCTTCTGGCCTCAAGCAACCTCCTGTCTGGGTCTCCCAAAGCAGTGGGATTACAGTGGTTCTTCATCTTTTTCACCAATGTAACCCTAACAACAGAGATGGTTGTTAATACTGTATTGTTATTTTAAGGATTAAAAGCTGTTATTTTAAACTTAAAATTTCATGTGAATTTTGGACTCTATTTTATATCTGCTTACTAATAATTTTAAATTACTTGTTAATTAAATTGCTCCAAAAAAATATTTGAGTAATGCCAATGGTCTTAAAAGATGTGTCATGTTTATGCTTTCAGCATCCTATGGTACATCTTCATATCTGTGGTAATAGGTATGTCTGTGTTTGAGAATTAAGTGTGGTCTTAGGTTATGAAGGAAATTTAAAAATAGTGGAAAAGTAGTGGCATGTATTTCTCCTTTAAATAGAATATTCAAGTTGCAGGGAAGAGGATGAATTTGAAGGAGTTAAGAGTGGGAATAATCAAGAAGCTACTGCAGTAGTTTCAGTAAGAAGGAACTTAGGCTTATATCCTCCCATGGACACTGGGAGTTAGAGACTTTATTTTTATTACATTTCAAAGGAACAGCACCCAGGTCCTTGAGAAATACATTCCTGGGTTGTAAAACTGGCAAGAAGCATTTAAAAAGATTTACATGTTAAAGGAGAAAAGAAAGGACTTACAATTCCAAGTTTTCTAAAGTCAGTGTTCTAAGAAAAAGGAGGTGGGTGCCTAGAGATGGGAACAAGTCTGTTTAAAATTCAGTCAAGGGAAGGGGAATATCAAGGACGTGTTAGTCAGTCTTAAAGGTTAAATTTTAAAACTGACCTAAAGGATGAGCTTGGCGGCTCACACCTATAATCCCAGCACTTTGGGAAGAAGAGATGAGAGGTTCACTTGAACCCAGGAGTTTGAGACCAGCCTGAGCAACATAGCAAGACCCTGTTTCTACAAATAAATAAATAATAGCCGGGCTTGGTGGCATGCAGACGTAGTCCCAGTTACTCAGGAGGCTGAGGGGGAGGATTTCTTGAGCCCAGGAAAGAACCTGTCTCTAAATAAATAAAAAAAAAAAAAAGAAAAATAAAGCTAACCAGCTGACTTCCAACAACTGTGTATGAAATAACAAGGGAAAGAGGGAGAGACAAGAAGAAAATAGCCAACATATGAACAAGTGTGTGTGTGTGTGTATACATATGCAAGACAAGTAAAGAGAAAAGACTAGAAATTCCATGGGCGTAAACCCATTTATGTACTTTTGCTTTGAAAAGATTACTTGATCAGGAGCAATGCTGTTTGGAATACTGTCACGGTGCATAATTGTGATTGACTTTCTGCAAAATAGCACAGTCTACAGGGTTGTGAAGGGTGATGCAGGCAACATCATTGTGTCAGGAAAGATTATCCATATTCAGAATATATGTGTATGTTTTAGGGAAGATGAATATCTGACCCCTCACAATGGAAAAGTTCCAACATAAGCAACCTACCAGTTGACTGGCTGATTCTACGCTAGCCTGGGAAATGGTATTCCAGCAGGGGTTCAGGATTGGTCTCTTCTGTTGGCAGACTGGACACTCAGCAATAGCAGTAACTAGGTCAGATTTGGTAAGATAAAGTCCAAGTTTTGAACCATGGGACAGTCTTTATCCCTGCCACCAGGGACACTTTGTACATGGGTCCATTGATCTTGTAATGAATTGATTGGGGAAAAGAAGTAACTGGCATATGTGTAATTTTGTCCACTGGCATATTGACAATGTATTAAATTGAACATGCTGAAATGTTCACTTTGGTGAACATACACATGGGACAGAGATATCTTCATAGCTATGTGCCCACTGTGAGAGGCCCATCCGCATGTCTGTCCCAGACAATCATGTTACTAATATCCCAATCATATTCATTCTGTCTGTGACCCTCCAGCAAAACCATCAGTAATTCTCTATGATCCAGCCTTCCCTCAGTCCAGGAAATGTAGGCAACCAAATATACCATTTGAACTTATGCTCATATGGAATAGTTTGCTGCTGTCATTTACAGTCATGTTTGAGTCTCTATTGCTGCATCCACCCACTTGGGTTTCTCCCTATATTTTCTGTCTGAGGAACTCCTCATTCTCTAGCTTGCATATTTTACTAAGTCATCTAAAGTACTTGTTATTTTCTGTTTATCAGATTCAATCGTCAATATAGTGGACCACTGTGATATTTTGCGGAATGTTGAGATGGTCAGCATCTCTATGAACTGTATTATGGCGGAAGGTGAGAACTGTCTTAGTTGTGAGTTAATATACCTTACCTTACAAAGGTATATTCTTGGTCCTTCCAGGTAAAATAACACTGTTTTTGGTGGTCCTTCCACATTGATAGGGAGAAAAAGCATTAGCTAGGTCAATAGCTGCATACCAAGTGCCAGGGGCCACGTTGATTTACTCAAGCAAAGATGTTACATCTAGAACAAGAGCTGCAATTAGATTTACTACCTAATGAAGTTTGTGATAATCGAGTCTTTTCCCATATCCATCTAACTTTTTCACGGGCCAGTCACATGATTAAGTGAGATTATGATAGGTATCAACACCCTTGCATTTTGGAAATATTTGAAGTTGGCAGAAATCTCTGAAATTTCCCCCAAAGTGTAATATTGCTTTCGATGTATTATTTCAGTTGTTATGCAAGTTCCAGGATCTTCCATTTGGTTCTTCCTACTATGGACATTACCCTTTGGGTCAAAAAACCAATTTATATATTCTACCAGTTTCTGAATATGTCTGTTTTAACTATACCATCAGGCCCTGTTGAGAAACACATACAGGGTGGATCTATGTACTTACTGGATCCACTGTCATTCACATTTGGGCAGACTCCATTGGTTATCTGACTACCATAAACCCCTACTTTAACTGGTGAGTCACAGTGGCATTTTGGGACCCGAAGAATTACTGATACTTTGTCAATGTCTAGTAATGCCCAGAAAGTATTTACTTTTCCCTTGTACACTCTTATTCTAGTAACTGGCTGCAGTACCTTTTGGAAAATGGTTGGGGAAATAATTGTTAGATATACTAGTGGCACTGCCGCAGGGCCCTTTCACAAGGAGACCCAGACTGCTCTTTAAGAGATTCTGTATCCTAAACTGCCTTAGATGTGGAAAGTGAGTTAGAAGTCATGACCAAGCATTGTGGTGACTCAAGTCAGGATTTGGCCATCAGACTTAGATTTTTCTTTTCTGGTACATTTCAATAACGTTCTTGCAGTCTTCCCACCTGTTTCATTCTTAGGGACATTGTAATCAATTAGTCACTCTCAGAGATCCCCGAAGGTCAAAACTCTGCTGCTCTTTGTGACAAATGTGTTTATTTTGTCTTTGACAATTAAGTGATGTCACTTGGTCTCTGCTTCTCTAGGAATCCCATTATTCTCTTTGAAATCAGGAGCCTATCTCAGTTACTATATTTCCCATTGTTATATCTGGCTGACTAAGAAGTAGAACCATGGAGATTCTCAAGGACGAGAGTGCTGCCCTTAGAAATGTATTTGGCAACGAATAGTGGAGAAATTATCTCCTGGGTCTTCTTGGTGGATGGCTGGGTATATCATAGGTTAATCCACACCAACATTCCCATCTTCATAAACTTTGAATTCATTCCTGCTCATCATTTCAGGGAAGCACTAACAGCTCCTCCTTATTAAACATATCCCACCATTAAGTCTTAATTTCAGTCCACCAACCAAGTAGGACATCAGAACCACTTCCAGGTGCATAAGCCAATTCATTAAATTCAGATTACTCAGCAACTGCACTCATATAAATGCATTTTGCTTGATCTGGTGTTATATTCCACTTTCCTTGGTTTAATAGCTATAGAATTAACTACAAAACACATATCCCAGGATTTTGCTGACAGATACTACACAACTTTGCAATTCTTTGGAGTATAATCTCTTCCCTCTTGGGCCAAGCTGTGTAACTGACACGTGGAGAATATCCTTACAAGGAATCGGCCCCAGGTGAGGTTATCACAGAGTTTTCAAGCAAAGGAAGGAAGGAAGACCTTTTCGGACACAGGAGTGAAAGCTACTTCTGCTGGTCAGGGAGGTTCAATGTGCCTCAGGGATTTGAGATGCTCTGTTTCATTTGAGTCCAACAGGATGTCCTCATTCAGAATTGTAGTGGCATGTTGTTTTTAAATCAATGTCCTAATGCTCACATGTGAAACTTGTGAAGGTTGTAAATTTAACTGATATTTGATTCTGTAACCTGCATAACTAAATTTAGTATTTGATTTTTTGGCAATATAATCAATAAAATATCTCTATTATTTTTGTTTTATTTATTTTGGGGGTTTTTGTTTGTTTTTCCTATTAGTGCTCAAATATACTCAGGATATTCTGTTCCAAAACATGGTCCTTATAGTTATTTTCACTGCAGATAAGTGCAGCAGTCACATGGGCATCCAAGGCACCTATTTCAGTTGGAACGTCATCACAGTTAAGTATGTAATAACATGACTAATTGTGATGCCACTGCTTGGCATGAATTATCAGCATACCTTTTTGCACTGGCAAGTAGTAACTCAGGGCTGTATTGAATTTCAAGGGAAGGACCAATCCTATCCCCCAATCCCACCTTTGAGTGTCTGCCTCCTGGGACTACTTTTGGTACCCATTTTGTATCTTTCGGGGTCCAATCATAGAAAATCACACCAATAATTTGGAGACAGAAAATTCAGTATAAGAAAAATTAATTGGTAAAATTAGTTAAAAGTGTAATGGAGTACTTTAGGTGGTATAGAAGTAGCAAGTTCAGAAAGCAGCTGCTTCCTCTGGGATTGTAGGATGGTGAGTAAAGAGACTAAGAACTTAGCAAATCTCTCTTACTCCAAGACTGCGATTCAGACCTTTTTGGAGAGGATGGCTGAAACAGGAAAACATAGCCTGATGGTGCCAAAGAAATTTGCCAGAGACTACAGGCCAGAGTTGGTTCATAAGTGTGGTTCTCCATGTGGCTGGAAACAGTTTCCAGAGGTTGCTGGCTGGAGCTGGTATATAGAATCAGCCAGATGGGTGGTTGGAGAGGCTTATTGGAGAGTAGAGGCCATAGTTCTGTGAGGGTCATTAAGAACAATACTACTGGGCCACTCACATGTAATCTGCGGGAAACAAAACAGCACTCTGGTGTCTGGAAAAGAAGTTTTCTCTATAATGGCTTTACAATTATTACCCTCTGTTGTCAATGGAGTAATGGTATTACTCCATTACCCTCTGTTGTCAAAGCCTAACAGCAAACTGTCTGGCAAAGGAAAGATGTTTATTCGACACACTCTAGTATCACAAAGCAAGGAAAAGAAGAGTAGATTTGGAGCTGAGATAAATTGGTAAGATAACCAGTATAGTTTTGGACATTGGGATTGAGGTGCCTATAAGACGTCAACATAGATAATTAGCAAACCTTTAGATATGGTGTTCTGAAAAATCTCAGGGCTTTTAATGTAGGTGGTGGTGTTATCCGCATAAGAGTGTTTGAGATCTCCAAGGAGAGCATACAGAGGAGAGGCTAATGGGCTAACACAAGAGCCAAAGGAAGCACCATTCCTTAAGGGCTGGTCAGAGAGGATGTGAAGCCCCAAAAGAAGGGCTAGAAGAAGTGACAGTAGGACAGGTAGGGGTGATAGGTTTCATGGAGGCTCAAAGATTAGAGGCGCAAAGAAGTGAGAGTGATCACCACGGTCAAATTTAGCAGAAGAAACCAGCAAGAAAAGACATGAGTAAAGGCAATACTCCTGATTAAAAGAAATCTGGAATAAGATGAATCTAAGTTTTATTTAGAGAGATATACGATAATTTCAAGAAGTTTAGCTGAAAACAATAGACAGGATGCAGCAATCTGGGGGCATGATGCAAGTGGCTGCTGAATGGTCAAATGAAATAGATTACTTTTTCATAGGAAAAACATGAACATGTTTTAGCCTGCAGATGTCTTTTGTTTGGATCACATTATGTTCCTTTGAAAAAAATGGAGCCTTCAGTGTCTGAAGGCGGAGATCATGAATTCCCTATTATATTTTATCCATCTTGAAACATTCATTTATGTTACCTGCTTTGCCCTGCACATTTTAGAATACTGACATTTGGGCTGCATATTTCTTAAATTTAAATTAATGGAAAAAAGGAGATTATTAGTCATTTTTCCAGAAAAGCAATTTATAACATAATTGATAAAATGACTGTTGGAACAAAAAAGAATTTGAAATGATTGGCCTTCATTTAATGTTTGTGTCCTCAGACCAGTGCTGTCCTAAGATGAGAAAGGGTAGATGACTTTCTCAAGATCACACAGTCAGTAAGTGGCAGATCTGTGGTTAAAACTGAAGCTTTTATTCCTTGTACTCTTAAGACTATTAGTCTGCATTCCCATCCTGACACTCTCTTAAGTATCTAGTTTCAAAAGAAAATGTGGACAAAAGAGAAACCTTATGAAAAAATAAAATTAAGTCTTTTAGGAATTGAGCAGAACATTATTTCACTGTTCTTCTTTTTCAACCTAGAGAATGTTTCCTGTGTGTTATCAAATAAGTCAAAGCTCTGGCTAGCAATTTGCTATCCCTGGGGTTTAAACTCAGTAATATATCTGATTTTAACCGTACCTTAAAGCATCTCTTGGTCTATGTCTTCTTTCAGCCACCAAAATAATGTGGTTAATAAGAAAATTGTTCTTTTTTAAAAAATAAATTATATTGTGTGTATTTGAGGTTTACAACATGATGTCATTAAATACATATAAATACAGAGATACATATAAACACGTAGATAGTACAATGGTTACTACAGTGAAGCGGATTAACACATCTATTACATAATTAATGTTTATATGACAAGAATAGCTAAAATTACTAATTTAAAAAATATAGATTTTAAAATCCCCGAAGCAATATAGTTTTATTAACTTTAGTCCCAATGTTGTACATTAGACCTCTAGACGTATGCATCCTATATATTTGTTTTCTTTGACCTACAGCTCCCTATTTTCTCTCCTCCACCCTACCTATGGTAATCACTGTTTTTCTCTATTTCTGTATATTTCAGTGGTTTAAAATACACATACAAGCGAGATTATGCAATATTTTCAGGGGAGGGGAGTCTGGCTTATTTCACATACCGTACCATCCTCCAGCTCCATCCATGTAGCAAATGACAGGGTCTTCTTTTTTAAGGCTGTATAATATTTGTGTGTGTGTGTGTGTGTTTGTGTGTGTGTGTATCACATTTTCTTTATCCATTCATCTGTCAATGGGCATTTAGTTTGTGAACGTTGGTTGTCATGAATGATGCTGCAATACACATGGGAATACAGATATCCTTATGAGGTGGTGATTTCGTTTTTTGGGGGAGTATATACCCAGAAAAGGGATTGTTGGGTTATATAGCAGTTATATTTTAATTTGCTTAAAAACCTCTGTACTATGAACATTGTTCTTTAATCAGCAACATTGCTACTTGTCTGTCACTAACAAAAATAAGAATAAAGGAGGCACTGTTGGTAAATTGCTTTGAGATCATTAGGTGCTAGTGGAAAGCAAAATATCAGAAATCTCAATTTTTTTTTTACCTCCCTTCTCTCAGGAATGTGTATTTCTCAGTGTGGCAATACATAGAAAACCAAGGAAATGAATATCAAGCTACTGAAAGGAGAGGCAAAGGCTTAAATTGCTTTTGCAATAATTTTTATCAAGACAGGAAGGGAATGAAAATGCCTGTCACCAACTGGTGAATAACTGGTTTCTCTGACAAGTCTCACTAAGATCCAGCTTGCCCACTTTTTGCACCTCATTTTTCAAATGAAATTCAGAGACAGTAGAGTGTAGTAGTTAAGACAATATTTCTAGGGAGAACCAGGAGTAGGTTTGATACCAGGAGCAGCCCGTCACTATCAGTAAAAACTTGAGAAAATGATAATTTCTTTGAGGGTTGATTTCTACCATTATCAAATGGGAATAAAACCATTTCTAGTTTTTAAGACCAGACTAAGAAATCGATGAAAAATGAATATTAGGTGCCTGGCAAAGTACCTAGAGAGTTTCATAAGCATTTAACGTATGTTGTTATTATTTATTAATATTATTGCTATAGGTAATAACAATTCTAGTAATGATAATAATGATATAGTACTTACTGTGTCACTATCCTGTATAAAACTTTTCAGTGACTGCACTCATGAAAGAAGGTTAAAGCTCAAATAGTATGGATTCAGGGTCATGAAATTAGTCATTTTCAGATTATGTCACACACACACACACACACACACACAAACACACACACATTTTATAGGTAGAGTCTTCATAGAAATCTAGGTTGGATTTCTCATCATTCCCAAATATGTCACATCTTTTTGTACTTCTGTGGTAGTTGTTTCTAGTGTTTACTTCACCTATTAAGAAAGCCCTTAATTCTATTGCTATTTGAATAAAATCTTACTCTTCAATCAAGGCATCTCTTACAAAAACATTTCTAATCTCCAAAATGGCAATTTTCTTAGTCGTTCTTGCCTGGGTTCACTGTATAAACAATTTCTCTTAGCTATTTAATTGTAAGTCTCTAGGATCATGGACTATGTCATCTTGATCTGTGTATCACCTAAGCATTGGGACAGTGCTTAGCAAATAGTAACAATGCCATGCAATCTGTGAAAAGAGCAAGTTCTATTTCTCTTTAGCAGAAGAGGGCAGTCTATCTCTGCTTCACTGGCCTTTTGCTGCCCCTTTTTATCAAGTTTTCTTAGTTGACTGTTTGGCTGGTTGTCTCCGCTGGTTGTAGTTGGGTAGAGGACGTGGTGTTTTATGACTATATAATCATGATCTGAGGATTAGGAATGTTGGACTGTGTGAAAAGACCAAGAAAGGAGTGATATGAAGGCACCCAAGGCTTACAAAGCAGATACCATGTTTTAACTCTGACATTTATGTTCCCCAGACTTCCTGAGCTTCTGTTTCCTTACCTGAGAAAAAGAATAGTTAGTTTTATCTTCTAGAATTCAATAAAGGATTAAATGAGATAAAATGTGAAGCAACTTGTGCAGATCTTGGCACTCAATAGATTGTACTTAATACAAGTTACTTTTCCCCTCTTTTCTCCTGAGAGGTATCTAGATATAACTTATCATCAGAAGATCAGATTCTTATCCATCCTATAGATAAGATACTCAAAGTATAGATTATTTTTATGAATATAGGTCACTTGATGATTGAAAATGATCAAATGTACAGATGATAAACTAGAATTGATAGAGAACACAGTGTTCATAAGGCATAAATATATCATTGAACAAGTACTCATTAATCTCTTAATAATGTCAGTCACAAAACCAGAGGTGAGTAAGATTAAGGTGTCAACCTTATGATATGGCTCTTTTAACTTCTAAGTTCTTGGTTTTTCGAGTGACACAAAATCAATTGAAGCCTGACAGCTGTTTGGTAAGCTATGTAAAATGAATTTTGTGAGTCAGCTGAAATCCTAATGGTAATGTCTTCAAAGTAGCGGATATATCTGATAGGTCTGATTTGTTACCAGTTATTGCAGGCTAGTCTAGCAATTTGGCTAAAAAAAGAACTGGGGGTGGACAGTTAGGGAGAAGCATTCCTGTTATCAACTAACGCAGGTCTGATGAGATTTTTCTTTTCTTAAAAATATCAGAACATTATTTATAAAATGTATTAAATATTAATAATGTATGTATTTACATTACAAACAAGCATAACAATGCACTCTGATCCTTTTTGTTAGGTTATATTCTTCCTGTTATATGCATTTAGAATCTGTAATACAATTCTGTTAATTCCCCTCAACCCCATCTCTTCCTAGGAATATACCTTCTCAATTTTCATAGTCTTCTTTTTGTGCCCTGCTAATGATCAAATCATAGCAGACGATTTCTCTTCCTTCTAATCCATTCTAATTAAAGCAACGATTATTGTTTCCCTAAATTATTTTAATCAGATTGCTCCCTACACAGGAAACCACTGTAGCTCCTAATTAGCTCTTGAATCAAACTCTTCAGCACCTGCCCCCAAGGCCTTCAACTCCTGTTGCTCGTTTATGCTGGTTTTATTCCATGATACACATTCAGGTAGAATAAACCTTCTTTTTCTTCACACACACTTGGCTCACTTCTGTCTGTGAGGTTTGAGGCTTCTTTTTTCTCCTTTTAAATATGTACTCTTTTTCCATTATACGAAGTTGTATCCCTGTTGTGCTGAACCCCAATAAGGGGTTAACCTCAATAAGGAAGGAACCAGATTCAAGAGGCAGAAGAGACCCAGAGCCAGTACAGAAGACATGGGGTTGTGTTGGGTGTTTACATACAGGAGAGAGAGGCCAGTGGCAGCAGGCTGGACAAGAGAATTACTTTATGTGCAGAAACTGGCCAGCAGTGGCCAGCATAACCACATGGCCCAGGGGTGGTGGGCTGGACAGGAAAACTGCAACCACCTGCAAATATCATGCATTTTATACAACGTTTTCACTTAACACCCTTCGCCTAACAGCCTCCACTTGGCAACCTTCATTTAACCTGAAACTCAGGGCTTCAGTCCCTTGTATGGCCCATGTTCCATGGGATGGGCCAGTGACTCAGATGTTCCTCATGAACAGGGAATGAATCTCCAGGTTGGCCATACCTGGATTCCCTAGCTCCATAACACATTCAGATGTGTTTGCCAGAGAGTGTTGTTCTAAGGGTATGCTTAAGTTATTGCTGTCAGGTGTGTTTACTCTACAGTCTCCATCCACCTTCAGAATTTTTTTCCTCGAAATTCACTGTCTTATTGTTTTCTCTGATGAACTATCCTAAATTGTGGTTAATTCCTTAACTGTAGCATTTTTTTAGTTTTTTTTTTTTTTAAACACAGAGTTCTGCAAGGCTGAAACACACACAGAGTTCTTAGCTTACTTTATTTTAGGCTCTCTTCAAGCACTTTAGATGTGTGCTAAAAAATTTATACAACTCTCTATAGGATATGCCTTCCTTAAGTGATTTTACTGATAATAAAAATGAGACAGAGAGTTAACAGGCTCAAAGTAATTGGCTAGAAAGTTTTAAAGGTAGATTCTGAAGGAGGCCCTCTGGCTTTAGGGTGTGTGCTTTTTATCACCAAACTCTACCATAGTCAAATTAGCTTACATTCATGTGTGCATTTTCTCTGTTGGAGGCTTTATGTGTTAGTTATATTTGCTCATTTACCTCCCATAATTGATGGCAGAGTCCAGAGGTCAGAAACTATACAGATCAATTCCATATCTAGAAGTATTCTGTTCACAGAGTAGAATCTCAAAACACACTGCTGCCAAGCCTACTAGCTAATATTTCAGCAGAGTTTTTTTCTCTGATCAACTTTTACACTAGAGCTTTAATTTTTAATGTTGTTTTCCTTCAAACTTCAGGAAGTTCAGAAGTCAGCCCTCTACAAAAGTCTGAAGTTGTTTTATCATGACTACATACCACATATGCAACATTGAGCCAATCACTGGGATTAAATTTAAAAAAATCCTTATTTGATGGAAATAGCTACTGTATTGGAGGACGAGTATTATACCAAAAAAGGGCAAACTTTTCTTTGATTATAATTGCTATAAAATATACTTAATTATAATTTTAATTGCAATTGAATTATAGTTTTTATAAATGGTCTGAGGAGGCACACAGGGAATTATGGGATTACATCATAAAGAGACTTAGTTGGGGGATATTAAAAATTGTTCATTGAGAAGGCAACATGTAAGGCTAGAGGTTAATGGAAGTTGGCTAGGTAAAAGAGAAGAGGACATGGAGTAGCATTTTACACCAAAGAATAGCACATGGGCTGGTCCTAAAAGAAATTAGGAATTAGAACATTTGAGGAGCTAAAAAAAAAAAAAAAAAGAGGCTAGAAAATACAGGGCTTTGTGGACCATAGTAATAATAATTGTGTTTAATCATAAGAAAAGCATTCTTTTTTTGCAAATTCTTCTCCTTCAGATGTTTCATCCAAAAGTTTCTCATCATTGTCATTGTGAGGGTGATGGGAGGGTGGGCAAGGAGGAGTGTGCAGGTGGTGGTATGTAAAGGAGACAGTGAAAGAATTATTAACGGTGCATGTGTGTTAATGGGAAAAGCAATTCCAGTCCTGTAAATTTGTTACATAATTCTTTAATCAAGTGGCCAGCCATTCTATCCCATAAATCAATTGAAAACTTAAAGAATCCTAAATTCTTTCACTTATTTTTCACTTTAAGGAAAAAAAAACACGTTATCTAGATTTTTCTTTACATATCATGAATCATGCGGTGCTTGAACCTGCCACTTCAAGCCATGATTTATAATATGCCTAATTGCTTTCCTTTCCCTCCTCACAGCTGGCAGATGGAATACTGTATCTGTGACTGAGCCACATTAGTATTTATGCTGCAAGCAAATGGTGTTACGGTCTGTGGATTTCTCCTTCTTGATCTGAATATCCTCAAGACAATGCAAAATTCTTAAAAATTTATCTGTTTCCTCTTTTGTCTCTGCTGCCCTCTTAATTTTTATACCAGCACACATGGGATTTGAGCCCCAGTCTAAAGGTGAACTTGAGGATTGTGGTTTGTTTCTGTACAGCTCACAAGATTAGTCACAGAAAATAGAAAATTTGGGAGTGATAATGAGTATATGTACTGCTTGCTTTGAGAAGAGCGTTCATTGGAATAGTGTTTCGTAGTCTTGGCTCTTCCATGGAATGTGTAGCTACATAATCAGAGTAGATTATTTGTCATTTATTCACCAGATTTTAAAATATCTATTTGGAGTTTTTGTAGCTCCCAAACAATTTTATTTTTCACTTTTGCTAGTGTTTGTCTTCAGCTTGGACAGAGGTGCTGTGTCTTCCTTAGTTAATGCCCATTTGTTCTTCAGTTTAGTGGCCTCTGAGATTGAAACATTTGGGAGAAGGAATCTCTGCCACAAGGTATTGATATTAGAGGTGAAATCATGCTCTTCACATGTAACACCTGCTGATGGAATTTCTGATGGAGATTTTAGTTGCACAAGTCCTGTTAACCTGAATTGACATGCACCAGATGGGTAGAGAAGCAACGAGCAATGCGAGTTCACTTTCAGGGATAGTGTTTGCTGAGTAAATATTTTTATTTTGGGGATAATTCTTAATAGCATCAGGAAAAAAAAAATTAAACATGTGGATTTTGAGTTTTGAGGGTAACTCAGGGTATTTTATCATTTTAAAATTAAAATCATTTTTTAATGAACTTCAAATAAGCAGCACAAATAGCTAGATTCTTGAACTTCCTTTCCTTCCTCCCTACCTCCCTTATTTCCTGCCTTTTTTTTTCTCCCTTCCTCCTTTCTTTTCTTCTTTCCCCCCCCTTATGGTTTTTGTTGTTACCAAAGTTGTACACACATACGCTATAAGGTGTCAACGAATGTTTTAAGCTTATTATAAAAATCTTCAGTCTCTTAGCTCTCACCACTGACTACCAATCAACTCCCCCCACCTCCCCACCTCACCTTGTGCCACCACAACTTGTGGCTCTTCCTCTACCCAGGGTAGAACTCTCACTTCATTTGGTTAATGTTTTGGCTTTTATTTTTAAATCTCTAAATAACATGCTTATATTGACATCTTGATTTTTTCAATTAGATTATTTTGATTTTCCACTATAAAATATGATACAGTCTTTTTCCTTTTTCACACTTCATTCATCAGCCCCTGCTACAAAAAGAGGAATCTTTCCATGCCCATTCTCTCAACGTAGTTATGTTGTAATTTTTGTCAGATCGATTCAGTGTTTATAGCATTTTGACTCTGTAAGCTGAGTTACAGCTGAGCCATGATATTTTCTAGGATATATTTACTGACCTGCCCATCTTTTTTATTTGAAAAAGTAAAAATGTATTTTATAACTAATGGGCACAATTGTAATTTGGCACTAAAGCTTTTAGAATGGTAGATGCACACTTGCTGGGTTTTTCTTGCATGGAGCTCCTTTAGAGCAGCTGTCTCAACCCTGGGGATGTTTCCCTGATGTTTCTGGCACAGGTGTGCTGCCTCTTTCTGACTGTCATAGCTTCTGCCTTAGATTCTGGCTCTTCAGATTCACCTCCTGTCTCCTCTGCTGAGCTCACCTCACCCCAGGCAGGCAGCTGTATTGGATAGGTGCAATATTTAGGATAGATCACTACCATCCCTACTCTGGGGTTCACATTTGGCACCTTAGCTCTGCCATCAATTAATGGACACTTTGCTCTTCTATGTCAACTTCATCCAAGCTCTTACCTTTTAGGTGCCTTTGGTCATAAGTCAGGTACAACCTGTATACAACCAGATGTCTCCAAAGCCCAGGAACATGTGTCAAACTCTCTAAATGTTTCTCTGCAGGTCCCCTCATAAGTCTTAGTGTAGGCAAGCATCCGTCTCCCAGCCACAGCCCTGTGTGTATTCTCTCTAAAGAAATTTTTGCTACGGTTCACTTTAACTTCCTGAAAGGTCCTTTACTTTCCCTTATATATCCCAGGTACTATCAGAACCACTTCCATCATTATTTAGTCTGTGAAGGTCTAGTACCACATTTTAGGGTATGGTATATTAAGCATCCGTGATAATATTCTCAGCCTTTTAAACCTCAGTTCAAAATCCAAGACAATGAAAGTCATATGTAACCTCTTGTTAAACTAATTTTTATCAAAGATTCTTTAGTGCCAGGCTTAGCATTGGGCATTTTGCATGTCATTTGTCAATAATCTAATTAAAGTAGACATATTATCACCTCCATTTTACAGATGAGAAAATTCAGGCCAAGAATTGGTAAATAATGAGAAAAAAACAAAGAACATTGATTTGGTTTGGTCCTGTGTCCTCACCCAAATCTCATCTTGAATTGTAGTCCTCATGTGTTGAGGAAGGGACCTGGTGGGAAGTGATTGGATCCTGGGGGCAATTTCTCTCTTGCTGTTCTCGTGATAGTGAGGGAGTTCTTATGAGATCTGATGATTTTAAAAGTGGTAGTTTGCCCTGTGCACTCTCTTTCTTTCTTGCCACCATGTAAGATGTGCCTTGCTTCTCCTTTCACCTTCTGCCACAATTGTAAGTTTCCTGAGGCCTCCCCAGCCATGCCACACTGTGAGTCAATTAAACCTCTTCTCTTTATGAATTACCCAGTCTCAGGAAGTATCTTTATATCAGTGGCAAAATGGACTAATACAAATATTCACACAAATAATGAAAAGCTGAACACTGACTGAAACTCAGGAAGACTGCTTTCAGAGTCCATAGTCTTAATCATGACACCATCTTGCCAAGTGAGAGGTAGATAAATATGAAGTTGTCTGCCTATTTCCCTCAGTTGTCTCTTCAAATCCTACTCCAAGTGGTTTAAGACATAATGAGATATCAAAGGAATTTTATGCAAGCTCCTTAAGAATAGCAAGAGAAAAGGCTATTTGTCATGTAGGTAATCCACTTTAAGGAACGTGAATATCCAGGCTGGAATGGGGTGTGCCAGTTGAAGTATATGGGACAATGGCAAGATGAAGCTGGTACCCTGCAGGAGGGAGTGGTAGAAAAGAAAGGTGACATGAGGAGAAGAGTAAAGAAACGTTTTTATCTTTTTCTCAACTTCAAGTTTTTCTGATTAGCTCCAAGGAAGGTAGGATTCTTTCTGATGGTGAATTGATGCTTTCTAATGACTTATGGGCAGAAAGGCAAGATACGCATACTGTAGAGGAGGGAGAGCCAGTATACTTATTGATTTGAATCTAAATGAAACAGAGGTGAAAAGAAATAGTACTCATTGATTTTGGCTACCTTTCTAATAGTGATTATGATTATCTTGTAAGTGAAAGTATTTTGTTATTGGGTTTCCAGTGACTTTACATATTTTCAATTTCATTCTTTGAAGATCCCGTTAACAGTTTGCTAGATCACTGTATTTGTAATTTTCTCCATCTTACAGTCCTCCAGTTCAAACTAGTTTAGCCCTAATAGAGTGGAGACCTAGACTTAGTATTTTACTAGAGAAGGTGACTGACTGTAAGGCACACATTTTTCAGCATGAAAAACATTCTCAATGATTTTCTAATAACAAATAATATTTTTTAAAATATTGATATAATCTATCATCTATACAATTATCAGAGCAATTATGATATTAAATTTATTTGATGGTATCCCCTCTTGCTTAACCTTCTTGTTCCCATGTCCTTGATTATATAGACTACAAAAATTACAGATGGACAATTTTTTTAATTTATTTTATTTATTTTTTAAGATGGAGTCTCTGTCGCCCGGCTGGAGTGCAGTGGTGCAATCTCGGCTCACTGCAACCTCCGCCTCCTGGGTTCCAGCGATTCTCCTGCCTCAACCTCCTGAGTAGCTGGGACTACAGGCATGCACCACCATGCACATGGGCAATTTTTTATAGCAGGGAGTGGAATGTAACATTTGTACTTACTGTATGAGATTCAAGTGTAATTAGTCTCCTATTATCAAATACATTCAGATTCATAAATCAAAGGCCTGTAATTATTGCCTCCAGTATGTCAACTGCTAAAACTACCTTTTTTTTTCCCTAAAAACGATTTTGTTACTGCTCCATAGATTAGCTCCCACAAAACTGCCAAGTCAAAATGTAGGCTTTATTTTTGCTGTCTAGAAATGAACTTCTATTAGGAACTACTGTGATATTTAATTCTTAGCAAAATGCATCCAATGAAAATAAAGTAATACATTCAGTTTCTGATTTGAAAAGGATTCGCAATGTGTTAGGTGGTGGTGTTTTCTGGGTTGCCCCCTTGCAGAGCTAGAGCAGGCCCTTGCTCTTCCTTGATGGCTGGGCATCTGCCATGACTTCTGTCACTGCTTGATAGACAACACTTTTTCTCCTCTGCTTGATGAAACCAATTATTTTCTTTTCCCGAGAGTGTGTCAATTATGCCATTGTCATCGTGGCAGCCAAAGGCATATTAGTGCTATTTTCTGTTAAATTCACTTTGAAATCTCAGCATTTGGTTCCAAGATCAATCTGTTCCCTCCCCTCCTTTTTATTTTTATTTTTTTCTGTACTGTAATTGTATTTTGTTATCTCTTTTGATATGAAAGTGTCTGCACTTGACATACTGTCAGAGTATTTTTCTTTATCTCTAATACTTTATTGTATATGTCACTGTGATTGTACGATTGTGTCAAAATATTTGTCACATTCTCACTTTTGATGTTTAGTATTTGTCCTATTACTGCTACAGATGCAAGATAACCTTTTATCAAATACTTTTATAGACTTCAGAAAGTCTCAAAGAGTGGTGAAAGAGAAGTTATTCCTGTTATTTCTGAAGCGTTCTGCATATAATTTAAAAACAGAGAAAAGAAGTTTCTCAAATACACAGATTTCCCAGGTTGCTTGTTAAAGTTGTCAATTTCACTGAACCCTCTTCATGAATTGTTTTCCTGTCATGTTAAATAAATAAAGAATTTTTCCATGTTATTGTTTGAATATAATGACTCTCCTGAACTGGAAACCTGACCTTTATACTGTGAATCCTCACTGCAGCAGAATTCTTTTTTTATCCGCAGTCTCTTGTGGGGGAAAATAAATTAAGTCTCTGAGCCATTGTGATTGTAAAGGTATGAGTAGGTATAAAGACCCTATAAACATTAATGGTATTTGGAAGAAAAGCAGAATTAAAGATTTTCTTCTTGTTCTTCAGGGTTATCTAAGTAAACTATTGAGGAATACATAGATAATCCACTTATAAGAGCTAGAGGCTGATTCTGATAACACAGGGATGAGTTACGTTGCTGTTTGCCCAGAATATAAAATTAAAAATGGCCCAGTGTTAATGACTTCTCCTTTTCCCAAATGGACTCAGCATCTTCTGATTTTGAAGGTGATGCTCGTTCTTGAATTCTCTAAGATCTCTTTCATCCCTTAGCCTTTCTGAAAATGTCACAATCTTAGGTTGGGACTCAGCCCCAGCTCCTTGTGGTGGCCAGTACTTATTATCCAGATTTACGCTCCGATGCTCTCTCCCTCTTGAATGTCTTTATATTAACCAGGTATTCCTTTAGAAGTTAGACTAGAATTGTAGCCCTCTTTTTGATTATTACAAGAAGCTGGGCAATTCTCATTTCTAATCACTTGGTGTATGAGTCCATTCTCATGTATGTATGTATGTATGTATGTATGTATGTATGTATGTATGACAAAGATATACCAGAGACTGGGCAATTTACAAAAGAAGGGGGTTTAATTGGACTTACAGTTCCACGTGGCTGGGAAAGCGTCACAATCATGGTGTAAGACAAGGAGGAGCAAGTCACATCTTACTTGGATGGTGGCAGGCAGAAAGAGAGCTTGTGCAGGGCAACTCCCATTTTTTGAAACCATCAGATATGGTGAGCCCCATTCAATATCATGAGAACAGCAGGGAAAGACCCGCACCCATAATTCAATCAACTCCCACTGGGTCCCTCCCACAACACATGGGAGTTATGGAAGCTACATGATGAGATTTGGGTGAGGACACAGAGCCAAACCAAAGACGATAAAATCTAAATTGGATTAGGCACATGGTTAGGGTGTCAGAGATTATATTAAGAAAATCTAATTATTGCAAATTCCATTTCAATGCATGGAATCTTTCTCCCAGATGTAGAGACTT
This sequence comes from Homo sapiens, assembly GCF_000001405.40. Taxonomy (NCBI): domain Eukaryota; kingdom Metazoa; phylum Chordata; class Mammalia; order Primates; family Hominidae; genus Homo; species Homo sapiens. The sequence goes on from NC_000011.10 coordinate 96,715,000, forward strand.
TTTATCAAGTTACTTAGGAATGAAGAGTACTAGTAGAAGCAAAATATATTCACTGGGAGTTCCTTCACAGTGAGGAAAATCTCAGTGGTGTGGATAGTCAGTTCCAGTGGTAAGGTTCAGTTTCATCAGACAATTATGCCCATCTGTACTCATGTCACTGAAGGCATGTTTCTCTCCTGCCTTTAGGAAGAAACAAAGAGACAGACTAGCTTCCCTTGTTATTTCAGTGTGTTAAAGCAATCACTTACTGTTTATTATACTAATTAATTATCTCCCTATTTATTTTGTGCAATTATTGCTTTTACTTAGTGGGTAGATAATTCCTGTTAGCAGAAGTATAAAAGCAGAAATTTAGAAAGATCTAAAACGCTGACTCAGAATTTGGCACTTAAATGGGAAAGTTCGAAGATATTCTTAGGATACTATGTCCTGGCATGAACTTGAATTGTTTTTCATCACTTTTTGAGCATCGGTTCTGCTTGCTGAATTCCTGAGTTATGGTTGCTCATTGTTTGAACTTGAAATGAACTGCCTTCTCTAATAGGCTTCATCTTCATTATAAGTTGATATAACAAATAAGTTTAAATAAGTAATTAGATGCCAGGGCTCTTGAAGAGTGATTTATTAGGAGAAGATAAATTTTTAGAAAACAAATATGAGGCTATTAAGATGTTGACAGAAGATGAGGACAGTCGCTATTAGAATTTTATAAACAAGTGTTAAAGAGTCTCTTTTTAATGAAACAGTATATTTAAATAAGCAACTCATTGGCTGCATTTTTCCTTGACATTTCATTTTCCCATTAATTACATATTCAGTCTGGATATCACGATGTAAAAGCTTGATTACTAAATAACTGATAAAAAAATTGATGATGAATATTTCAGAGGTTTCAGGAACTCAGCCTCTCAGCAGTTCTTCTTCTTATTGATCCCAGCAATCTATTTCACAATGTGTCAGCAGACAAATGCATTTAGGTAAACTTGATATATTAAATTGGATACCATTTTTATCAAGATTCATATATTAAAGGCAATCAGTTGACATTTTTCTGTAATCTATTTTGTGATCTGTCAAATTGATTATGTCGATGAAATCAAAGGAAATTTCCCTTAACAGCATTTATATTTCAGTGTTGCTTGAAGTGTTTTTATTCACTTACTAGATTGTAACATACATGTGTATTTTGAAATACTCTAATGATTTATATATATATATATAATTTTTAGAGACAGGGTCTCACTCTGTTGCCTAGTCTGGAGTGCAGTGGCTTCATCATGCCTCAGCCTCCCAAGTAGCTGGGTCTACAAGCATGTGCCACCACCCCAGCTAATTAAAACATTTTTTTTTTGTAGAGATGGGCTCTTGCTATGTTGCCCAGGCTGGTCTCAAACTCCTGGCCTCAAGTGATTGTCCTGCCTCAGCCTCCCAAAGTGCTGTGATTACAAGTGTGAATATTTTTGAAATTGTGAAGTTCTAAAAAAGAAATATTATTTAGATTTAATTGGGAACTTGTCAAAGACTATCTTAAATGAATTAATCTTCTAGCTATGAATATGATATTAGAGAATGAAGGAATCAAAGTGTTAATGGTGTTTATAACTTCTAGGCCTTTATATTATTCCTGTTCTACTTAACTTGAATAACATTATAAAACACATGAAATAATTTTATTCCTTTAGTTGTAATCATTATACGGTAAATTTTTAGATATGTATTTTTTAAGATGTGAAAGGGTATAGCTATTGGAGTCAGAAAAAAAATCTATGACTTGCCTGGGCTTGGTGGCTCACACCTGTAATCTCAGCACTTTGGGAGGCCGAGATGGGTGGATCACTTGAGGCCAGGAATTCGAGACCAGCCTGACCAACATGGCAAAACTCCATCTCTACTAAAAATACAAAAAAATTAGACAGGCCTGGTGGCGTGCCTGTAGTCCCAGCTACTCCAGAGGCTGAGGCTTGAGAATTACTTGAGCCCCAGGGGCTGAGCAAGGTTTCAGTGAGCCAAGATGGCACCACTGCAGTCCAGCCTGGGCAAAAGAGGGAAACTCTGTATCAAAACAAAAGGAAAACAAAAAGAAAAAATCTGCAACTGATTCATGGTTTTGCTACTTTCATTATTTGATTTTGAGGTAGTAATTTGCTATAAACTTTTTAAAATCTATTATATGGGGATAATATTATAAGTATTAGGCTGTTGTGTGGACTAAATGTGAGAAAATATAGAAAAGTATCTAGCTCATTCTTGTTTGACATTTGTTAGAGTTTAAGTACAGTAGTGGGCATTTGGTATGACTAATCTTTAATTTTCAAGCAATAACAAATATATAGTATCGAGCGCTTACTAAATATCTGATACAGTTGTAGATGTCTTTACATGTAATACATTTAATGTTTTATTGTAAGTCTCTAAGTGATTATTGTATTAATTAAATTGTAACATATAATTACATAACATATCCAAGGTCAACATTTTAACTTATTGTTTATCTCATTCATTATAAGATACATAATTATTTTATCTTAACACTATGAGAGAAAACACTGAGTTAAATTATGACTGTGCCATGTATGTCAAGAAGACAATCACTTTGAGATGTCAAAATGTGAAAAACGTGAATCCTTAAACTGGTGAAATACAATAACATCTAGTAAGTGGGAGAACTAGGATTTAGAACCCAGGCATTCTCTTTCTAGAGCTTTTCCACTTATTCATTCTACTATATTTTCATGCACAAAAGGGTTCAATCGATAAGAATTTACTTATTAAAAAATGCACAAGGTCAACACATATACGAACTATCATACTTACTTAATACTTTTAAGGGAGGTATTTAGGAGCAATAGGGAGGTGAAAAAATTGAGATGAAATGGAATTATGTGAAACAATATCTAACTCTTTTCTTGATTGAAAAATTATTGGGTAATTAATGAATGCAGACACTTGATATGCATGAAATCAATATTTGTAGAGGGAATGATCAATTAATTGTGACAAACCAAACTAACATAAAATGTTCATAAATCCCTTTTTACTTTCAGTTATTATTTTCTTTTATAACATTGATTTGTAAGGGAGAAAACATAACTTCTTACTAGATGTCCAAAAACAAAAGAAAACAAAACAAGAGCAAAGACCTTAAACATTCTTTCCCAAATTAAGGTTAGCATTCTAGTAATAAGAGTATTTCTACAATGTAATAATGTTCCTATTTACGTATTCCATACTTTATATTGTATCAGAGATATTTCTCTTGAAATTTAAGAGAAAAAGAATATCTCTGTGATCACTATTATTTTACTCTGACTCTAAAAGTTATGATCAATGCATGGGTCATGACCATGGGTCATGAAACAAAAATGATAAACTATAATCACTGAACTAGAAAAATATGTAGATACCTATATTTATTTACAGTATTTAACAAGCGTTCTTAGAAAGAGACGTAACTGAAAACTATTAGAACTAATGAAAATCCAATATCAAATAATTAAGTCAAATATCAAAGCAAGTCAGATACCAGCTATATAAAAATCAATTTAGCCATAATTATTTTATTTTCTTATTTTCCTAATTTTATTGAGGCTTTCTCAATGATTAAAAAGTATATCTATTTAAGATGTACAACCTCAATGATTTGATATCATCAAACTTGATGATTTGGTAAATATTATGAAATCTTCACCACAGTCAAGTTAATTAACATGCAAATAATTATTTTAGAACAAAATAAAAAAATAATTATTTTAGAACAAAATTATTTTAGAACCAAAATTCTCAGTAAGTACAGTTGACTCTCAAAGAATGCAAGTTTGAACTGCATGGGTCTACTTATATGCAACATGTTTTCAGTGAATATATTGTAAAATTTTATGGAGATTTGCAACAATTTGAAAAACTCTCAGAAGAACCGCATGATCTAGAAATATCAAAAAAGTCATGAATGCATAAGATATATGTAGATATTGTATTTACTACCATAAAATATAAAAAAATCTATTATAAAAAGTTAAAATTTATTAAAACATACACGCACAAACACCTGTAGACCCGTACATTGCACTCTCATTCACAGTCGAGAGAAATGTAACAAATATAAAGATGTGCTATTAAATCATAACTGCATAAAATTAACTATAGTACATAAAGTATTACTGTAATAATTTCGTAGTCACCTCCTGTTGCTATGGCAGTGAGCTCAAGTGTTGCCAGTATCCCTTTAAAACACATTGTGATGCTAATCATCTTCACGTAATTCGTCTCTGCAATAAATTGTATATCTGTTAAAAGTGATCAGTCACAGCTCTCACATAGTTTTTCATTGTATGTTGTGCTATATAGTAAACCTTAAATAACACCATAGGATCCACACAAAGTGCCACTAGTGATGCTGGGAATTTTCCCAAGAAGCACAGCGAAGTCATGACATTACAAGAAGAAGTGGAATTGCTTAATATCTACTATAGATTAAGGTCTGCATCTGCGGTTGCCCACCATTTAAAGATAAATGAATCTAATGTAAGGACCATTGTACAAAAAAAAAAAAAAAAAGAAATTCACAAAGCTATTGCTGCAGCTATAGTAGCAGGTGCAAAACCTATGCTTTTTGTGAAATACGTTTTTATCTCATATTGATAATGCAGATTTTATTTTGGTTCAGAATTGCTATCAGAAAGGCATACATATAGACTCTAATGTGATTGCAGAAAAAGCAAAGTCATTACATGACAACTGAGAGCAAAAGAAAGGTGAAGGATCGAAAGCTGGAGAGTTTAATGCCACCAAATTGTAGTTTGACAATTTAAGAAAGAAGTTTGGCTTAAAAAATGTAAAGATAACAAGAGAAGCAGCTTCTGCTGACAAAGAAGAGGCAGCAAATGAGTTCCCAGATACCATTAAAAAAATCATCAAGGAGAAGGGATATCTACCTGAACAGGTTTTCAATGAAGACAAACGTACCCTATTCTGGAGAGAGAAAAAAAAAAAAAAAGCCACACAGGACATTTATTCATGTAAGGAAAAGAAGTGAGCACCAAGATTTAGGCAGGAAGGGATAGGCCAACTCTACCGTTTTGACCTAATGCAGTTAGGTTTATGATTAGGACTGCCTTTATCTATAAATTTGCTAAGTCTTGAGCCTTGAAGGGGAATGATAAACACTAGCTGCCAGTCTTTTGGTTGTACCACAAGAAGTCCTGGACAATAAGAACCCTTTTTCTGAGTCCTTTGCATTGATGCTTTGTCCCTGGAGTAAGGAAGTCCCTCACCAGTAAGGGATTGCCTTTTAAAGTTCTTTTGATATTGAACAATGCCCGTGGCCACCCAGAACCCCATGAGTTCAACACCAACAGTGTTGAAGTGATCTAATTGCCTGCAGACACATCATTTCTAATTTAACTTCTAGATCAGGGGCTCATAGGACCTTAAGGCTCATTACCCATGGTACTTTATGGAAAGGATTGTCAATGCTATGAAAAAAAGAAACCCTGGTACAGAGAATATAGAGAACATTAGGAAAGGCTGGAAGGATTACACCACTGAAGATGTCATTATTATAGAAAAAGCTGTGAAAGCTATTAAGCTTGAAACAGTAAATTGCTGCTGGAGAAAATTGTGTCCAGATGTTGTGCATGACTTCACAGGATTTACAACAGAGCCAGTCAAGGATATCATGAAAGAGATTGTAGATATTGTAGAAAAAAAAGTTGGGGAGTGGAGGTGAAGGATTTCACGATATGGATCTTGGAGAAGTTCATGAACTAATAGACACCACATCAGAGAAATTAACAGATGATGACTTGATGGAGATGAGTGCTTCTGAGCTATAACCAGGCAATGAAAAGATGAAGAAGCAGTTTCAGAAAACAAATTGACATTAGACAGTGTAGCAGAATGGTTCTGATTATTCAAGACTGCTTTTGACTTCGTTTACAACATGGACACTTCCATGATATGGGCACTGAAAAAACTAAATCAGTTTTTCTTATGGTGAAAGAAAAATGTATAAAGTATAGGAACATTTTTAGAGAAAGGAAAAAAAGTTAGAAATTATGATGTATTTCCATAATGTTACACTGAGTATGCTTGCCTCTCTTGCCTACCCTCCCAACTTCTCTACCTCGTCTGCCTCTGCCACCCCAAGACAGCAAGATCAACCCCTCCTCTTGTTCCTCCTTAGCCTACTCAATGTGAAAATGAGGAGAATGAAGATCTTTGATGATGCATTTCCACTTGATGAAAAGTATATTTTCTCTTCCTTATGATTTTCTTAATAACAATTTCTTTTCTCTATTTTAATATAAGAATACAATATATAATACATATGAAATACAAAATATGTGTTAATTGGCTTCGTGTTGTCAGTAAAGCTTTTGGTCAACAGTAGGTTAATAGCAGTTATTGGGTGAGTCAAAAATTATACATAGTGGCTGGCATGGTGTGGCTCACACCTGCAATCCCAGCCCTTTGGGAGGCTGAGGCAGGTGGATCTACTGAGCTTAGGAGTTTGAGACCAGCCTGGGCAACATGGCAAAACCCCGTCTCTTCCAAAGATACAAAAAAATTAGCCAGATATGGTGGCGTATTTCTGGAATCCCAGCTACTCAGGAGCCTGAGGTGGGAGGACCCCCTTGAACCTGGGAGGCAGAGGTTGCAGTGAGTCGAGTTTGTGCTACTGCACTTCCAGCCTGGGAGACAGAGTGAGATCCCATCTCAAAAAAAAAAAAAAAAAAAAGGATTTTCAACTATGTGGGAATCAGTACCCCCAGGCTCTGCATTATTCAAAGGTCAACTTAAGTAAGCAACATATAAAATACCTGAAAAATGTGTTTGAAGCTCTATGTAGGTAAAAATGATATTGAAGGGTATAAAATCATACATGATTTAGTGGAGAGACAAATTTTGTATGACAAAAAGTCTCAGTATTATAAAAAGATATGTTCTCCTTACTTTAGAATTTTAAATTCATATGAAAATTTCATTATAACTTGTTATATATTTATTAATAATATAAGTACACCTAAATACCAACATGATTTCTTTTTTTTGAACTAAAGACAATTCTAAGGTTTACATAGAAGAATAGACAGACAAACCTTAGAAAAAGATGGAATAATTAGAGGAAACTAGCATTTCAGATATTAAATCATGTTATAAAGATATAATAATTAAAGATTTATACCAGCATAGGAATAAGCAGACTAGTTTTATGAAATTTTAAAATTCATAAGTAAACCTAAACACATATGGAAATTTGGTATAGTATGTTTTACAACAGTGTAAGAAATAATATTTTAGGTCTTACATTTAAGTCTTTAATGCATCGTGATTTAATTTTTGTATAAGGTGTAAGGAAAGGATCCAGTTTCAGCTTTCTACATATGGCTAGCCAGTTTTCCCAGTACCATTTATTAAACAGAGAATCCTTTCCCCATTGCTTGTTTGTGTCAGGTTTTTCAAAGATCAGATGGTTGTGGATCTGTGGTGTTATTTCTGAGGCCTCTGTTCTGTTCCATTGGTATATATATCTGTTTTGGTATCAGTACCATGCTGTTTTGGTTACTGTAGCCTTGTAGTATAGTTTGAAGTCAGGTAGCATGATGCCTCCAGGTTTGTTCTTCTTGCCCAGGATTGTCTTGGCTATATGGGCTCTTTTTTGGTTCCGTATGAAATTTAAAGTAGTTTTTTCCAATTCTGTGAAGAAAGTCAGTGGTAGCTTGATGGGGATAGCATTGAATCTATAAATTACTTTGGGTAGTATGGCCATTTTCATGATATTGATTCTTCCTATCCATGAGCATGGAATGTTCTTCCATTTGTTTGTGTCCTCTTCTATTTCGTTGAGCAGTGGTTTGTAGTTCTCCTTGAAGAGGTCCTTCACATCCCTTGTAAGTTGGATTCCTAGGTATTTTATTCTCTTAGTAGCAGTTGTGAATGGGAGTTCACTCACGATTTGGCTCTCTATGTGTCTATTATTGGAGTATAGGAATGGCTGTGATTTTCACACACTGATTTTGTATCCTGAGACTTTGCTGAAGTTGCTTATCAGCTTAAGGAGATTTTGGGCTGAGACGATTGAGTTTTCTAAATATAAAATCATGTCATCTGCAAACAGAGACAATTTGACTTCCTCTTTTCCTAATTGAATACCCCTTATTTCTTTCTCTTGCCTGATTGCCCTGGCCAGAACCTCCAATACTATGTTGAATAGGAGTGATGAGAGAGAGCATCCTTGTCTTCTGCCGGTTTTCAAAGGGAATGCTTCCAGTTTTTCATTCAGTATGATATTGGCTGTGGGTTTGTCATAAATAGCTCTTATTATTTTGAGATATGTTCCATCAATACATAGTTTATTGAGAGTTTTTAGCATGAAGGGCTGTTGAATTTTGTTGAAGGCCTTTTCTGCATCTATTGAGATAATCATGTGATTTTTGTTGATGGCTCTGTTTATGTGATGGATTACATTTATTGATTTGTGTATGTTGAATCAGTGTTGCATCCCAGGGATGAAGCTGACTTGATGATGGTGGATAAGCTTTTTGATGTGCTGCTGGATTTGGTTTGCCAGTATTTTATTGAGGATTTTTGCATCGACGTTCATCAGGGATATTGGCCTAAAATTCTCCTTTTTTTCTTTTGTCTGTGCCAGGCTTTGGTAACAGGAAAATGCTGGCTTCATAGAATGAGTTAGGGAAGATTTCCTTTTCTTCTATTGATTGGAATAGTTTCAGAAGGAATGGTAACAGCTCTTCTTTGTACCTTTGGTAGAATTCAGCTGTGAATACTTCTGGTCCTGGACATTTTTTGGTTGGTAGGCTATTAATTATTGCCTCAATTTCAGAACCTGTTATTGGTCTATTATTCAGAGATTCAACTTCTTCCTGGTTTAGTCTTGGGAAGGTGTATATGTCCAGGAATTTATCCATTTCTTCTAGGTTTTCTAGTTTATTTGCGTGGAGGTGTTTATAGTATTCTCTGATGGTAGTTTCTATTTCTGTGAGATTGGTAGTGATATCCTCTTTATCATTTTTTATTGGTTCTATTTGATTCTTCTCTCTTTTCTTCGTTATTAGTCTTGCTAGTGGTCTATTTTGTTGATCTTTTCAAAAAACCAGCTCCTGGATTCATCAATGTTTTGAACGGTTTTTTGTGTCTCTATCTCCTTCAGTTCTGCTCTGATCTTAGTTATTTCTTGTCTTCTGCTAGCTTTTGAATGTGTTTACTCTTGCTTTTCTAGTTCCTTTAATTGTGATGTTAGGGTATTGATTTTAGATCTTTCCTGCTTTGTCTTGTGGGCATTTAGTGCTATAAATTTCCCTCTACATACTGCTTTAGATGTGTCCCAGAGATTCTGGTACATTGTGTCTTTGTTCTCACTGGTTTCAAAGAACATCTTTATTTCTGCCTTCCTTTCGTTATTTACCCAGTAGTCATTCAGGAGCAGGTTGTTCAGTTTCCATGTAGTTGTGTGGTTTTGAGTGAGTTTCTTAATCTGGAGTTCTAATTTTATTGCACTGTGGTCTTAGAGACAGTTTGTTGTGATTTCTGTTCTTTTACTTTTGCTGAGGAGTGTTTTACTTCCAATTATGTGGTCAATTTTAGAATAAATTTGATGTTGTGAGGAGAAGAAAACATATTCCATTGATTTGGGGTGGAGAGTTCTGTAGATTTCTATTATGTCTGCTTGGGCCAGAGATGAGTTCAAGTCCTGGATATCCTTACTAATTTTCTGTCTCGTTGAGCTGTCTAATATTGACAGTGGGGTGTTAAAGTCTCCCGTTATTATTGTGTGGGGGTCTAAGTCTCTTTGTAGGTCTCTAAGGACTTGCTTTATGAATCTGGGTTCTCCCGTATTGGGTATATATATATTTAAGACAGTTAGCTCTTCTCGTTGCATTGATCCCTTTACCATTATATAATGGCCTTCTTTGTCTCTTTTGATCTTTGTTGGTTTAAAGTCTGTTTTGTCAGAGATTAGGATTGCAACTCCTGCTTTTTTTTGCTTTCCATTTGCTTGGTAGATCTTCCTCCATCCCTTTATTTTGAGCCTATGTGTGTCTTTGCACATGAGATGTGTCTCCTGAATACAGCATACTGATGGGTCTTGATTCTTTATCCAATTTGGTAGTTTGTGTCTTTTAATTGGAGCATTTAGCCCATTTACATTTAAGGTTAATATTTTTATGTGTGAATTTGATCCTGTCATTCTGATGCTAGCTGGTTATTTTGCCCGTTAGTTGATGCAGTTTCTTCATAGCGTCGATGGTCTTTATAATTTGGCATGTTTTTGCAGTGGCTGGTACTGCTTGTTCCTTTCCATGTTTAGTGCTCCCTTCAGGTGCTCTTATAAGGCAGGCCTGATGGTGACAAAAATATCTCAGCATTTGCTTGTCTGTAAAGGATTTTATTTCTCCTTCACTTATGAAGCTTAGCTTGGCTGGATATGAAATTCTGGGTTGAAAATTCTTTTATTTATTTATTTGTTTACTTATTTATTTATTTTATTATACTTTAAGATTTAGGGTACATGTGCACAACATGCAGGTTAGTTATATATGTACACATGTGCCATGTTGGTGTGCTGCACCCAGTAACTCGTCATTTCACATTAGGTATATCTCCAAATGCTATCCCTCCCCCCTCCCCCCACCCCACAACAGGCCCTGGTGTGTGATGTTCCCCTTCCTGTGTCCATGTGTTCTCATTGTTCAGTTCCCACCTATGAGTGAGAACATGCGGTGGTTGGTTTTTTTGTCCTTGCTATAGTTTGCTGAGAATGAGGGTTTGCAGCTTCATCCATGTCCCTGCAAAGGACAGGAACTCATCATTTTTTATGGCTGCATAGTATTCCATGGTGTATATGGGCCACATTTTCTTAATCCAGTCTATCATCGTTGGACATTTGGGTTGGTTCCAAGTCTTTGCTACTGTGAATAGTGCCGCAATAAACATACATCTGCATGTGTCTTTATAGCAGCATGATTTATAATCCTCTGGGTATATACCCAGTAATGAGATTGCTGGGTCAAATGGTATTTCTAGTTCTAGATCCCTGAGGAACTGCCACACTGTCTTCCACAATGGTTGAACTAGTTTACAGTCCCACCAACAGTGTAAAAGTGTTCCTATTTCTCCACATCCTCTCCAGCACCTGTTGTTTCCTGACTTTTTAATGATTGCCATTCTAACTGGTGTGAGATGGTATCTCATTGTGGTTTTGATTTGCATTTCTCTGATGGCCAGTGATGATGAGCATTTTTTCATGTGTCTTTTGGCTGCATAAATGTCTTCTTTTGAGAAGTTTCTGTTCATATCCTTTGCCCACTTTTTGATGGGGCTGTTTGTTTTTTTCTTGTAAATTTGTTGGAGCTCATTGTAGATTCTGGATATTAGCCCTTTGTCAGATGAGTAGATTGCAAAAATTTTGTCCCATTCTGTAGGTTGCCTGTTCACTGTGATGGTAGTTTCTTTTGCTGTGCAGAAGCTCTTTAGTTTAATTAGATCCCATTTGTCAATTTTGTCTTTTGTTGCCATTGCTTTTGGTGTTTTAGACATGAAGTCCTTGTCCATGCCTATGTCCTGAATGGTATTGCCTAGGGTTTCTTCTAGGCTTTTTATGGTTTTACATCTAATATTTAAGTCTTTAATCCATCTTGAATTAATTTTTGTATAAGGTGTAAGGAAGGGATCCAGTTTCAGCTTTCTATATATCGCTAGCCAGTTTTCCCAGCACCATTTATTAAATAGGGAATCATTTCCCCATTTCTTGTTTTTGTCAGGTTTGTCAAAGATCAGATGGTTGTAGATATGCAGCATTATTTCTGAGGGCTCTGTTCTGTTCCATTGGTGTATTGCTTTTGGTATTTTAGTCATAAAGTCTTTGCCCATGCCTATGTCCTGAATGGTATTGCCTAGGTTTTCTTGTTGTGTATGCTTCATGAAGTTCTCGTGCTGTGTTTTTCAGCTCTATCTGGTCATTTATGCTCTTCTCTACAGTGGTTCTTCTAGTTAGCCATTCCTCTAACCTTTTTTCAAGATTTTTAGTTTCCTTCGATGGGTCAGACCATGCTCCTTTAGCGCAGAGAAGTTTGTTATTACCCACCTTCTGAAGCCTACTTCTGTCAACTTGTCAAACTCTTTCTCCATCCAGTTTTGTTCCCTTGCTGGCAAGGAGTTGTGTTCCTTTGGAGGAGAAGAGGCATTCTGGTTTTTGGAATTTTCAACCTTTCTCCTCTGGTTTTTCCCCATCGTTGTGGTTTTATCTACCTTTGGTCTTTGATGTTGGTGACCTACATATGGCGTTTTGGTGTGGATGTCCTTTTTGTTGATGTTGATGCTATTCCTTTCTGTTTGTTAGTTTTCCTTCTAACAGTCAGGCCTCTCAGCTTCAGGTCTGTTGGAGTTTGCTGGAGGTTGACTCCAGACCCTGTTTGCCTGGGTATCACCAGCAGATGCTGCAGAACAGCAAATATTACTTCCTGATCCTTCCTCTGGAAACTTCTTCCCAGAGGAGCACCCACCAGATGCCAGCCAGAGCTCTCCTATATGAGATTCTGTCGGCCCCTACTGGGAGATGTCTCCCAATCATGCTACACAGGGGTCAGGGGCCCACTTAAGGAGGCAGTCTGTCCATTATCAGAGTTTGAACGCTGTGCTTGGAGAACCACTGCTCTCTTCAGTGCTGTCAGGCAGGGATGTTTAAGTCTGCAGATGCTGTGCCCACAGCTGCCCCTTCCCCCAGGTGCTCTGTCCCAGGGGGATGAGGGTTTTATCTAGAAGTCCCTGACTGGGGCTGCTGCCTTTTTTTCAGATATGCCCTGCCCACAGAGGTGGAATCTAAAGAGGCAGTCGGCCTTGCTTAGCTTCAGTGGGCCCCGTCCAGTTCAAGCTTCCCGGCAGCTTGTTTACACTGTGAGCATAAAACTGCCTACTCAAGCCTCAGCAATGGCAGACACCCCTCCCCCTGCCAAGCTCCAGCGTCCCAGGTTGATCTCAGACTGCTGTGCTAGAATTTCAAGCCAACGGATCTTAGCTTGCTGGGTTCCGTGGGTGTAAGACCTAAAACCATAAAAAGCCTAGAAGAAAACCTAGGCAATACCATTCAGGACATAGGCATGGGCAAAGACTTTATGACTAAAACACCAAAAGCAATGGCAACAAAAGCCAAAAATAGACTACGGGATCTGATTAAACTAAAGACCTTCTGCACAGCAAAAGAAACTATCAGCAGACTGAACAGGCAACCTACAGAATGGGAGAAAATTTTTGTAATCTATCCCTCTGACAATGGGCTAATATACAGAATCTGCAAAGAACTTAAACAAATTTACAAGTAAAAAACAAATAACCCAATCAAAAAGTGGGCAAAGGATATGAACAGACACTTCTCAAAAGAAGACATTTATGCAGCCAACAGACATATGAAAAAATGCTTATCATCACTGGTTATTAGAGAAATGAAAATCAAAACCACAATGAGATAGCATCTCATGCCAGTTGGAGTGGCAATCATTAAAAAGTCGGGAAACAACAGATGCTCGAGAGGATGTGGAGAAACAGGAATGCTTTTACACTGTTGGTGGGAGTGTAAATTAGTTCAACCATTGTGGAAGATGGTGTGGCTTATTCCTAGATCCAAAAGGATCTAGAACTAGAAATACTATTTGACCTAGAAATCCCATTACTGGGTATATTCCCAAACGATTATAAATCATGCTACTATAGAGACATATGCACATGTGTGTTTATTGTGGCACTATTCACAATAGCAAAAACTTGGAACCAACCCAAATGTCCATCAATAATGGACTGGATAAAGAAAATTTGGCACATATACAACGTGGAATACTATGCAGCCATAAAAAAGGATGAGTTCATGTCTTTGCAGGGACATGGATGAAGATGGAAACCATCATTCTCAGCAAACTATCACGAGGAGAGAAAACCAAACACTACACGTTCTCACTCATAAATGGGAGTTGAGCAATGAGAACATGTGGACACAGGGAGGGGCACATCACACACCAGGGACTGTTGTGGGGTGGTGGGCTGTGGGAGGGATAGCATTAGGAGAAATAGCTAATGGAAATGATGAGTTGATGGGTGCAGCACACCAACATGGCACATGTATACCTATGTAACAATCCTGCACATTGTGTACATGTACCTTAGAACATAAAGTATAATAAAAAAAGAAAAAGAAACAATATTTTAATAGTTGCCCTCTTTAACAAACTAGTTAGATTTCTACTTCTCACTTTTCACATAAATTAACAGATGGCTCAACAACTTAAATATTTAAAAAATCACCAAAGTATTAGAAAAAGGAATAGGTGAGTCATTTTTAATATTCTGATAACTGACAGGTTTATTCAAGTAAAAGATAAAAGTTATAGGCCAGAAAAGATTGATAAAAATGAATCTTTAAAAATTTGAAAAAGAATTCCTCATTACATGAAATCCCATTACCAAAGAAAAAGAAGTCTGAGAAAACATATTTTTACTTAATATCATAAACAAACGTCTACTTTATCTGATTAATTTCAAGCTCACTGTAACCAATAGGAATGACAACTTTAGTTCAATATTTAAATGGGCGTAAGATTCATCAGTCAATGTAAATAAATTCCATTCTAAACGAATAAAAAAAGTTCAACCTAACACATCATATTAGAAAAACATGGTAACATTTATTTATTTTTTATGGCAAACACTGTAAATTCTGAGACTACACTAAGTTATTAAGGGTATGGAGACTAAGAAACCTTATGCATTGCTGGTGGGAGTATTAACTGATGCAAGAGTATTGAGAACAATGAAATTATTATTTTTTTTAATAAAAATTGCATCTTCTCTTTGAATCAACAATTCCACTTCTGAATATGCCCCATGCGCCACATTTTGAAAATACTGAGAACCGGAAGCATGGACAAGTAACAATAACCAGTGTCTCCACAGATCACAGCAGTCGAAAATTGAACTTACTTATTCTAAATATCTCCACATTCAGTTTTTATGTAATCCTGAAGAGTAGAACTGCAAGTCAGAATATGGGTCCATTTGCAGAACTTTCAAAGAGCTAGAGATAGTTAACAGCGGAATGACCTGCTTTTGAGCTTTCTGTTGCTGGAAGGGTTCAAGATACAACCAAATAAACATGTGATAATGCTGTTGTAGGAAGAAGAAGAAACGTCTGTTCACACCCAGTGGGGTCCGGTGTAGTGTCCAAGAGGTCCAAGTAGAGACTCAACTTTAGCGAGAAGCGTACATAAAACTTAGGCAGGGGCCAGAGCCTCCAACAGGAACCTAGAGTACAGGACTAGTCATTTAGAAACTGGGATAGTGGGAAATGTGATGGATGAAAAGTAAGGACTGGAAAGCAAGACAGAAGCCCCAGCCAAATAACTGCAATAACATTTGGAAGAGGGGAAGAAAATAGTACAGAATATGATTCTTAGAGCTGTAGTGTGCTCACAGCTCTGAAGAAACAAGGCTTTAATCTGATTTTTGGTGGAGGAAATCTCTGTAGTCATCACAGGATACAGGGGATTGATTTAGTCCCAAACTCCATACCTGGGATAAGTCAAACTGACAGGCAAGCAACATGGATACCTAATTTTAAGTTTGATGCTTTATCTACTCCTAGATTTAAAATTATTAAATAATTCAGATGACAGTGCCATGGGGAAAATACCTTATTTCATGGGAAAGAAGTAAATGCTTCAATTATCTGTAGCTTTTGACTGATGTCTATTTTTGGTTTAAGCCTCTTTGTAACCAATTATATAATTTTATGGCAAACTGATTTTGTGATGAACAAAGTTCAAATGACTCAAGTATAAATTATTACCAACGAATTTATTATGTCACTCAATAAACCAAAAGCATGCACAGGAATAGATTTCCTAGCATGAAGTATGTATTTAATTTTTAACTTTTTAAAAATAAAGAATTGTGGTATAATTTTACAAACTAATAAGTCCCTAAAATCATTACCTAACTAGTCTACTCTATCCTTGAAAGAGATGCAACATCTATGAAGCCTTTATACAAAAACCCCAAATTTAAGTTTACCCCATGAGTACCCTATAAAATTGTAAAAAGCTTTCTAATACTTTCCATTTGTGTTTTAAAATATTTGTATTAGATGTGAATTATTTTTAAAGATGTAATAAGTATAAATATTTTTCAACTGCCTGACTTGTTTTGTCCAGTTACATGTAATAGATACATATAAATAATTATTGGTAGTTATTACATATTTACTATATTACATATAGTAAATATATAGCTATATATTTACTATATTACATATAGTAAATATTAGCTATAATTTACTATATTACATATTGTAATATTACTATTACTATTAGTATTACAAATATTAGTAAATATTTACCAATATTTACTATGTTACATGTTTAATATTTACTATATTACATACAGTAAATATGTATAAATATAGTAAGTATATAGTAAATATAGTAATATAGTAATTTATTTAATATTTACTATAATATTTACTATATTACAGTAATGCATGTTATATTTAATGTTTAATATAATTTAATTTAATATAATAACATGCTATAACATAATTTACTATATTTAATATTTAATATATGTACTACATTACATATTTACTATATATTCCATATAGTAAATATTATATATAGTAAATAGGTAATAATTACCAACAATGGTTATAGTGGGCAAACACTGTATTAGGCATTAGGGATCAAGCAATTAATAAGCCAGACACTATTCTTGCCTTCTTAAAGCTTTTATAGTCTGGTAGACAATACAGAGAAGACTGATTATCTACAGGTGTGGTGAAGGTAATAAAATTACACTATTGGAGCATATTACAAAGGGATCTAATTGAGACTTAGAGAAATTACACAATTTCCTCTAACTAAGAGGTGAAGCAGGCATTGTAAATCCAGTCCCATATTAAAACATACAAAGCTAAGCTGTTCATGTTCATTATACAGAATTTGAAAAACGCCAAGAAATACAAAATCACATGCCAATATTTTGATTTTGTAACTTTTAACGTTAATTTTTTTATTTAAAGTAGTTAATATAGGTTCATGATAGAACATCCATTCTCTTTCATTATTTGAAATGACATATAGCAGAATGTCCCCTTCCTTTGTCTTTCAGTCACGCTGTTCCCTGCCCAGGAGGTACTTACTGTGTTCAGCTTCTTATTTATCCTTCCAGAACTATGCCAAAATGCTACTTCCACAAGTATACAGGATATGTACGTTGCATCATAGAACATTTTCAGTACCTTTGAAGTCCTTAGTGTGCTCCATCCCAATCTCTTCCTCCTCCCACCTTTCTATTCTTTGTTTCATATTTTATTTTAGAATCAGGGGGTACATGTGCAGGTTTGTTACAAAGATATATTGCATGATGCTGAGATTTGGAGTACAATTGAGCCTGTCACCCAGGTGATGAGTGTAGTAACCAATAGGTAGTTTATCATCCGTTGACCCACTCCTTCTATCCCCCTCTAATAGTCCCCAGTGTGTGTTGTTCCCATCTTTATGTCTGAGTGTACCTAATGTTTAGCTCCCACTTATAAGTGAGAATATACAGTATTTGATTTTCTGTTTCTGGATGAGTTTGCTTAGAATAACGACCTCCAGCTGCATCCAAGTTGCTGCAAAGGGCATGATTTCATTCCTTTTTATAGCTGCAAAGTTTTCCATGTGTATATGTACCACATTTTAAAAATTCAGTTCACCACTGCTAGGTACCTGGGTTGATTCCATGTCTTTGTGACTGTGAATAGTGCTGCAATTAACATACATATGCATGTTTCTTTTTTGGTAGAACTATTTATTTTCCTTTGGGTATACACAGTAATGGGATTGCTGGGTTGAATGGTAGTTCTAAGTTCTCTGAGAAATCTCTAAACTGCTCTCCACAGTGTCTGAACTAATTTACATTTCCACCAACAGTGTATAAACATTCCTTTTTGTCACAGTGTCACCAATATCTATCATTTTTTGGCTTTTAAAGAAAATCCATTCTGACTGGTGTGAGATAGTACCTCATTGTGGTTTTAATTTGCTTTTCTCTGATGATTAGTGATGATGAACATTTTTTCATACGTTTTGGCCACTTGTATTTGTAAGCCTTTTTGCCTTTTTTTTTTTTTTTTTTTTTTTTTTTGAGACAATCTCACTGTGTCACCCAGGCTCAAGTGCAGTGATGTGATCTTGGCTCACTGCTACCTCTGCCACCTGGGTTCAAGCAATTCTCGTTCCTCAGCCTCCCGAGTAGCTGGAGTTACAGGCGTGGACAACAGTGCCTGGCAAGTTTTTGTATTTTTAGTAGAGACACGATTTTGCCATGTTGGCCAGGCTGGTCTCGAACTCCTGACCTCAAGAGATCTGGCTGCTTTGGCCTTGCAAAGTGCTGGGATTACAGGCGTGAGCCACCAAGCCCAGCCGTATGTTTTAATCTGAGAAATGTCTGTTCATGTCCTTTGCCTTATTTTTGATGGGGTTGTTTTTTGATTATTGAATTAAGTTCCTTAGAGATTCTGGATATTACACCTTTGTTGGATGCTTAGTTTTTGAATGTTTTATCTGATTTTGTAGGGTGCCTATTTACTAACATGATGGTTTCCCTTTCTGTGCAGAAACTCTATAACTTAATTAGATACCATTTGTAAGTTTGTGTTTTGTTGCAATTGTTTTTGAGGACTTGGCCACAAATTCGTTGCAAATGATTTTATCAAGTAGGATATTTCCTAGGCTCTCTTCTAGAATTTTTATACTTTGAGGTTTTAAATTTAAGTCTTTAATCTGTTTTTAGTTAATTCATTATTCTGCAAACAAACAGCCAGTTATTCCAACACCATTTATTGAACCGGGAGTTTTGTTCCTCATTACTTATTTTTGTTGACCTTGTCAAAGATCAGATAGCCGTAGCTGTGCAGCTTTATGTCTGGGTTCCCTATTCTGTCCCATTGGTCTAAGTGTCTGTTTTGTACCAGTATCATGCTGTTTTGATTACTGTAGCCTTACAGCATAGTTTGAAGTCAAGTAATGTGATGCTTCTGGATTTGTTTCTTTTGCTTAAGATTGCTTTGGCTATATAGGCTATTTCTTTATTTTCGATCCACATGAATTTTAGAATAGTTTTTTTTTTCTAATTCAGTAAAAAAATAATGTTAGTAGTTTGAAAGGAATAGCACTGCATCTGTAAATTGCTTTGGGCAGTATGGCTATTTTAACTGTGTTGATTCTTCCAATATATGAGCACGGAGTGTTTTTCTCTTTATTTGTGTCATTTCTGATTTCTTTCAGAAGTGTTTTGTAGTTCCCCTTGCAGAGATCTTTTACTTCTTTGGTTAGCTGTATTCCTAGGTGTTTAATTCTTTCTGTGGCTATTGTAAATGCTACTACATTCTTGATTTGACTTTTAGCTTGAGGATTATTGGCATTTAGAAATGCAACTGATTTTTGTACATTGATTTTGTATCCTGAAACTTTACTGAAGTCATTTATCAGTTCCAGGAGACATTTGGCAGAGTCTTTAGGTGTTTCTAGGTATAGAATCATATTATCAGTGAAAAGAGATAGTTTGACTTCTTTTCCTATCTGGATGCCTTTTAGGTCTTTCTCTTACCTGATTGCTCTGGCTAGGACTTTTCAGTATTGTGTTGAACAGGAATGGTGAGTAGGTATCCTTGTGTTCCAGCTTTCAAAGAAAATGGTTCCAGCTTTTGCCCATTTAGTATGATGTTGACTGTGGGTTTGTCATAAATGGCTCTTATTATTTTGAGGTATGTTACTTTGATGCCTAGTTTGTTGAGGTTTTTTTCTTTAATCAAAAAGAGATGTTGGATTTTATTGAAAGCATTTTCTGCGACTATTGAGATGACCAAAAGTTTTTGTTTTTAATTCTGTTTATTTGGCAAATCACATTTACTGATGTGCATATGTTGAAATAACCTTGTATCACAGGAATAAAGTCTACTTGATCATGGTGAATTAACTTTTTGATATGCTAATTGATTTGATTTGCTAGTGTTTTGTTGAGGATTTTTGCATCTATGTTCATCAGGAATATTGGCCTGAAGCTTTTAATTTTCATTGTGCCTGTGCCAGATTTTGGTATCAGGACAATACTGGTTTCATCGAATGAGTTAGGGAGGAGTTCCTCTTCCTTGATTTTTTGAGGAATAGTTTCAGTGGGATTTGTACCAGTTCTTCGTATGTCTTGTAGAATTTGGCTGTGAATATGTCTAGTCCAGGGCTTTTTTTTTGTTGGTGGATTTTTTATTACTGATTTGTTCAGGTTTTCAGTTTCTTCCTGATTCTATCTTGGGAGGCTGTGTGTTTCCAGAAATTTATTCATTTCTTTTAGATTTTCTAATTTGTGTTTGTAGAGGTGTTTATAGTAGTCTCTGAGGATCATTTGTCTTTCTGTGAGATTGGTTGTAATGCCATCTTTTTCGTTTCTGATTCTGCTTATTTGTATCTTCTCTATCACTTTTGTTAATCTAGCTAGCCATCTATTAATCATGTTTATTCTTTCATAGAACCAGCTTTGTGTTTCATTTATCTTTTATATGGACTTTTGCATCTGTTTCATTCAGTTCTTCACTGATTTTAGTTATTTCTTTTCTTCTGCTAGCTTTGGGTTTGTATTGTTCTTGCTTTTCTTGTTCCTCTAGGTGGAATGTTAGAGTATTAATTTGAGATGTTTCTAATTTCTTTGTGTTGGCATTCAACATTATAAACTCTCCTCTTAACACTGCTTTAGCTGTATCCCACAGACTTTTGTATGTTGTGTCTTTGTTTTCATTAATGTTGAAGAAATTTTTGATTTCTGCCTTACTGTTGTTGTTTGCCCAAGAAACATTCAGGATCAAGTTGTCTAATTTTTATGTAATTGTGCAGTTTTGAGAGATCATCTTGATATTGATTTCTGTTTTTATTGCACTGTGGTTTGAGAGTGTGCCTGGTATGATTTCAATTTAAAAAAATATTTTGAGACTTGCTTTCTGGCTGAGCATGTGG
Organism: Homo sapiens; assembly: GCF_000001405.40. Taxonomy (NCBI): domain Eukaryota; kingdom Metazoa; phylum Chordata; class Mammalia; order Primates; family Hominidae; genus Homo; species Homo sapiens. The sequence goes on from NC_000011.10 coordinate 96,736,047, forward strand.
TTTATCTTAGGGTATGTTTTGTGTGTGGATGAGAAAAATGTATATTTTGTGGTTTGGGGATAGTATTCTGTAGATACCTATTTGATCCAATTGGTTAAGTTTCAAGTTTAATTCCAGAATTTCTTTGTTAATTTTATGCCTCATAATCTATCGAATGCTCTCAGTTGGGTGTTGAACTCTCTGCCAATTACTGTGTGGCTGTCTAAGTCTTTTTGTTGGTCTAGAATAACTAGTTTTATAAATCTGAGTGCTTCGATGTTGTGTGCATATATATTTAGGATATTTAAGTGTTCTTATTGAATTGAATGCTTTATCATTATGTAATGCTCTTCTTTGTCCTTTTTTACTGTTACTGCTTTAAGTCTGTTTCATCTGATAGAAAAGTAGTGACCTGTGCTCTTTTTTGTTTTCCTTTGCGTGGTACATGATTCTCTATCCCTTTACTTTGAGCCTGTAACAAAAGATGGTTGGGTCTTTTTTTTTTTTTTTTTAATGCAACTTGCCGATCTATTCCTTTTAAGAGGGGTGTTTAGATGATTTACATTCAAGGTTAATATTGATATGTGAGATTTTGCTCTTGTCATCATTTTGATACAGGCTTGATTGTGTAATTGCTTTATAGTGTCTGTGACTATGTACTTAAGTGTACTTTTGTGGTAGCTGGTAATTGTTCTTTCATTTCCATGTTTAGCACTCCCTTAAGGATTTCTTGTAAGCCTGGTCTAGTGGTTACAAATTCCCTTAGCCATTACTTGTATGAAAAGGATTTCATTTCTCCTTTGCTTATGAAGTTTAGTTTGGCAGGACTCGAAATTCTTGGTTGGATTTTTTTTTTCTTAAGGGTGCTAAAAATAGGCCCCAATCTCTTCTGGCATGTATGTTTTCTGCTGAGAGTCCACTGCTAGCCTGATGGGGTTCCTTTTTAAGTGATGACCCTTCTCTCTATCTGCCTTTGAGATTTTTTTCTTTTGCTTTGACCTTGATGAATCTGATGACTATGTATGTTGAGGATGGACATCTTGCATAATACCTCACAGGTGTTCTCTGAATTTCTTGAATTTACATGTAGTCCTCTTTAGCAAGATTGGGAAATTTTTCATGCACTGTATCCTCAAATATGTTTTCCAAGTTGCTTACTCTCTCTCTTTGTCTTTCAGGAATGCCAGTGGGTCATAGGTTTGGTTTCTTTATGTCATCCCATATTTCTCCGTGATTTTGTTCATTTTTAAAAATACTTTTTTTTTTTTTTACTTTTATCTGACTGAATTGATTCAAAGGATCAGTCTTCAAGCTCTGTTGTTCTTTCCTCCACTTGCTCTATTCTGTTGTTTAATGACTTCTGATTGTATTATAAAATTCTTGTAGTGAATTGTTCAATTCCAGAAGTTCAGTTTGCCTCCTTCTTAAAATGGCTGTGTTGTCTTTCAACTCTTGGGTAGTTTTACTGGATTTCTTGGATTAGGTTTCAACTTTATCCTGAATCTTGATATGTTTCCTTGACATTCAGGTTCTGAATTCTATGTCTGTCATTTCAACCGTTTCAATCCAGTTAAGAACCACTGCTGGGAAGCTAGTCCGATCATTTGGAGGTAAGGAGACACTCTTGACTGTTTGAATTGCCAGTGTACTTGCACTGATTCTTTCTCATCTGAGAGGGCTGGTGCTCCTTTATCTTTTTGAATTTGCTGTTGTTTGGATGGGGGTTTCTGTTTTTATATTCTTTATTTCCTTTGAGGGTTTGACTGTGGTGTAAATTGAGTATAGTTGTTTGGCTTCATTTCTGGGTGCTTTCAGAGGGCCAAGGCTCTTTATGGGATCTTCATTTGTAGCTAGATTCTTGCACTGGATTTCGTAGGTGACATATGCTAGAATTTTTTTGGTGGTGTTGTTCAGGATGTGATCTAGTAGGTGACTTTTATGAGTAACAACCAGAGGATAGGATTTCAGCCACATGGCTCTTTGTAATTCAGTGTGTTTATAGCAGTGCTTTCTGATGGGGGAGATGGGGAGGGAGGGCAATGCGGGAAAAGATGATCCCCTTGCCAGGTCCATTACTGGGCCTCAGGGAAGCCCCCTCCAATCACTGGTGCCAAGCCCACACTTCGTTAGCCACAAGGGGGGCCCTGGTGGGCTGTGCTCCCCTCTCCCTTAGGGGCTACCCAAGCTGAAGGATAGGTTACCAGGAGACCCACAACACTCCAGAGGCCCACTGGTCTTCTGTACTTGGCAAAATCGGAGCAGGTTGTTGGGTATGTCCACTGGTGGTGTGTTGATGCATTAGGTCAAAGGTGGGGTATCACCTGGTAGGGCAGTGTTGCTGTGGGTGTGCAGCCTATGAGGTGCTCATAGCCTGGGGCTAGGGCTGTATGTTTTTTTTTTTTTTTTTTTGTATTCTTTTGCCCAGCAGACAGCTGTGCAGACCACCCAGCTGCTCCAATATGTGGCCTGCCCAGCGAGTTTTGTCCCAAGCCTTCTGCACACAAATCGTTGGCCTGTTAGACATTCCAGGCACTGTGGGGCTGCCTCAGGCAGAGGCTGCTGCTGGTGGCCAGGCCACACCTTTCCTGGACCAGCCCTGTAAAGGGATGCATGCCCAGCTCCAGGAAGGCATACCAGCCCAGGAACCTGCGCCTCACAATCTTCTCAGTATTCTGAGAGTGAGGGCTCTTCCCGTGCTGAGTTCCAGCCACAGATCTCAGCTTTGCACCCCAGAGCTGCATACCCTAACCCTTTAGGTGCTGGGACTGGGCCTGCTGTTTTGTCTTCTGGCCCCTTGGGGTTGGGCACTGGCTGTGCTGGGGGAACAGAAGTGCTCCCAGGCCACAGGGGAGTGGTGGGATCTCTTGCAGTTAAGATCCCAGAGCTCCGCAGTGAGAGTGGGTTGCCTGTCCTGCTGTCACTTCACTCACCCCTTCCTTAGGAGCTGTTCAGGGTTGGGAACTAGTCCTGGCATTTAGCAAGTCCATGTGGGGTTCGCAGCTTTCTCCCTCTTCAGCCTCCCTCTTCAGTCTGCATCACCTCTCTGTCAGCTCTCAGTGTTTTCTCTCAAAAGGTTTTTCAAAGTATGTTAGTTTACTGGATATTTTGGTCTCTCTTGGTGGGCGAAGTGCTTCCTGGTTACATCTAGTTGGCCATCTTGTCTCTGCTTCCCACCACTCTAGAAGTTAGCTACTAACCTGAATTTTGTCTTAATTATCTCTTTGCCTCTTCAAAATAGTTTACAACATATGTAGGTAACATGTATTTTTGAAGTTTAAATACTCTTAACAGTATTTTTAAAGTTCTATTATTTTTATATAAAAGGAGTCCTACTTGGTTAATGTTTACTTGAAAATTATCCATGATGATACCTGTATCTGTAGTTATCCATATCTAATGATGAACAGTGCTCTAATTGTAGCAATATACTACACATTTTTTGTCCCTTGTTTTTAACATTTGGTTTTCACTTAAAAAATTGTTTTTTGCTATTATCAAACAATTATGGCATGAATGTTTCTATTCATGTTTTCTGGTGCACATGTACGGCGGTTCCATTTCAGAGCTACCAGATTTTAATTAATCAAGGAGAGTAAGTCTGACAATACCATGGTATCAAGGTATTTGATATTTCTGTATAACAAAACACCTGAAAATGTTAGTGGCTTAACTCTAGTCTTGTGAGGTTGGCTTAGCTCTTGTGCTAATCTGCCCTGAGTTGAGCTGATCTCTCCTGGGTTCATCATATGTCAGCTAACAGTTCATAAATTGGCTGGGACTGGCTGCATCAGGACACATTCATGTCTGCTCTGAACCATCTTTCATCATCTAGCAGGTTAGCTTGGACTTGTTCTCATGAAGTATCAGCATTTCTAAAAAAAAGAAAAAAAAAGGCAGAAACGTACAAGGCCTCTGAAGTCTAGGCTTGGAAAAGGCACACAATCACTTCTGCAAAATTCTTTTGGTCGAAGTAAATCTAAAATCCAGCCTTAGCTGGGCATGGTGGCTCATGCCTGTAATCCCAGCACTTTGGGAGGCCGAGGCAGGCAGATCACAAAGTCAAGAGATCAAGACCATCTGGCCAACATGGTGAAACCCCATCTCTACTAAAAATACAAAAATTAGCTGGGCATGGTGGCACACACCTGTAGTCCCAGCTACTTGGGAGGCTGAGGCAGGAGAATCTCTTGAACCTGGGAGACAGAGGTTGCAGTGAGCCGAGATTGCACCACTGCACTCCAGCCTGGTGACAGAGCAAGACTCCGTCTCAAGAAACAAACAAACAAACAAAAAAAAACACACCAAAAAACAAACAAACAAACAAAATCCAGGCTTTATGGAAGGAAGGGAGAAATAGACTTTGATAGGTGGAGCTGCAAAGTCATATGGCAAAGAACATGGATGCAGTGAAGGGTGCTCAATGACACAATTTTTGTAATCAGTATATCATACCCAGTGTTTGGGAGGATAAACTGTAGTGGGAGTTCTCCTATCCTGCTGGCATTCATGTAATTTATTTAATAATTTTGGCAATTAATTATTGCATTATCTAGTAAGCTCCAGGATTATTGTTTATTACTCCTTGCCACAAATTTTTCAGGGGCAGATCTTGTAGGGAGGATATCTAGGAAAGCCTGTGATTGTTTTCTGCTTTACCTATGCCACGGTAGGTTCATGCCTGATTCTGGGATGTAGTATTAATAAGTCATCTGTTCCCATGTACAAGGAATAGCAGGTAGAGAGCTGGCATTTCCACCTCCACCAGTCTCACTCCATATGTACTTCTCTACCATTTCATAAGTAGCACTGGGAAAAGCATTTTAGTAATTGGGCTTCCTCATATCACAGCAGCATATTGTTTAATGTCTGTCTTTATGTCTAAAGATAATTTCTTTTCTTTGATATCAGGCATCACATCAGTGTAATTCAGTATAGCACTTAGAATGATGTCAAGGCATTTTATCAGTGATTATCGGACTGACTCGTGGAATGAATGAATAAAAGAACATTTTCCTTTTGAAAGAACTAAGGGACCATGCCATCAAAGTGAGGCGCTGTCTTGTTCTTTAGGTTGCTGAGATATTTTTGGCTGTGACCCATTTTATTTTTATACTATACTCTAATCAGCAACTTTTGGCTCACGTTCACATGGTGTATGTGTTCTTTTGCGCTGACTATGACGCTGAATAATCACTACTCACTAGTAGGTATCACCTCTTTCTGGATTGTCCTGAATGGTGACCTCTATAAAGACAAAGGCAGCAGAATGAATTCGCAATCCTGCCTACTTAGCATCTTAGCAGTGGACAGTTGGTTTCAGGTTTTTGGCACCCCCAGCATTTTTCTTTCATTCTGATTCATACAATGGAATCCACTGAGAGCAAATACATTAGCAAGGACATTTGTAAAACTACCCTTTCTGGAAAACTGTAAAATAAAAAATTAGGTTTTCTTTCTCTTACGGGGAGAAATCTGAGCTAGGCAGCTTCTTCCAGAGGATACTGCTATTTATAGAATTCCAGAAAATTAGGTATTTTAAAACTTTTTCAGAACTTTTAAATGTTCTGAAAAATTTCCTACATTTGCTAAAGTAGAGACAATAGCATAATAAAACTTAGGTGCCACCATCCTCGTGAAACTAGATGCTAGAGGACTACAATTTGAATGGTGGGACACTGAGCCAATCAAAAGGTCAAAGGTATAGGTTCTGATATTATATGTTCCATCTTTCTAGAATATGGTGGTTATAGATTAATAGCTATGAGATCAGAGTCAGAGATTAAACAATAACTCTGTGGGATTGTAGTACTATCATTATTTATTGTCACCTATGAGGATACAGGAGAAAGGAGGGTTAGTAACTGGCACAAGGTCACAGGACTTGTAAGTAGTGTAGAGGGCTTCGCAGATCAGCATCATGAGCTCACACTTTCACCATCCTCCCACTCAGCCTCACTCCTGTCCTCAGCACACACACACCCACTCATTGCTTCTTATTTGTACCTGAGATCCCCTCTTTTATGGTGTATGGCCTCTTTGAAATCCCTAGGTTCAGCTGGGTGCAGTGCCTCATGTCTGTAATCCCAGCACTTCGGGAGGCCAAGGCAGGAGGATCACTTGAGGTCGGGAGTTCAAGACCAGCCTGGCCAACATGGAGAAACCCCCTCTCTACTAAAAATCCAAAAAAATTAGGCGGGCATGGTGGTGGGCGCCTGTAATCCTAGCTACTCAGGAGGTTGAGGCAAGAGAATTGCTTGAATCTGGGAGGCGGAGGTTGCAGTGATCCGAGATCACGCCGCTGCACTCCATCTTGGGTGACAGAATGAGACTCCATCTTAAAAAAAAAAAAAAAGAAAAAAAAGAAATTCTTAGGTTTTCCATTTCCTTTTTATCTTGTTTATTTCTCCAGTAAAGATCACTTGCCCCATGCCTTCTGGAACCCATGATAATTTTTTTTTATTTCCTTTTTGGAGACGGAGTCTCGCTCATTTTCCCAGGCTGGAGTGCAGTGGCGCAATCGCAGCTCACTGCAACCTCCGCCTCCTGGGTTCACGCCATTCTCCTGCCTCGCCTCCCGAGTAGCTGCGACTACAGGTGCCCGCCACCATGCCCGGCTAATTTTTTGCATTTTTAGTAGAGATGGGGTTTCACCATGTTAGCCAGGATGGTCTCAATCTCCTGACCTCATGATTTGCCCTTCTCGGCCTCCCAAAGTGCTGGGATTACAGGCATGAGCCACCACGCCTGGCCAATAATTGTTATTTTTTTATGTTTACTTTTGGATCATTGTTCTGCCATATGACTTAATTATTATCTTTCAGTTGTTATTCCTCTGCCTATGGCATCTATTTTTATTTTTTGTCATATCTTGCCTTTTCCTTCTTTCCCTTTTCACAATTTCCTACTTTTTCTCTATCTGCTATTAGCCTTTAACATTTGTGTGTTGATGACCCTTTGACCCCTCTAGCCTTATAATTTATGTATCTATGCCAGGGCAAGTATTCAAAATTCTCATAATCAATAATATTTTCTACCATTTTACACTTAGACATTCACAATTATAGCTATGGAGAGTGGAACAAAGCCTAGTGATAAAGAATACTGACTCTGAAATTAATAGATATAAATTAGAAAATGTGGCTTACTACCTACTTGGCCTTGGGAAAGTTGCCCTTTGTAAACCTTAGTTTATACAGATGTAGGATTTACTTAGAGTATCTTCATAATATAGTTATTAGAACTAAGTGAAAAATTATCTGGTAAGAGTATAGCAAAAAGCTTGGAATGTTGTAGAAATCCTTAGTAAATATTGGCACTAAGAATGTGTGTACATAAATTCTTCAGTCCTTAGAATCACTCAACCTTTAAGCTCTATTATCATGCTTTTTATGACCACTTCTATGCCTCTTACTTCTACTACTTACTCACTACAAATGAATAGCGATGTTCTACACTCACAGCACTTTTTGGCTATTGTTTTAATTTATCGCTCCTTCTGGACTCAACAGTCTCTCTCCACTTTGTAAGCCATTTTCATAATGTGCTTGCTAATAAGTACCACTGAGTCTCCTGTACTCTTGACTTTCTGTGCCTAGAAATTCTTCAACTTCTGCTGTTATCTTTCTTTTAGTCAAAATTTCTTAGTCTATATATCTTTTGAAAATTTTTATTTTTCTTAACGAATATGCACATACTTATGCTATTTAACTTCGTCTGATTCTTCGTGGGTGCCCAGAATTATTCACTTTTTTTTTTTTTTTTTTTTTTTTTTGAGACGGAGTCTCGCTCTGTCGCCCAGGCTGGAGTGCAGTGGCGCAATCTCGGCTCACTGCATGCTCCGCCTCCCGGGTTCACGCCATTCTCCTGCCTCAGCCTCCCAAGTAGCTGGGACTACAGGCGCCCGCCACTACGCCCGGCTAATTTTTTTTTTTTTTTTTTTTTTTAATAGAGATAAGTTTTCACCGTGTTAGCCAGGATGGTCTCAATCTCCTGACCTCGTGATCCGCCCGCCTCGGCCTCCCAAAGTGCTGGGATTACAGGCGTGAGCCACCGCGCCCGGCCGAATTATTCACTTTAATTGATTCCAAATAAGTTGAATCTGAATATAATTTTTCCAAATTTTCAGTTTTTCTCAAATCACCAACAATGCTTAGTAAGTATTAGGACAATTGGATGAGGATACCATGTCTCTTTGTGATTCTTATTACAAAACACATCATCTCTCTTATTCTAACTTCTACTTCGTTACCAAGATATTGTTCCATCTTTCCAAATTCTGTGGGGTTATTTTTCCTATTAGACATTTCTGAAAGCAAAGATACCAATTGCAACTACTGTTTAAAACAACCATAAAGTTATTATTTTTTATGGAAGGAACACTCACTACCAAGGAATATTTTATGTATCCATTTTTTTCTAATACTATCTTTCTGTGATCTTCAGTCTTAGTAAGGATAGCCTCTCTCTGTAGCCATAATTGCAAAATTCCTTTATCTGGTGGTGTTTTTTTTGTTTTCACTAGACAGTAAGGGCATTTATAATCCCCTCCCTTTTGCTCTGTCCCTTTTGGTCTTATAATCTGTCCCTTTTGCTCTTTCACTAACATTAAGCCACTACTACCGTAATCCCTACTATTATGCTAGCCACACAGAATATAAATACACACAATCTCTAATTTCAAGGTCCTTACAACTGATAAATGCCATTCCAATAATATTTCAGTGTAAATTATTCATATGTTTTCTTCCTGTATTTAAAATCTTGATTAATTCTATTCAATATCAACCCCATCTCATCTTTCTCCTCTTCAGCAAAGAGGAAGTCTAAGCCAGATCTGTAGTCCGTGTGATCTGGCTTAGTCATTTCACAATTCTAAACCAAGGAGCCTCTCTCTCCTATTGGAGTTTAGAAGTCATACTTTCTGCAGTTGCATAGTTGGGCATCAAATGAATCAGTTTCTAACATTTGAGAATGGAGTAGTAAAAAAATATTTCAGCAATAAGATCTAGATATCATTTAAGCATTACTTTCTCAAATGGAAGGGGAAAAAAGATCTTGATTGGTCTCAAGAAATGCACAAATCAGAGAATGGGCTGTTTTGAGACATTCTTACAAGGTCACCTACAGGAAAGCCCGGCCTACAGAGGATGCTGCTCTTTATTTATGGAACCAGTGAGCTGCTTGTGAAAGACTGGCTGGAAAAAAATAGAAAGCCTGGAAAAAAAAAAAAAAGGACAGAAAATGCTGTCTTCTTTTTGACTGGGAAGATCACAACTTTTAGCTTGCCCTCGTTTTGCCCTGGGACTGCCACATCTGCAGGTGAGACTTCCCAGAGTCTCATGTAAAACGATAGACAGATGGAAGTTCTAACCTTTAAAAAGGGTAGACCACATCTAAACAGTTGGGAATTTAATCAATTAAAAGATAAAGGAATTTACCCAGTGGTCTTTTCTCCTGAACAGGATGATCTTTTGCCTACAGGCATGCAAAAATTACTTTCTTTAGTTATTTTTAGGTCCAGTCTAAAAACAGAGAAGACATTGGCCAGAATGTCAGTTGACAGTTGTCTTCAATTAGTTCTGATACATAAGTGAGTTTTCAGAAAGGAAAAAAATAAAACTTCTATAGTATAGTTTCATTCGGAAACCTAAAAATACATTCCTAGCAATTTGGGTAGGAAAAGAAAGCTCTCTGCAATAAAACTGCATGTTTTGCAAAGTCCTTACCTTTTTGGTACTTTGAAAGCTTAAAAATTAAATCTGCTTTAAACAAAAATATTTCAGCTCATGTAACCTCTGTAAAAGGTGCTGTTGAGAAACGAATTAATAAAAATTAACTTTTCTAGAAAAATCTGTAAAGAAGAAAAAAGGCATGTGCAAGTGGTTAATGTAAGGCTTGTGTGTTTGAGTAAAAGTACTACTTAGGGCAAGCTGTCACCTAATAATGGTTATGCAGGGTAGGAGGGCCTCCACTGTTATACTTCTAATCCTCTTTTGTTTTGCTACTCAAATCAAAATATATACTTTTGATAATAGCCAATTGCTCTTTTACTAAGAGATAATCTCTACCTATAGAAATGTATTTTGAAAATACTTATTTTACACAGCAATTTTGTCCATTTAAACTAATCTTTTATCAATAAAACACTATTTAAATATTTTTAAAAATTAACAGATTAACAGTATGCAATGTTTTTCTATTTCTAACAAATACATTAAGCAGAGCATACTCATCTATCTCAAGTATGTTGAGTACTGTATCTTGAATTCCAAGCCTCTGGTGGACTTAAATAATTATTAACTATCGGGTGTTGGCATATCTACAGATATTTAAATAATGGTTAAGGTGATGAAGATGGAAACAGGTAGTTGAAAGAAATAACAGGCAGCGCCCAGTGACTAGCTGAGTCTGGAAAGACTCTTGAGAGTGGGTTAGATCTGTGGTAGGTGAAAATGCTGATATGGGAGGGGTCAGGGAAATGCTGGCTAGAGAAAGGCCTGGTCTCTGTCTAGGGTTCCAGCCCCAGGCTTGTGCCCATGGACCTTAGTGAGGACAGGCATTTCCGTTTTCCTGCCCAATGTTGCATTTCCCAAGACCACCCTGGCCCACCATGCCCCGATCCTGTGCCTATAAAACCCCCCGAGACCCTAGCGGGCACGCACACAAGCGGCTGGACTTCGACAGGAATGCACCAGTGTAAGAGCACACCGATAGATGCTGGCAGACCATCAACCAGTGGAATGAGGCGGAGTTTAGTGGGGGCAGTTGGAGGAGAGCCTGGGCTGCTGAGCGGCCCAACTCCGGGAGAAAACCACTTTCACACCCCATCTGCCTTCTGGCTCCCCCACCTGCTGAGAGCCACTTCCACTCAATAAAAGCTTGCACTCCTCCAAGCCCACGTGTGATCTGATTTTTCCAGTACACCAAGGCAAGAAACCCCTGGATACAGAAAGCCCTCTCTCCTAGTTCAATTAGGCAGGGGGCCTAATTGAACTGACTAACACAAGCTGTCTACAGATGGATAAACTACAGATGGAACATACTATAACACATGCCCACTGGGGCTTCAGCTGTAAACATTCACCCCTAGATGCTGCCGTGGGGTCGGAGCCCCACAGCCTGCCTGTTTGCATGCTCCCTAGAAGTTTGAATGGTGGGGCACTGAAGAAGCGAGCCACACCCCCATAACATGACCTGCGAGGGGGACAAGGGAACTTTTCCCGTTTCAATACTACATTTTAAACACTACTAAGAAGAGATCCTATCTGTTCATCTACTACTCCACGTCTAGTACCTAGCACAGTACTTTGCACATGGTGAGCATAAGATAAACATTTGTTTAATGGATAAATAAATGAATGACTGGAGTGGAGTCATTTTATTTTGATATCATGAAATTCCCTAAAGTCTCCATGGTAAGCATTGGGCTGCCAGAGGTCATTGTTCCTCTCAGGGTGTCATGATAACAGAGGAACAGCTCTGGAAATGTTGTTCCCCAGGACTCAAATAATATTTTTTTAAATGTATTTTTCTGTCACCTCCTAGTTTATTTTAATCTATATATCAAGAAGTCTAGAATTTTTGGAAAGTCTTTCCTACTATAGATTTGGTAACAAATTCTGTTGTTTCTACCCCTTAACTACTTCTTAAGTATGTTTCTTTTTTACCATTTTTATTCCTGATCTGTAACATGTGATCAATAAATGCATTTTGAATCAAAGAATGAATGGATTAGAAAGCTCATCCAACCCACGACCTGCAGGCCACATGCAGCCCAAGATGACTTTGAATGTGGCCCAACACAAATTCGTAAACTTTCTTAAATCATTATGGGTTCTGTTTTGCAATTTTTTTTTAGCTCATCAGCTATCATTAATGTTAGTGTATTTTATGTGTGGCCCACGACAATTCTTCTTCCAATGTGTCCCAGGGAAGGCAAAACATTGGATTCCCCTCAGTTAGAGAATATCATGACCCTAATTCAAGCATTCACTGAAAGGCTTGATGAAGGAAGGTAGCCTTGCATAAATACATTTTCCTACTTTATAGTTTTGTTCTTTGTGTACTGAAAATCAAGGTGGAAGAGGAAATTTTCCTAGTTATTTTTTTGTCCTCTCCAACTCCCTTACATGCCTGGTTTGATATTCCTATTTGTATGTCTTAGGGCGACCTCAAATTTAACTTTTAGGGCAAATTTACCATCTTCCCTCCTATTTCTGTTCTTTTCTGATTCCCTTATGTATGTTAGTACATAATTTTTTAGGCACTACACCTCTAAAATTGGAAGCCACATTTGATCACAGTCCCCAGTGGAATCAGTTGCCAGAATTTCTTAATACACTTATGACACCATTTCTTCCTTTCTGTTCCAACTGCTTTCACCCAGGCCTATGTTTCAAGCCTAGATAATTGAAAAATTCATAATTGAACTCTCTGCCTCTCAAAATTAGACATGTTTACCTGGGCTGCAACTATGGGGCGACTTCAGTAATCACAAGCCTTTTAGCATTCATTTGTCTTTGGCATTTAAGGTTATTTAAAATTTGATGTAGCAGTTTTTTTCTCTGTCTTCAGTTACTGCCCCAAAGGAAACTTTTGCCCCATTCAAACTTGACCATGGACACTTTGACATCAGGCCCAAGACTACCCTTTCTCAGGAATAATATTCCACTCTCATACTGCCACCTGTTTAAACAACTGAGTTTGGCTACTTGTAGGTACATTATGAAAAATAAAAGTAAATACTCTAACTGCAAATGCAGCCTGAATTTATTGTAACACAATTTGAGCAGGAAGAAAGTAACAAGGGAAATGACTAATACTTGAATAATTTGCTGCATATACAAATAGCACAATAATTGGCTCTGAGACTGGGGGAAAAAGATCATAAAAATCTTTTGCAACACTCCCAATTATGCCCCAAATTGAAAACTAAGAGTTTATGGCTGATAAAAAGAAGTGTAATTCAACAATTCTGTCTTTCGTGGATAATGGATGGGAGAGGGAGTCAAACTCTGCACATATCAGCTTTCTGGTGTGTGATAAAGGACATTATAAATGTATTTACTGAATTGCAACCTATTCTGTTATTTATAAAGAAAAAATGTCTGATTCATCTCTTATTTGCAATGAAAATACAGCAAAACTATTTTAAAGAGTCCTATCAGGAAGATCTGAGTGTGTATTCCCTGAATGTTTGGAATCGAGTCTTTTAGAACTCATCATAGTTTTTCCTACCACAACCAGAAACTACTTTAGGGAAAGAATAGTTTCAGAGGAAAGTCTTATTTTTCCATAATTGTGGGTTACAGTTATAAATAAACTGTGTCTACATGGAGGATCACATTAAACTAGGAAAGTATTATATTATGCACAGAGCTAAACTAGTGCATTTGGACTATATTCTATTTGTGTTCATTTCAGTGACAAATGCAGAGCATTTTCCCTCTGCTGACCCAATGCCAGTTTCAAATTCAATTAAATTTATTAATGAAAAATCAAAATTAACTGTGAGTTATTTTTGCAAGTATTTCAATTAATATCAAATTCAAAAGCTAGACTAAATGGGGATTATTTAACGTGTTCTGAGATGAAATCATACATTGCCAGTAGTAGAAAAGGGGGTATAATCAGGTGGTAAAAATACATTAGGGTTTAAAAAAGTTTTAAAAAGTATTGTCATAATTATAGCAGCTTTACAACATAGAATATTTAAAATTAAACAATAGCCAACAAAAAAGTCGAATATTTAGCAAGCACATAGGAATTTGACAAGGAAGTTTTGATTTCTAAAATACACGTTTTGGTCTGATCCATTTAAAAGTTAATGTTTTGAGTTATAACGTTTGATGATGTGAGAAATAACTTCAACTGAAAAGAAGAAACAATAATAGGCTAATGCAGTTTCTCATTTTAGCACTTCCTTTTATGGAGTTAAATATCTATAATGGGTATACTTTTGCTATCATGAAGTCAATAAGTTATTTTCACTGTATTTTGTAAATGTCATCTAAGTTACAGGGTTTTGGAACAGGCATTTGAGGAACTGAGTTAGATAGGCTCTATTAGGGGAACACTAACCTAAAAATGTGACATGTCCATTTGAGAAATATGGATGTTGAGGTAAACTCATTGGCAGGTTTGGGGACAAAGCGCAGTCATGCCAGTGGAGCCTGGCATCTGAAGAGAAACCTGCTAGGGGCCGCTTGGTAGCCTTGACAGAGAACAGGTTAATAACAGGGAAAGGCATGGAGGGATGAGCATCATACTGAGCAGCCTAAAAGCAAGAAATTCGCAAAGGTGGACTCAGACAGCTTTGTGATCAACATCAAAGAGGTTTGATAGCAGAGATAGCCCCATCTATATCCTATGGTGTGCAACAACACCATAGTTCAGAGATCTGTAAACATTTTTTGAATGCATGCCACTAACAATAAAACAAAAACAAGCATTCACATTCAATATGTATATATTTGTTTATGTAATATAAATATTAATGATAGGAATTAGTTAATATCCAATGGCACAATGTATAATAAAGTAGGAGTTCATCATTAAAAATAGTCAATCCACATTTTAGGTAGTCTTGATGGTTTGTTTTTGCAAATTTTTTGTTAGATATGATGAAATCATTATTTCATCTTTGATATGTAGCTTAGGAAGAGCCTGTATTTGTCTTTGCCATTTTCTTGGTTTTCTCTGATGCTTTATGAATATTACTTTCAATTCTTGGTTCATTTGGATTTAAATTCCTTTTTGTAATGGTTACTTTGAACCAAATAATGTAATCTGTAAGTTCATTTAACTGTCCACATGCAAACTTCATTTTTGAAATATGCAACTTTTATTTTAAGTTCAGGGGTACATGTGCGGGATGTGCAGGTTTATTACATAAGGTAAACAAATGTGTGCCGTGGTGGTTTGCTGCACACATCATCCCATCACTTAGGTATTAAGCCCAGCATCCGTTAGCTATTCTTCCTGATCCTCTCCCTCCTCCCACCTCTTGCCCTCTAACAGGCCCCAGTGTGTGCTGTTCCCCCCACCATGTGTCCATGTGTTCTTATCATTTAGCTCCCAATTATAAGTGAGAACATGCGGTATTTGGTTTTTTGTTCCTTCATTAGTTTGCTGAGGATAATGGCTTCCAGCTCCATCCATGTCCCTGCAAAGGACATGATCTTGTTTCTTTGTATAGCTGCGTAGTAATCCATGGTGTATATGTAACACATTTTCTTTATCCAGTCTATCATTGATGGGGATTTAGGTTGATTCCGTATCTTTGCTATTGTGAATAGTGCTGCAGTGAACATACAAATGCATGTGTCTTCATAATAGAATGATTTATGTTCCTTTGGGCATATACCTGGTAATGGGATTGCTGGGTTGAATGGTATTTCTGCTTCTAGGTCTTTGAGGAATCACCACACTGCCTTCCACTGGTTTAACTAATTTACACTCCCACCCACAGTGTAAAAACATTCCTTTTTCTCCACAACCTCGCCAGCATCTATTATTTTTTGACTTTTTAATAACAGCCATTCTGGCTGGTGTGAAATAGTATTTCATTGTGGCTTTGATTTGCATTTCTCTAATGATCAGTGATGACCTTTTTGTTTTTCATATGTTTGTTGGCTGCATGTATGTTTCTTTTGAGAAGTGTCTGTTCATATCCTTTGCCTTCTTTTTAATGAGACTAAGGTGTGTGCCACCATGCCCAGCTAATTTTTTGTATTTTTAGTAGAGATGGGGTTTCACCGTGTTAGCCAGGATGGTCTCAATCTCCTGACCTCATGATCTGCCTGCCTCAGCCTCCCAAAATGCTGGGATTACAGGCGTAAGTCACCATGCTGGGCCACTTTATTTCCTTCTTTTGCCTGATTGCCCTGGCCAGAAATTCTAATACTATGTTGAATAGGAATGTTGAGAAAGGACAACCTTGTCTTGTGCCAGTTGTCAAGGTGCTTTCAGCTTTTGCCTATTCAGCATTATATTGACTGTCAGTTTGTCATAGATGGCTCTTATTATTTTGAGGTATATTCCTTCAATACCTAGTTTATTAAGAGCCTTTAACATGAAGGGATGTTGAATTTTATCAGAGGCTTTTTCTGCATCTATTGAGATAATCATGTGGTTTTGCCTTTAGTTCTGTTTATGTGATGCATTGCGTTTATTGATTTGTATATGTTGAATCAACCTTACATCCCAGGGATATGCCTGCTTGATCATGGTGGATAAGCTTTTTGATGTGCTGCTGGATTCGGTTTGACAGTATTTTGTTGAGGATTTTTGCATGGGTGTTCATCAAGGATATTGGCCTGAAGTTTTCTTTTTTGTGTGTGTGTTTCTGCCACGTTTTGGCATCAGGATGATGCTGGCCTCATAGAATGAATTAGGGAGGAGTCCTTCCTTTTCAGTTTTTAAAAATAGTTTTAGTAGGAATCATACCAGCAATTATTTTGACCTCTGGTAGAATTCAGCTGTGAATCTGTCTGGTCTGGGGCTTTTCTTTGCCTGGTAGACTATTTATTAATGCCTCAATTTCAGAACTCATTACTGGTCTATTCAGGGTCTCAGTGTCTTCCTGGTTCCATCTTGGGAGGGTATACGTGCCCAGGAATGTTTCCATTTCTAGATTTTTTGTTTACATATATAGAGGTATTTATAGTATGCTCTGATGGTTGGTTGTATGGGGTCAGTGGTAATATTCTTTGAGGATCTTTGAGGTGCTGACATTTGAATGGGGTTTTGTGAGGTCTTTTTGTTGATGTTGTTGTTGTTGCTTTCTGTTTGTTTGTTTTTCTTTTAACAGTCAGGTTAATCTTCTGTAGGGCTGCTGCAGTTTGCTGAGGGTCCACTCTAGACCTTATTCACCTTGGTCCCTCCTGCACCTGGAGGTATCACCAGTGAAGGCTGTGAAACAGCATAGATGGCAGCCTGTTTCTTCCTCTGGGAACGCCATCCCAAGGGGGATCCGACCTGATGCTGGCCTGAACACCCCTGTAGAAGGTGTCTCGAGACCCCTATTGGGAGGCCTTACCCACTCAGAAGGAATGGGATCAGGGAGCCACTTAAAGAAGCTGTCTGGTTGCTTTTGGTAGACTGGTGCCCTGTGCTTGGGGGAACCCCCCTCATCCAGACCACGTGGACTCTCCAGAGCCAGCAGGCTGGAAAGGCTGTTGACTGAACTGCAGAGACAGTGGCTGTCCCTCTCCATGGGGGCTCCATCCCAGGGAGAGATCAGAGATTTGTTCATATAATCCTGGCTGTTGAAGCTGAAATTCCCACAAGGAGGACCTGCCCAGTGAGGAGGGATGGATTGGGGTCCCAGTTTAAAAAGCAATCTGGCCATGATCTGCTGCTTTGCGGAAAACTCCTGCCGGTCTGGATTGCCAGCATTCCCCAGAGCAGGCAGGCTAGAACAGCCGACTAGAACAGCAGAGACTGGGGCTGCCCCTCTTCCTGGGAACTCAGTCCATTACAGGCAGTCTCCATCCTGCTACTGCTGGTTGGCTGGAATTCCTAACTGTTGGGTCTTAACTTGTGAGGTGTGTAGGAGCTGGGCCCCCAAAATGATGCCGCTTGGCTCCCTGGATTCTGCCCCCTTTCTGCAGGAATAAATGGATGGATCTCCCACCTTTCCAGAATTCCAGGGGCAGGAGTAGACAAAATCACTCCTGGGTCTCCATGCATGCCTGACTGGCTGCCTTGCACCCCACCAAGACTCTGCACAGTTCTGTGCTTCAGATCCAAGGTCCTCGTGGCATGGGCTCACAAGGGGATCTCCTGATCTGTGGGTTGCAAAAAAACTGGGAAAAGTGTGGTTTCCCGGGATGGGTGGCACAGTCACTCACTGCCTCCCTTGGCTGGGGCGGGGGCTCCCCTTGTTCCCTATCGCCTCACCCTGATTTTCCTCACTGTCCATGGGTCAAGCCGTTCACCTAGTCAGTCCCAGTGAGAGAATCTGGGTACCTCAGGTGAAGGTGCACAATCCAGTCACCATTTTCATTCTTCTCTGTGACAGCCACGGACTGCAGCTGTTTCTATCCAGCCATCCTGGCCTGCCTACATTTTTCCATTTACATTTAAGGTTAATATTGTTATGTGTGGATTTAATCCTGTCATCATGTTAGCTGATTATTTGGCAGACTTGTTTATGAGGTTGTTTTAAAGTGTCACTGGTCCGTGTACTTAAGTGTGTTTGTGTAGTGACTGATAGTGTTCTTTCATTGCCATATTTAGTACTTCTTCAGGAGCTCTTGTAAGGCAGGTCTGGTGGTAACAGATCCCCTGAGCATTTGCTTGACTGAAAAGGAACTTATTTCTCCTTTGCTTATGAAGCTTAGTTTGGCTGGATATGAAATTCTGAGTTAGAATTTGTTTTGTTTAAGAATGTGGAATATTGGCCCCCAATCCTCTTCTAGCTTGTAGGGTTTCTGCTGAGAGGTCTGCTGTTAGTCTGATGGGCTTCCCTTTGTAGGTGACCTGGCCTTTCTATCTAGCTGCCACTAACACTTATTCTTTCATTTTGACCTTGGAGAATCTGATGATTCTGTGTCTTGGGGATGATCTTCTCATGGAGTATTTTACTGGGGTTCTCTGCATTTCCTGAATTTGCATGTTGGCCTGTCTAGCTAGGTTGGGGAAGTTCTCCTGGATGATATCCTGAAATATGTTTTCAAATTGCTTTCATTCTCCCCATCTCTTTCTGGTACCACAGTTAGTGGTAGATTTGGTCTCTACATAATCCCATGTTTCTTGGAGGTTTTGTTCATTCCTTTTTATTCTTTTTTCTTTTTTTTTTTTTTTTTTTTTGCTATTTTTGTCTGCCTGTCTCATTTCAGAAAGACAGTCTTCAAGCTCTGAGATTCTTTTCTCCGCTTGGTCTACTCTGCTATTAATCCTTGTGATTGCGTTGTAAAGTTCTTGTAGTGTGTTTTTCAGTTCTATTAGGTTAGTTATGTTCCTCTCTATACTGGCTATTTTTGCTGTCAGCTCCTGAATTGTTTAATCATGATTCTTAGCTTCTTTGTGTTGGGTTACAATGTGCTCCTTTAGCTCAGCAAAGTTCACTTTTATCCACATTCTGAAGACTAATTCTGTCATTTCAGCCATCTCAGCTTCAGCCTAGTTCTGAATCCTTGCTGAAGAGGTGTGGTAGTCATTTGGAGGAAAGGGGGCACACTGGTTTTTTGAGTTTTCAGCATTTTTGCACTGATTCTTTCTCATCTTTGTGGGCTTATCTACATTCAATCTTTGGGGTTGCTGACCTTTGGATGGGGTTTCTGTGGTTTTTTTCTTGATGTTGTTGTTGATGTTGTTTTTAACAGTCTGGCCTGTCTTTCACAGGGCTGCTACGGTTTGCTGGGGTTCCTCTCCAGACCCTAGTCACCTCGGTTTTTCCAGTAACTGGAGGTGTCACCAGTGAAGGTTGAGAAATATCAGAGGGCAGCCTGCCCCTTCCTCTGGGAGCCCCCAGGGGGGTACTGACCTGTTGCCAGTCTGAATGCACCTGTAGGAAGTGGCTGGAGACCCCAGTGGGAGCTTTTACTCAATCAGGAGGAATGGGATCAGAGGTCCCTTATATAAGCAGTCTGGCTACATTTTGGTAGGGCAGCTGTGCTGTGCTGGGGATCCCTTCAGCCGCCATCAGTTTGGGTGCTCCAAGGCCCGCAGGCTGGACTGGGTGAGACACCCCAACAACAAATGTGGCGGCCCGCCCTGCCCCTCTGGCACTCCATCCCAGATAGAAATCAGAACTCTGTAGAATACTTGTGGGGGTGGCCGGAGACCCCAGCTGGGAGGTCCCTCCCTGTGAGAAGGAGTGGATCAGGGTCCTGTTTAAAGAAGCATTCTGGCCACGCCTCAGGAAAACAGCCATGCTGTGCTGGGGAATCACCTCTGCCCTGGTCAGCTTGGAATCTCCAAAGTCTGCAGGCCGGATCGGTGGATTCTTCCAAACAGCAAAGATGGTGGCTGCCCCTCCCCTCGGGGGCTCTGTCATGTTTCTGTCCATGCGTGTCACTGACTGCAGCTGCTTCTATTCGGCCATCTTGGTCCCCTTGATAAAAAAGCAAATTTCCGTAAATATATAAATGTTGTTCAATCTTATTAGTCATTTGAGAAATAAAAATTAAAACCACAGTGAGATACCTCTATACACTTTCCAATATTGCTAAAATACAATGTTCTGCTAATACCAATTGTTGGGAAGGTGCTAAAAGTCTCACTGTTGATGGTGAATGAATTATTTTAATTATTGGGAAATAGTTTGCAACTTCTACTGAACATATACATAATCAGTGATCCAGTATTCCTACTCCCAACTTTATATTCAATAGAAATCCAGGCATATATGCATCCAAAGACATAAGAATACTCACAGAAGCATTATTTATAATAGTCAAAACTGGGAGGAATCCAATTTCTACCAACAGTAGAATGAATAAATTCATAGTGCCAATTAATATAATTTAACATTACCAAGCAATAAACTATAATGTGGATGAATCTCACAAACGTAAATGTTAGCAAAAATAGTCAAGTACTTAAAAAGTACATATATTTAATTTTATTAATTAAAAAATCCCAAAACCAGCAAACTAATATATAATAAATTGGTTTAGATATTACCCTGTTGGGAAGTATAGATGGAGATGGGAGAGGCCAAGTGGGGGGTTTTCTCTCTAATTGTTAATGTTTTATTTTTTGATCTGGGTTTCCATTGTAAAAATTCACAGAGCTGTATTCTTATAATTTGAGTACATTTCTATATTTTTAAAACTTTCAAAATAAATATATTGAAGAGGTGGTTTTGAAACAGACAGATTGGTACTATTTTTCTTTTGTCCCTTCTATGCCTCTGAAATTAAAAAAAAATAGAAATTCGTACATAAGCTAAGACTTCTGGAAATGCCATTGTTGACACTTTGGAATTAAAAATGCCCTCTGTTTCCTAAGTTATCATTTCTCTTTTATTTTTGTTGAAAATATATGATAAATGAAACAACTAAATAAAAGGTTTAATAATTTCATTCCTAAATCCAATGGATCACCTCATGTTTCCCCACTTTATAGATATAGTTCCCACTGCAGAATAGTTGAATAAAAGTCTCAAGCTAATGGAGTCAGGCAGTAGTTATTTAAAAGTGTTTGTAGAATCCTAGAGGTTCAATGAAGAAATTTCTTGGGCCCAGTTAGGCTAAAGGAATTTGAATGGAGATGACAAATGAGGAAGAAAGAGGTTTCAGAATGCAGTGATGGATAAGCATAAACTCGTATATTACCGTTTTGAGCATTTTTTTTTTTACAGATTGGTCTTCATTTGAAGTGGATGGAGATTCTGTTACTAAAAGTAGTACATAATAAAACAAGATACTGTCATGATATCTGGAAACAAAATGATATCCAATTTTTAGAACTGGGGAATAAGTTGTGATTTTTCATCACAGGAACAAGAGGGAGCCTAGAGATTAGAAATGAGAAACCAGAAATCAGAACTAAAAATGATGTTGGCTTGATTTTGAATAATCTGAGAAAATGGGAAAGAATAGGAGAGGACTTCAAAAAGTTCATAGAAAAATGGAATTAAAAAATAAAAATAAGAAAAAAGCCCCTTTATTTCTCAACATAGGCTCTGTCAGGGTCAAGATACTTTTATAAGCAATGTACCAGCCATTTAGTTCATTCCTAAAGAACTGAGGGTCCTGCGACCCTCGATGCAATCTTTTAAAAAATATTTTATTATATTGTTAGCTGAAGAAAAATGGGTGCCCTTTACAGATTAAGATTAGGAAAGAAAAAGGAGTCAGGAGAAGCCAAATTAGGACACTAAGATACATGCTTGATGATTTCTCAATTAAAGTGTCACAAAATCACCCTTGTTTGATGAGAGGAATGAGCGGGAACATTGTCATGGTGGAGAAAGACTCTTCTGGTGAAATTTCCTAGGAATTTTTTCTGCTGAATCTTTGGCTAGCTTTCTCAAAACACTCTCATACTAAGAAGATACTATTGTTCTTTGGCCCTCCAGAAAGTCAAGTAGAAAAATGTCTTGAGTGTTCCCCAAAAAACTGTTGCCATGACCTTTGCTCTTGACAGGAACACTTTGCTTTGACTGGACCACTTCCACCTCTCGCTAGCCACTGCTTTAATTGTACTTTGTCTTCAGGACAGTACTGGTAAAGTCATGTTTCATCTCTCATTACAATTCCTTGAAGAAATGCTTCAGGATCTTGATTCCACTTGTTTAAAATTTCCACTGAACGCTCTGCTCCTGTCTGCAGTTGATCTGGACACAACAGTTTCTGCACCCGTCAAGTGGAAGGGTTGCTCAACATGTTCAGTCAGAATTCTGTAAGCTGAAACAATAGAGATAGTCTATGTTGTGGCTATTGTTTCTACTGTTAATTGTAGGTCTTCTTCAATTAAGGCATGAACAAGATTAATTTTTTTCCTCATAAATTGATGTGGATGCCTTGACACCATGGGCTTCAACATCAACATCATCTCATCCCTTTTTAAAATGAGTTATCCATTTGTAACTGGCTGATTTCTTTGGGCCACTGTCCCTATAAACTTTTCACAAAGCATCAGTGATTTTATTGTTCTTTTACCCAAGCTTCACCATAAATTTGATGTTTGTTCTTGCTTCAGTTTTAATAGAATTTATGTTGCTCTGATAGAGGTTCTTTTCAAACTGATGTCGTATCCTTCTTAATGCCTCAAACTAGATCCTGTTCAGACATACTGTAACACGTTAATACAAGTTTATTTTGGTACAAAAAGTTCTTGAAATCCACCTATAATTTTTTGATAATATGCATTTTCTGTGATCTATTTGAAGAACCCTTATATTTAAGATGTTCTAGAACTTATCTAAAACAGCCTTTTATGGCCTCCATAGCCTCCTGTAGTTACTGTCGTATTTCTTTCCTCCTGCCACAACCAATTTTTCTAGAGTTATTGTAAGTTTCTCCTGTTTACTTTTCAATCCATTGCAATTTGACTGCTCTCATCATGCCACTGAAATGTCTTTTGGTAAGAACCTTAGAGAGCTCATCTCACTTGCATAGCTTAACATTGTTAGCTCATGGTTTCCCTTCTGAAACAATTTAGACACTCTTTTCCACTGACTTTCATGACACTACACTCTTCTAGTTTCCCTCCTCTTTAACTGAGCATTCTAGATTCGTTTTCAACTCTATTTCCTCTAATTGAATGTTAAATTTTGGACATTCTCAGGGCTCAGTCTTTGTTAACTACATTTACTTTCTGGGGAAATCTCTTCTACTTCCATGTTTGAAATGAGACTTCTATGCCAAATTTACAGTTCAGACTTGTTTTAAATTTCATAGCCATATATTCAACTGATATTTCCTTGTGCATGTCTCAGAGTTAGCTCAAATTTGGCATTCTCCCCCGAAACATAACAAACAACAAGTCACTTATCAATTTTTCTGTACCTCCAATAATTGGTAACATTGTGCTTCCAGGCATGAAAGCCAGAATTGGCACATTAATATTTCTTAGACCCTAATTAAAAATCAAACAATATTTATTCTAACTTTCAAATAGTTTTAGAAGGGAATATTGTAAATTCCAAATAATTCCCTGGATTTTTACCTCTCTTCATTCCTACAAACATTCTGCTAATCAAAGCCACTATCACTTTGTCCTTGGACTCTTGCATTCTTCCTTGAATTTTGGATTCTGGTAACTGGCTTTGCATCATAAATTTTGGAATCTCCATAGCCTCTTGCCCATAAAAGAAAATAGGCAAATTTTTCTTAAAAAATATATGTAATCTTATTATTACCCTGCTGATAACTAGTCAATGGATTCCCCAGAGCACTTAGAATAATGCCCCAAGTCCATAACTGGGGTCACAGTCACAAGGATAACTGCTTACCTCTTTAGCCTTATCTTATGTTACATGTCTCCCTGCCCATGGGATTCCAGTCACGTTAGCCTCTTTCATTTTTCTTACTTACTAAGCTCCTTCCTAGCTCAGACTTCTCAGACAAACTCTTGTTTTCTTATTTCTGTGAGTCTGGGTTTTCTCGCTTTCTGACTTCTGTCTTTCATCCCTACCCTGCTTTCTTTCTGGACATTACTAATCATTCTCCTAATGCAACTTCTTAGGGGCAGCCTTCTAAGATTCTTGCAGTATTTGCTCTCATTGCACATTGCATATTTCGTTTGGATAAATTTTCACAATTGTTATTTAAGTGTACATTATTAGTTATTTAATGTCTATATTCCCACCAAATTAAAAATTACTTGAAGGCAGGGTTGTGTCTATTTATTTATTATTATAGTGGTGTTGTGTCTATTTATTTATTGTGATACCAAGTCCTTAGGCCAAAATTTGGCGTATATTGGTTATTTGATGTATTATTTGTTGAGTGAATCCATAAGTGAATGAGTAAAGAATAGCCTTTAACTGAGACACCCTTAGACATTACATTAGATAACTTGTTCTAACCTGTACTTAACTACTAACCAATATTGACCTTGAACAAAAGACTTGAATGATTCAGACCTTCATTTTTCCTCACTTATGAAAAAGGGGATTAATCTAAATCACTAAAATTGTACCTAATTCTATGACTTTGGGTTTGATTTGTCTAGACGGCTATGGAAACACATTTTACCAAAAAAGTTACAGTTTGTACAGTTTTCTACTAGAAAGTCATATTATTAAACTATAATAAGTATATTAGATTCAGAGAGTATCTTTCATTTGCTAGACATCATTCTAGTTTAGACTGAATATTCCACTTTGTTATGCTTTGAATGTTTGTCCCCTCCAAAACTCATACTGAAATTTAGTTGCCATTCTAATAGTATTAAAAGGTGGCACCTTAAAGAAGTGTTTAGGTCATGAGTGTGGAGCCCTCATGAATGAATTGATGACATTATCACAAGTTATTTCCCTTGCCTTTGCCCTTCTGCCTTGGGATGAGACAGCAAGAAGAGCCTCACCAGATCTTGGCCTCTTAATGTTGGACTTCCCAGCTTCCAGAACTGTGAGCCAGTAATCATCTGTTTGTTATAAATTACCCAATCTTAGGTATTTAGTTATAGCAGCAAAAATGGACTAAGATACTTTAACATTTTGACTACATTTAGAATATTTTGGAAAACAAAGGGAAAAATATTTTCATAGTAACTACAGCCTGCTGGGTATTACTAAGGAATGGTGTATCCATGTGTTACTCATTGTAGCAGTTAAATAAATTACACTCTTTTAAAAAATGTATTATTTTATTATTACTTTGATATCTTTAATCTTGTTCTAGTTAGTTTTCTTACGTACATAAAGGGTTAATAAATAGTATTATTAAACTATTTGATCCTAAATCCCTTATAAAATTTAGAAGTGGTGTAAGACATAATATAAAATGCTTAAACCTCAATGTAAAACTGTACAATCCTCCCTGGATTGACTAGCTTCTGGTTTTTAATATCATTAGTAAAATGATCTTCTTCTTACTGAATATTGTGCTCAGTTATCTTTCTTGTATTCCAGAAGAGAATTAATATTCTTTGCAGATTCTCACTCATGCAGACCTGACCATAAGAAGCAAAGAAGTTCACATTTCTTAGCAAGTGAAGACCTGTAATACTGACATTCGTGACTTTGAGAATACCACAAAGAATGAGCATATGTTTGAAAGAATTTCAGGAAAACAATAGAACCTTAAAGGTGGCAAGCTATAAATATGTGAAAGAACTTTTTTTATGAAAAGAAAAAAAACACATTAAGAACCTACTCTCTCAAGGGATGTTACATGCATAAAATTTAAATATATTTATAAAGAATTTAAATAAATTTACAAGAGAGAGGAGTGCCTTTTTGGGAAGACCCGGGTTCTGGTACTTGTGAGTCCTTGATAAAAATCACTTAACCATTATGAAGGGCTCAGTTTTTCTCATCTGAAAGGGCATGATTATAATGGTATGTGCTGTTTTTCATAGGTTGTTTTAAACCTGAAATCAAATTATGTGTGGGGAAGTGCTGGCATGAAATCTGGCAAACAATAAGCATTCAACGAATTTTTTTTAGAAATCTGAGCCTATTTAACATGAAAAGCCCAGGAGAATGATTTAGGGGGATGATTGCAGGGATTGGAAGATAAAAAAATTAGAAAGCTATTTGGGAGTTAGAATGGAAATTCCCTTCTACAACTATTTGGGAGTTAGATGTGCTATAGGTCAGGGCTTAATCAGGTGTTTATTGCAAGGGAACACCACGAGTCTTTGGGAATAATGTCAAGAAATACAAAAATTATCAGGTGTATGAATTCACTTTTATTTGTCACCTGTAGATTCTTAGATAAGAAGGGAAGTAGATTTGAAGTGTACAGTTTAATGAACTTATTGTACAGAATGACTTTAACTAGAGGAGATAGAAAGCAAGTGGAAGTGAGACAATGGCCTCTTTAGTGCCAACTTCAGCTTGGCAAGGATCTAGGAGATATCTTTGACTTTATAAAACTTGGATTGTGGCTTTCCTGGTTTTTCAAAAATGAGTTATTGTAGGAAAGATTTACAAACTTGTGATATTCTCCATAGCTCTAGGCTGAATGAAGTTTTACTCACAGCAACTGCTGGACTATAGATCTTCTGTAGGTGGCTTCATCATTCTCCTCTGTTGTGTTGTTTATGTCCTAAGTATTCAAGGATATGTGTGAGGACCCAGCAAGCCACAGGAAACAGGAAGAAGAAAAGCTCCAAATTCATGTGGAAGCGGAGAGTAAAGCAATGTAATGGTGCCCAAAGCAGAGAAACAGCAGCAGGGAGAAGTCTATGCTGGCAGGAGAAGCTCGGCATTGCCTGGCAGGAAAGAAAATGAGGCCCCACATAATAAAACTCCTGATGGGTAGCGCTGCAGCCATTGTTTCTGGAACAGCCTGTGAAGTTGGCTAGGGCAGGAGGAACTGATTTCTGGCTTGTTGATGACACAGTAGTTTTTTCATTTTTATTTCTAGTCATAGGTAACTGTATTATAAGCTGAAGTAGAAAGACACAAAGGGAGGCAGCTCTTGTTCTGTCAGGATGTGGCTGTTCTCTATCTTCTCTACTTATTGATATCTGTACTTAATTCTGCAAACTGAAGCTCAAATTCACTTGTTTTCTTATCTTTATAAAGGGCACTCAATCAATAAACAAAGGCTCAAAAGAACCTGCATGTTTCATATTAAATAATCAATATTCAGTAATACTTTTTAAAAGTCTCCTAGAAGAATGAATCAGCTTCTTTAGCTTTTCGCTCATGACCCGTCTCTTATTGTTGTGTAGCCAAGTGTGAACCCATCAGTGTTCCCTCCATACTGTGTGGTACCAAAAACAAATCCATGATAAGGATAATATCCTTATCACACCCATGGCCTGTGCTGCATGCACTGCAGATAGAACTTACTCATTCCTTCCTGTTCTATGACCACATATTAATCTCCAGATAGCACTGAATCAGGGGTTGCAGATCTGCTTTGAACTCAATGTGAGTGTTCTTAGATTTATACCTTACCTCATACAAAGGCATCTTATGTGTGAGACAAGACTCAACTTTCATCTACTTTGGGCCTTTAGACCGTTTTCACCATGTGGTCATAAAACCACTTTTTCTTTTCTTTTAATTTGTGTACTTGGTTTTACTTCCCAAGGATACTTGGCATAATACAAATTTTTATGTTGTATAACTTCTCTGCATCTTATGGTTATTTTGAATTCTAATTCTTAAGTATCTTACCATGATTATTCTGAATTCTGCAAATATAAGAAATATAATCAGTTTCCATTCTACTAGTTCAAAGTCATTATGTGAGTTATAATATAAATACTTTTGCTGACTATATTATATATACAATTTCTAGAATGAATGGAGACGTTTTTTATTAAGTTACTCTCTGCAGTCAGTCTTCTAGTCTTATATTTTAACGTTCTCCCTTAGGACCTATTTCCCTATTGTGCTTATATCCCTCACTTGGTCTGTTCCTAATAACTCAACTAGTATGCTTCCAATCAATGTTTTCTTTCTTGTACTTATATTTTATCCTGCTGGAGTCTTCTTTTTTTTAAGACTTAGGTAAACATGTACTGAGGTATAACATGTAGAACAATTGCATATAGCATATATTTATAACTCAATGGATTTGTATAGACTCCACCATGTCCTTGCTTTTTCT
Organism: Homo sapiens; assembly: GCF_000001405.40. Taxonomy (NCBI): domain Eukaryota; kingdom Metazoa; phylum Chordata; class Mammalia; order Primates; family Hominidae; genus Homo; species Homo sapiens. Next base: position 96,764,216 of record NC_000011.10, read on the forward strand.
TTACTAGGCTTAGAGTCCATGGTCCGTCATTATAATCACTCTTTTTCATCACATTCAACTAATTTGCTCCCTCTAGATTTATTGTGTGCACTTGGCAAAACCCCAGCTCTGATTAAATCAAGCTCCATGCCTACTCCTTTATAGTAAACCTTGATGACTGTATTACTTTCAATTCATGACCAGTTCCTTTAGATTGATATTTAGTGCTGGGTGGCAAAAACACCAAATTCTCTTTCCTACTCTTGGGAACAAGTATTTTTCTCAGCTGTTTATTAAAAATTCCAACATCTCTTCTCTCATCCTCATTCTCAGTTAATGATCCTTCTTCCACTTGCTAAAAACATAGAAGTTATCAGAATATATTTTCATAAGCTCCTGTCACAGCATTTTCCTACTTGGCAGTATCCTTGCCTCCAGATTGTTCTCTCCCTTTCGTCATGTTACTGTAGAGGGACTGCCCCCATGCCCCTATCTAAGTGTGTACTTGTCACTAGATCCTATTGGCTCTCACCTACTTAAGAGAATCTCTGCAGTAACAGTTCCCTCCCAACATCACATCATGAAAACTTCCATTCATTTTATGTCTTTCTTATAGGCATAAAAAACAAGTTTTCATTATTCCTACTTTAACCATTTAACCCCTTTTAGCCCATTCACCCTGCCATGCACTGCCTCTTTTCTCAGATCCTCTTTACAGAAAATCTCTTTGGAAGGGTAGTCTCTATTTTTGTTCTCAATCTCTCTTTTCCCAGTCATGGCTTGATTCACATAACTTACTGAACACTACTGTTTCGTCAAGGCCATCAGTATCCTCCATACTGCTAAATCCAGTAGTCAGTTCTATGTTTTCATTGCTCTTGATCTATCATCCCTATTTGACAAAAATATTATTCCCTTCTCTATGAAATGCTGACTTCACTTGAATTCCAGGATGCCACACTCCCCTGGTTTTTATTTTATTGATCACACCTATCATATTTTCTAGACCAGTAGTCCGTATACTATTTCTGTAAATGGTTACATAGTAAAATATTTAGGTTTTTTGGACTACCTATGGTTGCTGTTGCATATTCTTTTGTTTTCTTTCTCTTCACAACACTTAATATATGTAAAAACAACATTCTCAGCTTGTGGGCTGCACAAAAACAGACAGCAGATGAGATTGGGCCCACTAGCCATAGTTTGCCAACTCCTGTTCTAGACTTCTAAATTATCAAGTGGTCCCAGATATTAGTCCTTGGATCACTTCTCTGGTATTTATAAAGATCATTCATTGACTTGGTGATATCATCCAATTTTAAGGCTTTAAATTTCATATATTTAATGATGGTGTATACCTAAGTAGTATATACTTAGCTCAGGCCCTGCTGAATTCTGGGATCTAACTGCCTATTTGGTATCTCTGTTTGGACATTCACAGTTAATACGCTTAAAAGTAAAATCCCAATCTTTTCCCCAAATCTGCCTCATCTCCTATATTCCTCATTTCAGTAAATGCAACTCCAGTATCTCAGGCTCAGAAACTGGTGTTGCTGTTGATTTTGTTGTAGTTATCTTATATCTCATATTAAATCCATCATCAAATCCTGTGAGGATGTGGGCATATATATACCTGTATCTATCGATATAGAAATGAGTCATTTTCCTTTATCCACAACACAATCAGGATTTAAGATGCTATCTTATTTTACTTAGCTCATTGCAGTCATATTGTAAAGCAATGCTTCACAAATTATGGCCCATCAAAAGCCTCATGGTCCACAGGAGAGAAAGAGGTTATACCATAATCTAAATGAACTCTATCACTACACATACAGTTGAGTTTGTTGTTGTTGTTTTTGTTGTTGTTAAGACTTTCTTGACACAAGAAGTGGTGCTTTGGTTTACATTTTGACATAAATATCTTACTTGTGAACTAGTATTTTGAGTATCCCTGTCCTAAAGGTCCTTTCTACTTATAGACTTTCCCGTATTTTATTCTTTTTTTTTTTTTTTTTACAGTTTCAAATTTTATTTTGTTATTTATTTTGTTTAAAAATTTTTAAATTGACAAATAATTGCATATATTTATGGAATACAATGTGATGTTTTGTTCTGTGAATAGGGTAGAAAGACTCAATCAAGCTAATATATCTATCACCTCACCAACTTATCATTTTTTTGCTGTGAGAATATTTAACAATCTATTCTTTTAGTAATTTTGAAATATACAATACCTGATTATCAACTCTGGTCACCATGCAGTGCAATAGTGCAGTAGATCAATAAAATTTATTCCTCCAGTCTGAGACTTTATACACTTTGATCAACACCTTCCCTTTTCCCAACTCCTCCTCAACCCAGCTTTCTACTCTCTGTTTTTATGAGATTGACTTTTTAGATTCTACATGTGAGATCACACAGTATTTATTTGTCTTTGTCTGGTTTATTTTGCATAGCAAAATCTCCTTCAGTTCCATCCATGTTGTCACAAATAACAGGACTTCCTTCTTTTTACGGCAGTATAATATTCCACTGTGTTTATATACCACATTCTCTTTATCTATTTTTTTCATTGATTAATACTTACATTGTTTCCATATCTTTGCTATTGTGAATAAAATGCTGAAATAAACATGGGAGTGAAGATATGAACATACCAACTTCAGTTTATTTGAATATATACCCATAGGTGGGATTACAGAATCATATGGTAATTCTATTTTTGTTTTTTGAAGAACCTCCATATTATGTTCCAAAATGGCTGTAGCAATTTACATTCCCACCAGCAGTGTACAAGGGTTCCCCTTTCTCCACATCTCTACCAATACTTGTTATCATTTGTATTTTTGATAGTAGCCATTCTAAATGGAATGAGGTGATATTTCATTGTAGTTTTAATTTGGGTTGCTTGCATTTCTTACATATTTTGGAAATTATCCCCTTATTAGATGTATGGTTTACAAATATGTTCTTTCAATGCATGGGCTGTCTCTTCACTCTGTTGTTTCTTTTGCTGTGCAGAGGCTTTCTGGTGTGATGCAATCCCATTTGTCCATATTTGCTTATGTTGCCTGTGCTTTTGGGGTCAAATCCAAAAAACATTGCCCAGACCAATGTCATGGAGATTTTTCCCTATATTTTCTTCTAGTAGCTTTATAGTTTCAGTTCATACATAGTAGTCTTTTGTCAAATTTTTAGTTAATTTTTGTATATAATGTGATAAGTGTCTAATTGTATTTTATTTGCATGTGGATGTCCAGCTTTCCCAACATCATTTATTAAAGAGACTTTGTTTAATAAACTGTTGATTGATGTGTCTGTTTTCATGGCAACTGATATAATTTGGATCTATGTCCCTGGCAAAATCTCATGTCAAACTGTAGTCCCTTATGTCGGAGGTGGGCCTGGTGGGAGGTGATTGGATCATGGGGGTGGTTTCTTATGAATGGTTTAGAATCATCCTTATAGCTGCTGTTCTCATGATAGTGAGTTCTCATGAGATTTGGTTGTTTAAAAGTGTGTAGCACCTACCTGCTCTCTCTCCTGCTCATGCTCTGACCATGTAAGACGTGTCTGCTTCCCTTTGCCTTAGGCTATGATTGTAGATTTCCTGAGGGCTCCCCGGAAGCAGAAGCTGCCATGCTTCCTGTACAGCCTGCAGAACCATGAGCCAATTAAACCTCTTTTCTTTATAAATTACCCAGTCTCAGGTACTTATAGCAGTATGAGAACAGACTAATACACTAATACCATACCATTTTGCTTAAAATAGCTTTATACTATATTTTGAAATCAGGGAGTAGGATGCCTCCAGCTTTGTCCTTTTTGCTCAGAATTGCTTGGGTTATTTGGAGTATTTTCTGGTTCATTACAAATTTAGGATTTTTAAAAATTTCTATAAAAATTCACATTAAAGTTTTGATAGAAATTGAATTATATTTGTGGATCCTTTGGGGTAGTTTGGACACTTAACCAACTTCAATTATTTCAATCTGTGAACATGGAATAGCTTTCTATTTATTTATGTCTTTTTAAATTTCTTTTATCAATATTTTATAGTTTTCAGTGTATAGATCTTTCACTTTATTAAATTTAGTCCTAAATATTTCATTTTTGGCGCTATTATAAATTAAATTGTTTTTAAATTTCTTTTTCAGATAATTTGTTGTTAGTGTATAAAAAGTGCTACTGATTTTTGTATGTTTATTTTATAACCTACAAATTTACTGAATTTGGTTTTCTGTTTTGACAGGTTTTTGAGGAGTCCTTAGGGTCTTCTATATATAAGATCAGATCATCACCAACAGACAGTTTCACTTCTTTTTTTTCCACTTTGGATAGTTTTCATTTCTTTTTTTTCTTTTCTTTTTTTGCCTTGTTGCTTTCTCTAGGACCTCCAGTACTACATTGAATGGAAGTGGTGAGTGGGAATCTTTCTCTTATCTCTGATATTAGACAAAAAGTTTTCAACTTTTCAAAATTGAGAATATTAGTTGTGGACTTGTCTTATAGAGCCTTTATTATGTTAAAGTAAATTCCTTCTCTACCTTTTTTTAAAGAGCTTTGATCATGAATGCATTTTGAATTTTGTCAAATACTTTTTTTGCATCTATCGAGATGATCATGTGGTTTTAGTCCTTCATTTTATTACTACGGTGTATCACATTTATTGATTTGCATATGTTGAACCATCTGTGCATCCTTGGAGTAAATCCCAATTGATTATAGTGAATGATCTTTTTTTTTTTTTTTTTTGAGATGGAGACTTGCTCTGTCGCCCAGGCTGGAGTGCAGTGGCATGATCTCGGCTCACTGCAACCTCTGTCTCCTGGGGTCAGGCATTCTCCTGCCTCAGCCTCCCATGTAGTAGGGACTACAGGTGTGTGCCACCATGCCCAGCTAATTTTTTGTATTTTTAATAGAGATGAGGTTTCACCGTGTTAGCCAGGGTGATCTCGATTTCCTGACCTCGTGATCCGCCCGCCTCAGCCTCCCAAAGTGCTTGGATTACAGGCCTGAGCCTCTGCACCTGGCCCAGTGAGTGACCATTTTAATGTGCTGTTGAATTTTTTCTGCTAGGATTTTGTTGAGGACTTTTACATCTGTGTTCGTTAGATATATTGGCTTTCAGTATTTTTTTCTTGTAGTGTCCTTGTCTGGCTTTTGTATTCAAGTAATGTTGGCTTCGTAAAATGAGTTGAAGTATTCCCTTCTCTTCAATATTTGGAAGAGTTTGAGAAGGATTGGTATTAGTTTGGATTAAACATTTGGTAGATTTCAGCAGTAAAGCCATCAGGTCCTGAGCTTTTCTTTGAAGGGAGACTGATTACTGATGTAATCTCCTTACTTATTATTTGTCTGTTCAGATTTTCTATTTCTTCCTGATTCAGTGGTAGGTTGCATTTTCTAGGAATTCATCCATTTATTTTAGGTTATCCAATTTGGTGATGCATAGTTGTTCATAATAGTTTCTTATGATACCTTGTTTTTCTGTGGTATCAGTTGTAATGTTTTCCCTCTTATTTTAAATTTTGCTTATTTGTGTTCGCTGTCTTTTTGTTAGTGTAGCTAAAGATTTGTTGGTTTTTTCTTTTCAAAAACACAGTTTTTGTTGATATTGTCTATATTTCTATATTTTCTAGCTCTATTTTGTTTAATTCTGCTCTGATCTTTGTTATTGCATTTCTTCTGCTAAGTTTGGGCTTACTTTGTTCCTTGAGGTGTAATGTAAAGTTATTTTTAAAGATTTTTTTTTATTTTAATGTAGGTGTGTGTATTGCTACAAATATCCCTTTTTGGATTTCTTTTGCTGCGTCCCATAAGCTTTGGTATGTTTTTTTTCCATTTTTGTTTGTATCAACATATTCTTAAAGTTCTCTTGTAATTTCTCCTTTGAGCCCATGGTTGTTCAGGAGCATTATTTAATTTCCAGATATTTGCGAGTTTTTCAACATTTTTCCTATTGTTAATGTCTGTTTCATTCCATTGTGGTCAGAAAAAGTACTCAATATGATTTCAATCTTCTTAAATTTTTTAAGACTTGTTTTGTGGCCTAATATATTGTCTACCCTGGAGAATGTTCCATGTACGCTTGGGAAGAATATGTATTCTCTTGGATGTTTCATTCTTATTATAGCAGTCTAAGCAGCCATTTTAAAAACATGTAGTAGATCACGTCAAAATATCCCAATGGTTTTAAATCTCACTTAAAGTACAATCCAGTCCTTAAATGACCTTCATGATTTATATATTCCGTCTTTCCTATTTCCTCTCTGAATTTCATTCTTTTTCTCTGCCTCTTGCTCACTGCATTCTAGCTGAATGGGTCTGTGTTTTCCTGAAACATGCCAGGGAAGCTCCCTCTCTTTGGCTTTTGCATTTACTGTTTCCTCTTCCTGGCATTTGTTCTCCAAGATAGCTGTAAGTCTCACTTTCTTATGTCTTTTGGATCTTTGCTCAGATGTTACTAAAGTTATCAACATAGTCTTCCACCATCACTCTATTTAATTTTTCACTCTTACCCTTAGCACTCTCTATCCCCATTTCTTGTGTCATTTTCCTGTATGTGTTCCTATATATATATGTATTATTTATTTGATAAGGCATTCCCAGTGTCTAGAACAATGCGTGATAAATAGTAGGTGCTAAAAAGATATCAGTTGAGCCAGTTAATGAACAGGTTATATTACAAGCTCTTATTATAGCACTTACAGTAGTATAATATTTTTACATGTCTCATTTTTACAGTGTAAATTACTCAGCAGGAGAGACCTTTATTTATTTTTATCGCAATAGTTCTTAGCACAGGGTCTGTAGGAAAGAATGCAGAAGGCATTCAGGAAATAGTTGTTAAATGCAAGACCCCACAGGGTTTTTACCTGCATTTTGAAATTTATATGATCACATGGTGATATTTTATTATAAATAAACAAGATATACTGTCAAAGCTTTCTAAAAACTTGAAAAACAAAATTCATGTACACAAAAATATATCAAATGGAATTTATTTTTATATTAAATAACAAGTGCAAACTTTGATAGCACACCGTTGTTGTATTAAGTTGTGTAATTTAGGATGCAATTTGATATTTAAAGGACACGAAATTATCACCCCGAGGTACATTACCACATCTAATTGCCTATTATCTGTGATATTACAGAAACTTTTAATGGCCAATTGATTTCAAAACCCTCTCTGATACCTCTTTTGGAATCAGGAGTCTTTTTAGACAAAATAAGTATTATCACTGGTATCAACTGTTGTGGGTTTTTTAAAAGCAGACTTTTATTAACTTTTCTTATTTATTAAAAATAGTTTTCACACTCTCATGGGCTTTAACACTGGTAACCATACCAGGTTGATGGTTAAAGATGAAGAAAAATCCCCTATGAATCTGGGAAGGGGAAGGGGTAGTATAGTAGTCCCTCTGTATCCACGGGGCATTGGTTCCAGGAACCCCTGTGGATATCAAAATCTACAGATGCTCAAGTTCCTTATATAAAATGTTTTATTTGTGTATTACCTATGCACATCTTCCCATATACTTTAATCTCTGAATTATACATAATACCTAATACAATGTAAATGCTATGTAAACACTTTTTTTTTATTATACTTTAAGTTTTAGGGTACATGTGCACATTGTGCAGGTTAGTTACATATGTATACATGTGCCATGCTGGTGTGCTGCACCCACTAACTCATCATCTAGCATTAGCTATATCTCCCAATGCTATCCCTCCCCCCTCCCCCCACCCCACCACAGTCCCCAGAGTGTGATATTCCCCTTCCTGTGTCCATGTGATCTCATTGTTCAATTCCCACCTATGAGTGAGAATATGCGGTGTTTGGTTTTTTGTTCTTGCGATAGTTTACTGAGAATGATGATTTCCAATTTCATCTATGTCCCTACAAAGGACATGAACTCATCATTTTTTATGGCTGCATAGTATTCCATGGTGTATATGTGCCACATTTTCTTAATCCAGTCTATCATTGTTGGACATTTGGGTTGGTTCCAAGTCTTTGCTATTGTGAATAATGCCGCAATAAACATACGTGTGCATGTGTCTTTATAGCAGCATGATTTATAGTCCTTTGGGTATATAGCCAGTAATGGGATGGCTGGGTCAAATGGTATTTCTAGTTCTAGATCCCTGAGGAATCGCCACACTGACTTCCACAATGGTTGAACTAGTTTACAGCCCCACCAACAGTGTAAAAGTGTTCCTGTTTCTCCACATCCTCTCCAGCACCAGTTGTTTCCTGACTTTTTAATGATCACCATTCTAACTGGTGTGAGATGGTATCTCATTGTGGTTTTGATTTGCATTTCTCTGATGGCCAGTGATGGTGAGCATTTTTTCATGTGTTTTTTGGCTGCATAAATGTCTTCTTTTGAGGAGTGTCTGTTCATGTCCTTCGCCCACTTTTTGATGGGGTTGTTTGTTTTTTTCTTGTAAATTTGTTGGAGTTCATTGTAGATTCTGGATATTAGCCCTTTGTCAGATGAGTAGGTTGCAAAAATTTTCTCCCATTTTGTAGGTTGCCTGTTCACTCTGATGGTAGTTTCTTTTGCTGTGCAGAAGCTCTTTAGTTTAATTAGATCCCATTTGTCAATTTTGTCTTTTGTTGCCATTGCTTTTGGTGTTGTGGACATGAAGTCCTTGCCCATGCCTATGTCCTGAATGGTAATGCCTAGGTTTTCTTCTAGGCTTTTTATGGTTTTACATCTAACGTTTAAGGCTTTAATCCATCTTGAATTAATTTTTGTATAAGGTGTAAGGAAGGGATCCAGTTTCAGCTTTCTACATATCGCTAGCCAGTTTTCCCAGCACCATTTATTAAATAGGGAATCCTTTCCCCATTGCTTGTTTTTCTCAGATTTGTCAAAGATCAGATAGTTGTAGATATGCGGCGTTATTTCTGAGGGCTCTGTTCTGTTCCATTGATCTATATCTCTGTTTTGGTACCAGTACCATGCTGTTTTGGTTACTGTAGCCTTGTAGTATAGTTTGAAGTCAGGTAGTGTGATGCCTCCATCTTTGTTCTTTTGGCTAGGATTGACTTGGTGATGCGGGCTCTATTTTGGTTCCATATGAACTTTAAAGTAGTTTTTTCCAATTCTGTGAAGAAAGTCATTGGTAGCTTTATGGGGATGGCATTGAATCTGTAAATTACCTTGGGCAGTATGGCCATTTTCACGATATTGATTCTTCCTACCCATGAGCATGGAATGTTCTTCCATTTGTTTGTATCCTCTTTTATTTCCTTGAGCAGTGGTTTGTAGTTCTCCTTGAAGAGGTCCTTCACATCCCTTGTAAGTTGGATTCCGAGGTATTTTATTCTCTTTGAAGCAATTGTGAATGGGAGTTCACTCATGATTTGGCTCTCTGTTTGTCTGTTATTTGTGTATAAGAATGCTTGTGATTTTTGTACATTGATTTTGTATCCTGAGACTGCTGAAGTTGCTTATCAGCTTAAGGAGATTTTGGGCTGAGACAATGGGGTTTTCTAGATATCCAATCATGTCATCTGCAAACAGGGACAATTTGACTTCCTCTTTTCCTAATTGAATACCCTTTATTTCCTTCTCCTGCCTAATTGCCCTGGCCAGAACTTCCAACACTATGTTGAATAGGAGTGGTGAGAGAGGGCATCCCTGTCTTGTGCCAGTTTTCAAAGGGAATGCTCCCAGTTTTTGCCCATTCAGTATGATATTGGCTGTGGGTTTGTCATAGATAGCTCTTATTATTTTGAAATACGTCCCATCAATACCTAATTTATTGAGAGTTTTTAGCATGAAGGGTTGTTGAATTTTGTCAAAGGCTTTTTCTGCATCTATTGAGATAATCGTGTGGTTTTTATCTTTGGCTCTGTTTATATGCTGGATTACATTTATTGATTTGCGTATATGGAACCAGCCTTGCATCCCAGTGATGAAGCCCACTTGATCATGGTGGATAAGCTTTTTGATGTGCTGCTGGATTCGTTCTGCCAGTATTTTATTGAAGATTTTTGCATCAATGTTCATCAAGGATATTGGTCTAAAATTCTCTTTTTTGGTTGTGTCTCTGCCCGGCTTTGGTATCAGAATGATGCTGGCCTCATAAAATGAGTTAGGGAGGATTCCCTCTTTTTCTATTGATTGGAATACTTTCAGAAGGAATGGTACCAGTTCCTCCTTGTACCTCTGGTAGAATTCGGCTGTGAATCCATCTGGTCCTGGACTCTTTTTGGTTGGTAAAGTATTGATTATTGCCACAATTTCAGCTCCCGTTATTGGTCTATTCAGAGATGCAACTTCTTCCTGGTTTAGTCTTGGGAGAGTGTATGTGTCGAGGAATTTATCCATTTCTTCTAGATTTTCTAGTTTATTTGTGTAGAGGTGTTTGTAGTATTTTCTGATGGTAGTTTGTATTTCTGTGGGATCAGTGGTGATATCCCCTTTATCATTTTTCATTGTGTCTATTTGATTCTTCTCTCTTTTTTTCTTTATTAGTCTTGCTAGTGGTCTATCAATGTTGTTGATCCTTTCAAAAAACCAGCTCCTGGATTCATTAATTTTTTGAAGGGTCTTTTGTGTCTCTATTTCCTTCAGTTCTGCTCTGATTTTAGTTATTTCTTGCCTTCTGCTAGCTTTTGAATGTGTTTGCTCTTGCTTTTCTAGTTCTTTTAATTGTGATGTTAGGGTGTCAATTTTGGATCTTTCCTGCTTTCTCTTGTGGGCATTTAGTGCTATAAATTTCCCTCTACACACTGCTTTGAATGCGTCCCAGAGATTCTGGTATGTTGTGTCTTTGTTCTCATTGGTTTCAAAGAACATCTTTATTTCTGCCTTCATTTCGTTATGTATCCAGTAGTCATTCAGGAGCAGGTTGTTCAGTTTCCATGTAGTTGAGCGGTTTTGAGTGAGATTCTTAATCCTGAGTTCTAGTTTGATTACACTGTGGTCTGAGAGATAGTTTGTTATAATCTCTGTTCTTTTACATTTGCTGAGGAGAGCTTTACTTCCAAGTATGTGGTCAATTTTGAAATAGGTGTGGTGTGGTGCTGAAAAAAATGTATATTCTGTTGATTTGGGGTGGAGAGTTCTGTAGATGTCTATTAGGTCCGCTTGGTGCAGAGCTGAGTTCAATTCCTGGGTATCCTTGTTGACTTTCTGTCTCGTTGATCTGTCTAATGTTGACAGTGGGGTGTTAAAGTCTCCCATTATTAATGTGTGGGAGTCTAAGTCTCTTTGTAGGTCTCTCAGGACTTGCTTTATGAATCTGGGTGCTCCTGTATTGGGTGCATATATATTTAGGATAGTTAGCTCTTCTTGTTGAATTGATCCCTTTACCATTATGTAATGGCCTTCTTTGTCTCTTTTGATCTTTGTTGGTTTAAAGTCTGTTTTATCAGAGACTAGGATTGCAACCCCTGCCTTTTTTTGTTTTCCATTTGCTTGATAGATCTTCCTCCATCCTTTTATTTTGAGCCTATGTGTGTCTCTGCCTGTGAGGTGGGTTTCCTGAATACAGCACACTGATGGGTCTTGACTCTATCCAACTTGCCAGTCTGTGTCTTTTAATTGGAGCATTTAGTCCATTTACATTTAAAGTTAATATTGTTATGTGTGAATTTGATCCTGTCATTATGATGTTAGCTGGTGATTTTGCTCTTTAGTTGATGCAGTTTCTTCCTAGTCTCGATGGTCTTTACATTTTGGCATGATTTTGCAGCGGCTGGTACCAGTTGTTCCTTTCCATGTTTAGCGCTTCCTTCAGGAGCTCTTTTAGGGCAGGCCTGGTGGTGACAGAATCTCTCAGCATTTGCGTGTCTGTGAAGTGTTTTATTTCTCCTTCACTTATGAAGCTTAGTTTGGCTGGATATGAAATTCTGGGTTGAAAGTTCTTTTCTTTGAGAATGTTGAATATTGGCCCCCACTCTCTTCTGGCTTGTAGGGTTTCTGCCGAGAGATCCGCTGTTAGTCTGATGGGTTTCCCTTTGAGGGTAACCTGACCTTTCTCTGTGGCTGCCCTTAACATTTTTTCCTTCATTTCAACTTTGGTGAATCTGACAATTATGTGTCTTGGAGTTGCTCTTCTCGAGGAGTATCTTTGTGGCGTTCTCTGTATTTCCTGAATCTGAACGTTGGCCTGCCTTGCTAGATTGGGGAAGTTCTCCTGGATAATATCCTGCAGAGTGTTTTCCAACTTGGTTCCATTCTCCCCATCACTTTCAGGTACACCAATCAGACGTAGATTTGGTCTTTTCACATAGTCCCATATTTCTTGGAGGCTTTGCTCATTTCTTTTTATTCTTTTTTCTCTAAACTTCCCTTCTCACTTCATTTCACTCATTTCATCTTCCATTGCTGATACCCTTTCTTCCAGTTGATCACGTCGGCTCCTGAGGCTTCTGCATTCTTCAGGTAGTTCTCGAGCCTTGGTTTTCAGCTCCATCAGCTCCTTTAAGCACTTCTCTGTATTGGTTATTCTAGTTATACATCCTTCTAAATTTTTTTCAAAGTTTTCAACTTCTTTGCCTTTGGTTTGAATGTCCTCCCATAGCTCAGAGTAATTGGATCGTCTGAAGCCTTCTTCTCTCAGCTCATCAAAGTCATTCTCCATCCAGCTTTGTTCCTTTGCTGGTGAGGAACTGCGTTCCTTTGGAGGAGGAGAGGTGCTCTGTGTTTTAGAGTTTCCAGTTTTTCTGTTCTGTTTTTTCCCCATCTTTGTGGTTTTATCTACTTTTGGTCTTTGATGATGGTGATGTACAGATGGGTTTTTAGTGTGGATGTCCTTTCTGTTTGTTAGTTTTCCTTCTAACAGACAGGACCCTCAGCTGCAAGTCTGTTGGAATACCCTGCCGTGTGAGGTGTCAGTGTGTCCCTGCTGGGGGATGCCACCCAGTTAGGCTGCTCGGGGGTCAGGGGTCAGGGACACACTTGAGGAGGCAGTCTGCCCGTTCTCAGATCTCCAGCTGCGTGCTGGGAGAACCACTGCTCTCTTCAAAGCTGTCAGACAGGGACATTTAAGTCTGCAGAGGTTACTGCTGTCTTTTTGTTTGTCTGTGCCCTGCCCCCAGAGGTGGAGCCTACAGAGGCAGGCAGGCCTCCTTGAGCTGTGGTGGCTTCCACCCAGTTCGAGCTTCCTGGCTGCTTTGTTTACCTAAGCAAGCCTGGGCATTGGTGGGCACCCCTCCCCCAGCCTCGCTGCCACCTTGCAGTTTGATCTCAGACTGCTGTGCTAGCAATCAGTGAGACTCCATGGGTGTAGGACCCTCCGAGCCAGGTGCGGGATATAATCTTGTGGTGCGCCGTTTTTTTAAGCTGGTCCGAAAAGCGCAATATTCGGGTGGGAGTGACCCGATTTTCCAGGTGCGTCCGTCACCCCTTTCTTTGACTGGGAAAGGGAACTCCCTGACCTCTTGCGCTTCCCAAGTGAGGCAATGCCTCACCCTGCTTCGGCTCGCGCACGTTGCGCGCACCCACTTAACTGCGCCCACTGTCTGGCACTCCCTAGTGAGATGAACCCGGTACCTCAGATGGAAATGCAGAAATCACCGTCTTCTGCGTCGCTCACGCTGGGAGCTGTAGACCGGAGCTGTTCCTATTCGGCCATCTTGGCTCCTCCCCCGCTCAACACTTGTTATACTGTATCATTTAGGGAATAATGACAAGGAAAAAAGTCTGTACATGTTTACTACAGATAATTATCCTTATTTTTTTTCCAAATATATTCAATCCATGATTGGTTGAATCCAGGGATGCAGAATTCATGGATACTGAGGGACAACTATTATCCTTATAAAATATGTCTAAAGACTTCTCCATAAAAAATGCCCACTCTCCAGGGAAAATGATTTTGCTAAAGATTTATCCCAGTTTAGGGAGGGATTTCCTTCCATTCCAGGAACTTCCAGCCTTCCTTTTTCACCTGAGGCAGGAAGAAAGAAATATAGTAAACAGGAGTTAGAAATTAAAAAAAAAAATCCTGGAAACATTGTAGTCAGAGATAGAAGTAGGAGGCAAGTGGAAAATCTATTGTACTGGAGAAACGTTGTTAAGATCAAAACTCCAAGACACAGATTCACAAAAATACTGATATAAGGGTATAAGATTGCTACTACATACCAACAACAGTGTACTACAACAGTGGATATCATCTGAAAAAGCTGAGAAATACAGACTTTCCCACAAGACAGTGACTTAAGGAAGCCTGAAGTCAAGAGAAGAGACAAAACAAAGGCACTAGAGGAATTTGAAGCCTCTGGCACTTACAGCTATAGCAAACATTAAACACAGCCCACCTCCTACCCAGGTTAACACAATCCCTTATCTGAAAGATCACTTTACTTCAGCTCCTGTTACTCATTCCAACATGTATGGTTTTCAACAATGGCAAAAAATTTTAATGCATTCCAAAAGACAATTAAAAACACAGTCTTAAGAGACAAAGCCATCATCAGAACCAGATATAGATAGGACACAGATTTTGGAAGACAGGCTATTTAAAATAATGATGTATTTAATATGTTAAGGGTTCTAACAGAAAAAGCAGACAGGATGCAGGAAGAGATTGGTAGTGAAAACAGAGTGAGGGAAACTCTAAAAAGAATCAAAAGGAAGTGCTTCAAACCAAAAACAGTGTAAACAAAATGAAGAATGCCATTGGTTGGTTGATCATAGTCTGGAAAATGGTTAAGGAAAGAATCAGTAACTTGAAGATAGGGCAAATAGAAATACCCCTAACTGTGAAGCCAAGAGAAATAGAATGAGTAAAACAGAGCAGAATATCAAGAACAATGGGGCAATCCAAAAGATATAGCATGATCATAATTGAAATATCAGAAGGAGGAAAAAGGGAAGATGAAGGACAAAAAATATTTGGAGTTATAATGCCTGAGAACTTTCCAAAATGACTAATAGATACCAAACTAAAGATTCTAGAAGTTCAGAGAGCACCAAACAGGATAAATACCAAAGAAAGTCATACCTGGACATATCATATTCAAACTACAGAAAACCAAGTTAAAAGGAGGAAATCTTGATGATGTCATAATGTTGGTGGTGAACCTTATCTATGAAAAACATGGATTTCTTATCAGAAATCATGAAGAAGAATAGACTGGAGTGAAATATTTAAAGTGTTGAAAGAAAAAGTCCACCAACCTAAAATTCTGTATCTCCTGAAATTATCCTCCAAAATGGAAGTGAAATAAAGACTTTTCCTTGACAAACAAATTCTGAGGGAATTCATCCCTAGCAGACAACCCTGAAAGATAGGTTAAAATAAGTTATTCATGGAGAAGAAAAATGATATGGATCTAGGAAAAGGAAGCATGACAGAGAAAGAATAAATAATGGCAAAACAAAACATTTCACTTATTCTTAACAGCTCTAAAGAAAACTGTTGAAAGTAATCATAGTAATGTTGTATTGTGTGCTAAAGCATGTGAGTAAGTGAAATGAGTGGCAGCAATGTCACAAGGGATGGGAGAGAGGAACTATGCTACAAGTAAAGTGGTATAATGTTAGTTGAAGGTGAATTTGATGAATGAAAAATTCATATTGTAAACTGTAAGGAAATTATTCAGAAATTTTCACAAAGAATTATAATTCATACACACATACTAATTAAACATTCAACTAAATGTTCAATCAAACCAAACTAAATTGGATAAGAGAGGGAAAAAAAAGAACAAAATGCAACCAGTAGAAAATAGTTGCAAACATGGTAAATATTAATTCAAATATATCAACAATCGCTTGCAGTATAGATGGTCTAAAGGCAGATTTTAAACATGGATATAAGAAAAGACCAAGTATATATTATTTAAAAGAAAGCTACTTAAGATATAACGATTCAGATGGTTAAAAAAAAAGAGATGGAGAAAGCTATATCATTCTAATACTAATCAAAAGAAAGTTGGAGTAGCTATATAAATTTCAGACAAAGCCTATTTCAGAAAAAGAAAGATTATCAGGGAAAGAGAGAGGCATTATAATAATAAGCGGTCAATTTTACAAGAAGACATAATAATCCTAGCTGTTTGCACCTAACAATGCATCATCAAAATACGTGGGGGCAAAAACTGTAGACTAAAAGAAGAAATAGACAAACCCACTAGTATAGTTGGAGATTTCAGCACCCCATTATCAATGATTGATAGATCAGGCAAGCAGAAAGTCAGGAAGCATATAGAGACATACAGCATCAGTCAACTTGCTTCAGTTGGCATCTGTAAAATACTCCACTCAACAACAGTAGGATACACATACTTCTGAAGCTTGTGTAGGACATTCACAAAGATAGAGTACATTCTGGGCTATAAATACACCTTAGTAAATTTTTAAAAATGGAAATAATCTCAGTCCACATTAAAGTTATACCAGAAACCAAAACAGAAGATACTTGAAGAATGCACAAATCCTTGGAGGTTAAACAGAACACTTCTAAACACCTGTGTCAAATAAGATGTCTCAAATGAAATTAAAAATAAATGTAAAAGAAAATACAACTTAAATTTTGTGGATATTGAGAAATCAAGTTCTTACAGAAAAAGTTATAGCTTTAAATGCATGTTAGAAAAAGAAATCTAAACTCAATAACCTAAGCTTTCACCTTAGGAGACCAAAGAAAGTAATACAAATTAATCATAAAGTAAACATAAGAAAACAAAACAAAATAAACATTTGGGAGAAAGCATGATATCAATAAGCAGTTGTCCCAAGTGACTGCCTTGATAGAAACTGGAATTGTCACAGTAGATATGAAGCAGCTCTTTGCCATGAAAAAACATTTGAACTATTGTAGGTGTTATTTTTAGTATTAGTTTAAGCATTTTTCTATTATTGGTGCCTTTGCACAAATTGAAAAAAACTCTATGTATCTTTTGCTTATCCTTAGAGCCTGTGAGATAATATATACAAGACATCTTTTCCTTGTGATTTTTCTTCCATTCAGATTTAACATTACCTTCACACTTTCTATGACTCATAAAATAGTAGAGGACACAGAACTACAAATGAATGATGATGGGGTCATTAGGACATGAAGAATTAATGACTAATCCTGACAGGAGGAATTGGGGAGTGTTTTTCCAAAAAGGCACAGTGTGTGTTATGTCCCGAATCACCATTCAGGCACTTTATAATATCACTGTAACACTGAGTATGGTGGAGGGAAGGATAGAGCACATGTAGTTTGTAAAGATGAAGTTAGACTGTAGTAGGTTAGATTAATGTTGTGAAAGACTTTGTATATATCATAGTAAGGAGCTTGGAATTAATCCTACAGGTAATGGGAGTGTTAATGAAAGCAAAGTTGAATAAATAAACTTTGAAAAGAGAGCCAGAGTTGGACCATAGAAACAACTGGAATTAGGGTCATCATCTTTGATACTTTCTCTTGTTTTCTTGGGTTCTAGTCTCTCGCATAACAAACTAGTAAGCTCCACAAGTTGACGAATTTGTTGGCTGATGGCTCTATGTTAGAGCTGCAATAATGTTCTTTCTCAGTTCCAGCTAGGAGAATGCAGAAGAGGAATCTTATTGGCTTCCCAGAGATCACCCCTTTGTCATCAATGTAGCCGGGGAGATGGGATAATATAATAACGTGGTGGCCCAACCACTACCATATGGCTGACAAATGAGTGAGAAGTAGTTTCACCCAAAGAAGATTCAGCAGAAGGCAGGGAACTGGGTGGAAAAACAACAGGAGTCAATGGAAGAGATTATGCAGAATTTTATACTTTATAATTATTTGGAATTTGGAAGATTGGTGGAAAACAATAAAAATCACATTACAATCTCAAAATTAAAAAAAAAATAGGGAACTCACGAAAATCTCAATGCCTGTTACATCTAAAGTCTTTTCTTTGCACTAAGTAGCTAAGGATAGTTACTTAGACATAGATTCTCAGTTGTCTTGTTTATGTTCCTGTTAACCTGGCCAGGATATACTGGACTGAGAAATATGAATTCTAAGCATCAGCAATTACTTACAGGCTAGAAATAGGGAATCCAGACTCTCTAAGATGTAGTCTATTTATAGAGAAAAACCTTGTTGGATGATAACTAAGTAACCAGTCAGATATTAGGAGTTCTGAATGTGAGACCAATAAACACAGAGGTAGTAAAAGATGAAGTGATATGCTTAAAATGGAGTGAGAAGTAGAGAGATGAGAAACGCTGAGTTAGAATGTGTTACTGACATATTAGAGTATGACACCTGTTTCTGAGAGATTTTCAAGATGATCAAATTGCCTAAGTGACTTGTTGCAGGTTGCATTCCATGGGAAGCAGACTCTGAAACAGAGATTAGGGTGCAGGACATTTATTATGGAGTCCTCTTCAGAATGTGGGTAGAAAGGGTGGGAAGCAGGATAGGGCAGAGGGAGAAGTTGAGCTATGATGGAATTCCGAGGAAGTCATCAGATAACCCCATGAAGAGATCTAAAACTGGGATAGCCTCGCAGTTTTCCTGACTTGGGACAAGAGGGTCAGACTTGACACCCACATGATGATTAATCATTGGATCAGGGCTGCCTGATCCATCCATCTGAAAGCTGTAGGCCAACTTCCAGCAGCACTCCCAGGAGCCAGGGGAATGTCCTCCTTCCTTAAGGAGAATCTGGGTGACGTACCACCTAGGGGTGTAAAACATTGTCTACATCATAAAGTGGTCAGTAAGATTGAGTCAATGTGTAAATAGCACTTGAAACAGCATCTGACACATAGTAAACATTGTATAATTATTGCTGCTATTTTTCTTATTAATAATTGAATAGAGAACATTAATAAGGCACTGACAGGTTGGTTTTGACATGTTTATGTTAGTGGTTTCATCAAATGTTTTTCCTAATAGCATCCAAAAAGAGTAATATTTAACAAATTGAAATGTTTCCTTCATTTAATGTGGTAAAATAATACACAGAAGAAAAATATAAGTGTTACCCTAATCTGTTTGAATATCTCTTGATTCAGGTTTGAATCACAGAGTTGATCTCAGCTGCTCCAAGTTCTCCTGTCCAGGTCAACTATCCTGAACTAGGTAAGCTCTTATAGGTTCCATTGTTGTAGTCTAAGAGGCTTGGCGGCATATAGCTTAATATTGATTCACAGTTGGATTCCTTTCAATTTTGGCTTCCCTTTACCTGGATCATGGTTATGAACTTGGTCAGGCTCCAGATGCTATTCTGAAACATAATGGGAGGGTCATGCAGGAGGAGAGAGGCAGCGTGTGTTGGGTATGCATGAATAATTCGCACCATCATATTTTACAACTCTAGAATCCAAGGCAGAAGCACAGGCCAGATGGTCTGAGTTCAGGCTCCTGTTTTTTTTTTCATCTTGGACGGCATTCCAACCAGACCTAACAATGCTCAGAGTCATGTAGAGATGTACTTGCTTAGTTCCCTGGAAGATTTTTCAAATAATTTGTCTTATTCTTAGAAATATCCCTTTGTGTCATGCAATTATATGTAAATTATAGAATCATAGCATCTATCTGTATATATACAGCCTTTTCTATATGGTGTAAACAATAGTGGATGGCAATAGGCAAAAAGGCAGAAGAGTTGCTGACTCTTTATAAAAGTCCTCTTCATTTTCAACTTTTCAAGTTATTTGGCTATGAAAAATACTTTTATGAGTGACTATCAGTGCTGGCTGGACATAGGGCTCACCCATGGAGTTCTTAAATAGGAAAGACTGTACTGTGCATACTGAATAAATATCTCTTAAGATAGGGTTTGGCATCTCTATTGTAAAATTGTTCCACAGTTGATTCTGATGCAAGCCAGGGTTTAGAACACTGATTTAAACTTATTCATTACGATCTGCTCCTTTAAGGAATATTGATGAATACTATTTTGTGTCAGGTACTTGTTAAGGACTTTCTCTGCAACATTCCATTATTATAATCCACCCAATGACCCTATGAGTTCTATCTCATTATTTCCGTTTTATGAGGAGATCAGTGGGGTTAAATAACTTGCCTAAGTTTTCTCTGTCTGACTCCAAAGCCTACGTTCACATCACAAATTCATGGAGTTAAGGGTGCTTAGAATTCAAGAGAATAGTCTAAGGCTCTCTACTGAATTGTTAGGATTATCCACACCCTTTTGCTGATGCTCAAACTACTAATCATCATAGCTCATAAGAGAGCTGTTTAATGTGTGTAACTTCTTACTATTCTCATGACAAATGTAGTATAGTAAAAATGCACAAGAAAGGAGAAAAATAGTCTTTACTCTATTAATTTTTACTATCACATTTTAAGTCTGAAGCTGGAGAAATAATATATTATTACCAGGCACAATAGCCCAGCTAGCAGATCAATAACAAAGTGCAAAAACCACAAAGTCCCCTCTTATCTCTTTTAGACATATATCAAATTTATCACTGTCTCTGGATGTTGTTCTTCTTGGCTTCTACTAAATTAGTTTCCTCTTAGTCCTGTACTCTGGATCCACCTCCCACTCTGTTAGAGTTGGCTTTTTGGCTGTGCTACCACCATGCCCCAGTTTGATATCAGAGGGCTGATAATCCTAACTGCTTGATCAAAAAAAGTCTCATGTGGATCTTCTATGTTAGGTTTTGTTTTTCACCCTCCATGTCATGGCAATGCTTTTTAATTTCAGTATATGGGCTCAGGACACACAAGTATTAATAATTTAAGCAACTGCAATATGTTAAACTACTAGAATATTCTTATAGGTCATTAGATTTTTTTTCTGCTTATTTCCTCAGTTATTTTAGATGATTAGTTATTGGATTTGGCATAGTTCTAGTGAGGAAAACTGGAAGGACCCTAAAGTTAGGTTCTTTATTTTTATTAGCCAGGACTGTTTTTTAGCTTGTAATCATTTACCTAAAAAAAGGAGAATCTGTGATAAAATGCTATGATTTCTCTAGGATTGCCCTTAATCAGAATAAAGAGCAGTGTTAATTCACCACACAGACAACTGTTATCTACTTGAGCAGTGCTTCTAACCTGTTTACTGATTGAATGTGTGTGTATGCGCAATGCTTTATATTAAAGCTTCGAGTTAGAGATATTTATGTGAAGCTCTAGTCACATGCTTAAGGCTTCCATTGAATGTTTTGCATTTCAGCTGATTCAACACAGCTGCATTAAATAAAGCAAATGTGACCTGCAGGGATGAAAATAGAGCCTGATTGACTAAAATTGAGTGGCATGGTTACTTCGGTTCATCAGTTATTGAGATGAACCAGACTGGCGGGAGCTAGTAGTAAAATATTCATGCTATTTAGAGAGGACAGAGGCATAAACTGTTCTCGAGGGTGGCAAATGGCTTATAGTCCTTATGGTTATACTAAGGAAATAACATAGTCTCCAAAAGCTCACTTAAACATTTTCCTATGCAGCAAGACCACAGCTGTTAATCTGAATGCAAAAAAAGCATTCTGGGAGTTTACCATTTCCTTATATGTCAGCATTAGTTCAGTAAGATAGTATCTTAACTTATATGAATCACGTACTGTATTTCATAGCATCTGTCCATGTCCTCTGAACACATATTTATCTTGTTGAGTTACTGAATAGAATTTATTTTCTCATTTATAAATACATCAATGTACTTAATATGCTTACCTATCTTTGCATGCTCTTTCCTCTGTCGGCAACTGCCTTTCTTTTAATTACCCATTCTTTATTCTTCGAAATGTCCCATTCTTTATAAAGCTCTCCCTAGAGTATCACTGAGGCAAACTTGAGAGCCATTGGGGCTTATTTTAACAAAAGAGTTTCATACATGTCGATACATCCTTTGAAAATTACTAATAATTATACATTTATCAATTATTCTGTTATTTTCTTTGGGTTACAATCACTGAGTTCAAAATCTCTTTTTGAAATTTTGTGTGCTGGGAGTGCTTTGACTGGCTATCAAGGATGGAAAGTCTAGAACTTAGTGAATTGAATAAAAGATCAATAATGTGACCTGGTGGTAAACACACACATTAGGAAAGGGGCATAGGATTTTAGACTCAGCTCTATTAATACCTGCTGTGTGACCTTGGTCTACTAACTTAATCTTTCTGGCCTCTTTAAGTGTAAAATGAAGTATTTACTTGAACTAGACTGGTGATTTTAAAAACCATTTCTTAACAGAGAAATGCATTCTTAAATTAAGTGGGAAAAGTGATCAACAGATAAAAGAAATGCTGTATTGGCTAAGGTAAGGTGATGAGGACCCCTGAGTCCAGCTTACTTTGTTTCCATCCCCTGAAGCAGCCCTGAGACACATTTATACACTCTCATAGAATCTGTAGAAGCCAATACTAAAACAAAAGAAAAGAAAAAATAAGTATCTCTAAGGTTCCTTCCAGAACTAATTTTCCAAGGATCTTTTACAATCTGAAGGTGTGCATTCATTGAAATAAACCCTCTAGCCTGTGTACCAAAGCCAAAGCATCCAGTTGTCTATGTTTCAAACCCTCCCCGCTCCCCAGGATACATTGACTGCTTACTGCCTTGTGTTGTTTGTTCAGTGGTACAGATCTATACCCACACAAATGAGAGGACAGGGCCCTTTGTGAAGCACAGCCACCTGAGAGTATAAAGCATGCTTGCAGTTCACTGGCTCAAATGATTGGATGCAGATATGTTTAGGATGGAAGATACCATAGATGATGGTCTTTACTTGCTATAAGACTGAATGGAAAAAATCTTTATCTTCCTCTCAGTGCTAGAGCAAAGCTCTTTTCCTCTCCTTATTTACCTCTTCCCCCTAGCCCCCACCTGAGTTAAGGAACACTGGAGTGGTTAGTTTTCTTTTCACTGGCATTTGTTTTCTAATTTACATAATTGAATTCTTGGCTGAACTTTCAGCTCTCAAATATGATTTGAATCTGTTTCCTTTTAAACAAACCACAAATAAAGAACAACAGACAATTTATAAAGAGCGCTACTGAGAGGTAAGGGCGATGCATTTCAATTAAAAACAACAACAAATAAACAATAAAAGGTACCCTAGAACTTGAAGTATAATAATAAAAAAATTTAAAAAAAGGAGCCCAGTGAAGCCTTATCAGAGCTAAAGGAAGAAAATATCAGCTTCCAATGTTAAGACTCAAATGATTGCCAGGTAAAATTTCAATATGGGGTTCATATATTGAGATTTCTGGAAGTTCGTGATGCAAAGATATTTTGGGATGTAAATTATTTGGAATTCATAAAATAAAATTATTCAATTTTCTTAAGCCTCTTTTGATGAGTTATTGTAGGATCTTATAAAACTAATCGGATAGAAAATGCCAAAACATCTTAAAATCGTATATATCTGAATTCTTTTTTTAAAAATTATACTTTAAGTTCTGGGTTACATGTGCAGAATGTGCAGTTTTGTTACATAGGTATACACGTGCCTTGGTGGTTTGCTGTACCTATCAACCCGGCACCTACATTAGGTGTTTCTTCTAATGTTATCCCTCACCTACCCACCCACCCCCACAGGCCACAGTGTGTGATGATCCTGTCCCTCTGTCCATGTGTTCTCATTGTTCATCTCCCATTTATGAGTGAGAACATGCGGTGTTTGGTTTTCTGATCTTGTGACAGTTTGCTGAGAATGATGGTTTCCAGCTTCATCCATGTCCCTGCAAAGGACATGAACTCATCCTTTATTATGGCTGCATAGTATTCCCAGGTGTATATGTGCCACATTTTCTTTATCCAGTCGATTATTGATGGACATTTGGGTTTGATCCAAGTCTTTGCTATTGTGAATAGTGCCGCAATAAACATATGTGTGCATGTGTCTTTATCACAGAATGATTTATAATCCTTTGGGTATATGCCCAGTAATGGGATTGCTGGGTGAAATGGTGTTTCCAGTTCTAGATCCTTGAGGAATTGCCACACTGTCTTCCACAA
Organism: Homo sapiens; assembly: GCF_000001405.40. Classification (NCBI taxonomy): domain Eukaryota; kingdom Metazoa; phylum Chordata; class Mammalia; order Primates; family Hominidae; genus Homo; species Homo sapiens. The sequence continues at coordinate 96,788,087 of NC_000011.10, forward strand.
TGGTTGAACTAATTTACACTCCCACCAACATTGTAAAAGCGTTCCTATTTTTCCACAACCTCTCCAGTATCTGTTGTTTCCTGAATTTTTAATGGTTGCCATTCTAACTGGTGTGAGATGATATCTCATTGTGGTTTTGATTTACATAACTCTAATGACCAGTGATGATGAGCATTTTTTCGTATGTCTGTTGGCTGCATAAATGTCTTCTTTTGAGAATTACCTGTTCATATCCTTTGCCCAGTTTTTGATGGGGTTGTTTGCTTTATTCTTGTAAATTTGTTTAGGTTATTTGTAGATTCTGGATATTAGCCCTTTGTCAGATGGATAGATTGCAAAAATTTTGTCCCATTCTGTAGGTTGCCTGTTCACTCTGATGGTAGTTTCTTTTGCTGTGCAGAAACTCTTTAGTTTAATTAGATCCCTTTTGTCAATTTTGGCTTTTGTTTCCATTGCTTTTAGTGTTTTAGACATGAAGTCTTTCCCATGCCTATGTCCTGAATGGTATTGCCCAGTTTTTCTTCTAGGATTTTTATGGTCCTAGGTCTTACATTTAAGTCTTTGATCCATCTTGAGTAGATTTTTGTATAAGGTGTAAGGAGGGGGTCCAGTTTCAGTTTTCTGCATATGACTAGCCAGTTTTCCCAACATCATTTATTAAATAGGGAATCTTTTCCCCATTGCTTGTGTGTGTCAGGCTTGTCAAAGATCAGATGGTGGTAGATGTGTGGTGTTACTTCTGAGGCCTCTATTCTGTTCCATTGGTCTATATATCTGTTTTGGTACCAGTACCATGCTGTTTTGCTTACTGTAGCCTTGTACTATAGTTTGAAGTCAGGTAGCATGATACCTCCAGGTTTGTTCTTCTTGCCCAGGATTGTCTTGGCTATGTGGGCTTTTTTTGGTTCCATAGGAAGTTTAGAGTAGTTTTTTCCAATTCTGTGAAGAAAGTCGGTGGTAGCTCGACAGGGATAGCATTGAATCTGTAAATTACTTTGGGCAGTTAGGCCATTTTCACAATATTGTTTCTTTCTATCCATGAGCATGGAATGTTTTTTCATTTGTTTGTGTCCTCTATTATTTCATTGAGCAGTGGTTTGTAGTTCTCCTTGAAGAGATCCTTCACATCCCTTGCAAGTTGTATTCCTAGGTATTTTATTCTCTTAGTAGCAATTGTGAATGGGAGTTCACTCATGATTTGGCTCTCTGTCTGTTATTTGTGTATAGGAATGCTTGTGATTTTTGCATATTGATTTTGTATCCTGAGATGTTGCTGAAGTTGCTTATCAGTGTAAGGAGATTTTGGACTGAGACAATGGAGTTTTCTAAATATACAATCATGTCATATGCAAAAAGAGACAATTTGACTTTCTCTGTTCCTATTTGAATATCCTTCATTGCTTTCTCTTGCCTGATTGCCCTGGCCAGAACTTCCAATACTATGTTGAATAGGAGTGGTGAGAGAGGGCATCCTTGCCTTTTGCTAGTTTTCAAAGAAAATGCTTCCAGTTTTTGCCCATTCAGTATGATATTGGCTGTGGGTTTGTCATAAATAGCTCAAAATGGAACATATTTTGAGATATGTTCCATTGATACCTAGTTTATTGAGAGTTTTTAGCATGAAAGGCTGTTGAATTTTGTTGAAGGCCTTTTCTGCATCTATTGAGATAATCATATGGTTTTTGTCATTGGTTCTGTTTATGTGATGGATTATGTTTATTGATTTGCATATGTTGAAACAGCCTTGCATCCCAGGGATAAAGTCGACTTGATTGTGGTGGATAAATTTTTTGATGTGCTGCTGGATTTGGTTTGCCAGTATTTTATTGAGAATTTTTGCATCGATGTTCATCAGGGATATTGCCCTAAAGTTTTCGTTTTTTGTTGTGTCTCTGCCAGGCTTTGATATCAGGATGATGCTGGCCTCATAAAATGAGTTAGAGAGGATTCCCTATTTTTCTATTTATCAGAATAGTTTCAAAAGGAATAGTATCAGCTCCTCTTTGTACCTCTGGTAGAATTTGGCTGTGAATCCGTCTGGTCCTGAACTTTTTTTGGTTGGTAGGCTGTTAATTATTTTCTCCTTTTCAGAACCTGTTATTGGTCTATTCAGAGATTCAGCTTCTTCTAGGTTTAGTCTTGGGAGGGTGTATTTGTTCAGAAATTTGTCCATTTCTTCTAGATGTTCTAGTTTATTTGCGTAGAGGTGTTTATAGTATTATCTGATGGTAGTTTGTATTTCTGTGGGATCAGTGATGATATCCCCTTTATCATTTTTTAGTACATCTATTTGATTCTTCTCTCTTTTCTTCTTTATTAGTCTTGCTAGTGATCTATCTATTTTGTAGATCTTTTCAAAAAGCCAGCATCTGAATTCATTGATTATTTGAAGGGTTTTTTGTGTCCCTTTCTCCTTCAATTCTGCTCTGATCTTAGTTATTTCTTGTCTTCTGCTAGCTTTTGAATTTGTTTGCTCTTGCTTCTCTAGTTCTTTTTACTGTGACGTTAGGGTGTCAATTTTAGATCTCTCCCACTTTCTCTTGTGGGCATTTAGTGCTATAAATTTCCCTCTACACACTACTTTAAATGTGTCCCAGAGATTCTGGTATGTTGTGTCTTTGTTCTCATTGGTTTCAAAGAACATCTTTATTTCTGCCTTCCTTTCATTATTTACCCAGTAGTCATTCAGGAGCAGGTTGTTCAGTTTCTATGTAGTTGTGCGATTTTGAGTGAGATTCTTAATCCTGAGTTCTAATTTGATTGTACTGTGGTCTGAGAGACAGTTTGTTGTGATTTCTGTTTTTTTTTTTTTACATTTGCTGAGGAGGGTTTTACTTCCAATTATGTGGTCAATTTTAGAATAAGTGCAATCTGAGAAGAATGTATATTCTGTTGATTTGGGGTGGAGAGTTCTGTAGATGTCTATTAGGTCTGCTTGTGCCAGAGCTGAGTTGAAGTCCTGTATATCCTTGTTAATTTTCTGTCTCACTGATCTATCTAATATTGACAGTGGAATGTTAAAGTCTCCCATTATTATTGTGTGGGAGTCTAAGTCTCTTTGTAGATCTCTAAGCACTTGCTTTATGAGTCTGGGTGCTCCTGTATTGGGTGCATATATATATTTAGGATAGTTAGCTGCATATATATTTAGGATAGTTAGTTCTTCTTGTTACATTGATCCTTTTACCATTATGTAATGGCCTTCTTTATCTCTTTTGATCTTTGTTGGTTTAAATTCTGTTTTATCAGAGATCAGTATTGCAACCCCTGCTTTTTTTTTGCTTTCCATTTGCTTGGTAGATCTTCCTCCATCCCTTTATTTTGCGCCTATGTGTGTCTCTGCACATGAGATAGGTCTCCTGAATACAGCACACTGATGGGTCTTGACTCTTTATCCAATTTGGCAGTCTGTGTCTTTTAATTGGAGCATTTAGCCCATTTACATTTAAGGTTAATATTGTTATATGTGAATTTGATCCTGTCATTATGATGCTAGCTGTTTATTTCATCATTAATTGATGCAGTTTCTTCACAGTGTCGATGGTCTTTACAATTTGGCATGTTTTTGCAGTGGCTGGTACTGGTTGTTCCTTTCCATGTTTAGTGCTTCATTCAGGAGCTCTTGTAAGACAAGCCTGGTGGTGACACAATCTCTCAGCATTTGCGTGTCTGTGAAGGATTTTATTTCTCCTTCACTTATGAAGCTTAATTTGGCTGGATATGAAATTCTGGTTAAAAAATTCTTTTCTTTAAGAATGTTGAATATTGGCCCCCATTCTCTTCTGGCTTGTAGGGTTTCTGCCGAGAGATCCACTGTTAGTCTGATGGGCTTCCCTTTTTGGGTAACCCGATCTTTCTGTCTGGCTGCCCTTAACATTTTTCCCTTCATTTCAACTTTGGTGAGTCTGACAATTATGTGTCTTGGGGTTGCTATTCTCAAGGAGTATCTTTGTGGTGTTCTCTGTATTTCCTGAATTTGAATGTTGGCCTGCCTTGCTAGATTGGGGAAGTTCTCCTGGATAATATCCTGAAGAGTGTTTTCTAACTTGGTTCCATTCTTCCCCATCACTTTCAGGTACACCAGTCAAACGTAGATTTGGTCTATTCACATAGTCCCATATTTCTTAGAGGCTTTGTTCGTTTCTTCTCTAATCTCGTCTTCTAGCTTTATTTTGTTAATATGATCTTCAATCACTTGATACCCTTTCTTTCACTTGATCAAATTGGCTATGGAAGTTTGTGTATGCTTAACAAAGTTCTCATGCCACGATTTTCAGCTCCATCAGGTCATTTAAGCTCTTCTCTACACTGGTTATTCTAGTTAGCCATTAGTCTAAACTTTTTTCAAGGTTTTTAGCTTCCTTGCAATGGGTTAGAATATGCTCCTTTAGCTTCAGAGAAGTTTGTTATTACTGACCTTCTGAAGCCTACTTCTGTCAACTCATCAAACTCTTTCTCTGTCCAGTTTTGTTCCCTTGCTGGCGACGAGTTGTGTTCCTTTGGAGGAGAAGAGGCATTCTGGTTTTTGGAATTTTCAGCCTTTCTGCTCTGGTTTCTCCCTATCTTTGTGGTTTTATCTACCTTTGGTATTTGATGTTGGTCACCTACAGATGGGATTTTGGTGTGGATGTCCTTTTTGTTGATATTGATGCTATTCCTTTCTGTTTGTTAGTTTTCCTTCTAACAGACAGGTCCCTCAGCTGCAGGTGTGTTGGAGTTTGCTGGAGGTCCACTCCAGACACTGTTTGCCTGGGTATCACCAGCGGAGGCTGCAGAACAGCAAATATTGTGGTCTGATCCTTCCTCTGGAAGCTTCGTCCCAGAGGGGCACCCACCTGTATGAAGTGTCTCTCGGCCCCTACTTGGAGGCATCTCCCAATCATGCTGCATGGGGGTCAGAGACCCACTTAAGGAGGCAGTCTGTCTATTATCGGAGCTCAGACACCATGCTTGGAGAACCACTGCTCTCTTCAGAGCTGTCAGGCAGGGACTTTTAAGTCTGTAGAAGCTGTCTGCTGCCTTTTGTTCAGATATGCCCTGCCCTCAGAGGTGGAATATAGAGAGGCAGTAGGCCTTGCTGAGCTGTGGTGGGCTCCGCCCAGTTTGAGCCTCCCTGCAGCTCTATTTACACTATGAGCATAGAACTGCCTATTCAAGCCTCAGCAATGGCAGACGCCCCTACCCCTGCCAAGCTCCAGAGTCCCAGGTCAGTCTCAGAGTGCTGCGCTAGCAGTGAGCAATACTCTGTGGGCATGGGACCTGCCGAGCCAGGTACAGGAGGGAATCTCCTCATTTGCTGGTTGCAAAGACCATGGGAAAAGCCCAGTATTTGGGCAGGAGCATACCATTCCTCCAAGTACAGTCACTCACAGCTTCCCTTGGCTAGAAAAGGGAAATCCTCCGATCCCTTGCACTTCCCATGTGAAGCGTCACCCCACCCTGCTTCGGCTTGTCCTCTGTGTGCTGCACCCACTGTCCAACCAATCCCAATGAGATGAACCAGGTACCTCAGTTGGAAATGCAGAAATCCCCTGTCTTTTGCATTGATCTTGCTGGGAGCTGTAGCCCGGAGCTGTTCCTATTCAGCTGTCTTGGAAGTAACCGTGAATTCTTATATAAAATGGGGCACATATTGTATATCAAGTACAGGAGAAACAGGTTATTTTATTGATTATTAATATTAGTATTAATTAATATAACTTTTTAAAGTATCTATGCATCTTCCCTGATTTAAAGAAACTCACTTGAGGAGACAGATACATACCTTAATATACCCCACTATGACTAGTGGTAAAACAAAAGCAATAAGCTTCAGGGATGATTTATGGTCCTGTTAATGTCTACCAACTCTAACACCTGTGCCCCATATATATACATGGCACCCTATAACTACTACTTCCTTATATACTACCTCCTTGCATCCTACAATATTATCTTTCCCCCATTTGTGAAGTCATCTCTATTGTGTGTAGTTCTGAAGGGATGCAATGCCTCACCTTCCACCATAGAACGTGAGAGGAGAAATCCTGCCAGTCAGGATTTGAGCATTTGACTTATCAGCCAATCAAATTCTCCCCAGAGAACTTTCCCTCTCTCCTGTCTCCTTGGGTGAAGGATACAAAGAGAATAGAATGGACAAAATCTTGGGATAGCCTGCAATGGCAGTGTGGGATACAGCAGTAGTATCCAGTGGCAGTGGTTGTGCTAAGCAAGGATAGTGGCACACAGTATAGGAGTTACCTAGAGTGACGGAATACTCCTCCTGCTGGCTCACCCCAGAGCTGACTTAGTTCTGTCTCCTTTGCTAAGCCTGCCTTTGATTCTGTGAATACCGCTTAAGACAATCAGAGTTGGTATCTTTTGCTCATCAGCAGGAACTGTGATAAATGCCATTAGGATTTTAAAATCATGTCTACATGGTGCCAGCTGGACATATATTAAATTGTCTGAATAAAAATGACCAATGGTTTTACAACATTGGCATTTAGTCAATAGTGAATTTATTCAACGTATACTTATCATGCAATTATGTGCTAGTAATTTTACCACACTATTAAACTGGATTGAAATAGCAACCAAAATACTGCCTTAAGTATATTTAGTACTGTTGATTATGTAAAGTGCTTCTGTGTCAGAAACGACTCATAATAAAATAGTATTAATATTGCTACCTCAACTTGTAGTGTTAACCTATTAAGTTTTAAAAGTCTAAGATGCAGCAGCTGGGGAGAACATTTAAAATCACATCATTGGCTAAGTTGTGATGCCTACGATGTTTGTGTAGTGGTAGAGACTTTTAAAGGTCATACTTAAACCGGAAATCCTTCTTCTGCAAAGAGTCCTCAATCCAGTTAGTCCCTACTGATTCTTCTTCCTTATTTTTCCATAATTTTACTTCTTTTCTTTACTCTCAATGCCAACACTTTGGTTTAGAAGTTCATTATGTTTCGCTTTATTACGGTTGTCTTTAAACTGGTTTTAAAACTCCAGGTTTCTTCCTGCACAGCTAATCCTTCCTACTGCACAGAGTGCAATTACTAGAATCATACATGAAATTATCATTTCTTTCTTTAGAATTATTCAGTAACAATTTATCATTTCAAGATAAAGCTTTAAATTATTTTTATAATGTGCAAGATGATATACAAGTTAGTTCCTGCTTATTTCTTTTTCCTTCTTGACAGATACCTTTTGTGCCACTAAATTTTATGTGGTTTCTTTAGAAGATACCATGTCTCTCTTGCCACATGTCATCTTGTGTTTGTTGTTTCCTGCAAGTGAACTGACCTTCTCTATTTCTTGGCCTGCCTAAACCTTTTCCTTAAGATTCAGCTCAGTCATCTCTTATGTGAAATCTTGCAGTTGCATTAAGTGCTTCCAGAGCAACCAGTCTGTTTAGCAAGCTTTTTATTATTATCTGCTTGATTTTCTCATGCTAGACTTTGGGTTCAAGAAGGCATACTCTCCTGATTTATAAATTTCCGGTGTCTAACATGAGATCCAACATACTTCAGGTGCTCAATAACATTGGTTGATTGAATGCATTCATGAATGAATGATAGAATTTCATACTCATTAGCTTACTGAAAATTTACAAGATGTTCTATGGGGTGTGATTTCTGTATTATTATAATAACAGTTTTGTATAAATTAAGAATGCATTCACATATAGTAGCTCATCCAATGCTAATAGGAGACTTTGATTATGGATAAACTAGGTATTGTCATTTCAATTTTATAAATGAGAAAATAGAATTTAGTAAATTTAAGTAAATGTATCCAAAGCAACAGAACTAATGGAAGAAAGATATGGATGAAAATATGAGGTTTTTTGATGCCCAAATAAATATTTTATATTTTTTTCTACTTCTCCTTTACCCTTGCTTCTCTACTGCAATGTAGCTTCAACTTAGTACATTTCACATTTAGAGGACTATAAGATTCAAAACATTCTAGAAATAGCAAGTGATCCTTCTTGAAGAGTACTAATAAAGCAGCTACGTTATGTGGCATTAAATGCAAGACAGTGTTTCTAGCTGTGATACCTTGGACTAATTATTGTAACAAAGTTTTTATCCAGTGCCTCCAGAAATAAAAAATCTTAGATTCAATCTTGGAAGAAATTTTTGAATTTCAACTCAAGCCTCTAATCCTTGACTGACCTTTACAGAAAAATAAAACTACCTTCTCTCACATTTAAAATTAAATAGAGATTCTTAAAAAAAAAAAAAAAAGCTGTGGCTACACCTGTTTTCTTTAATGGTGTAATTACTTTTTAAATTTAACCTTTTAAAAATTTGGTACTTACTCAGATATCATCACATAAAGAAAAAGGAAGTTATATTGCATAAATATTACCAACTAAAAACTATGCATAAACACACACACACACGCACACACATGCACACACACATACATTCTGTAGTGTAGAATACTTTTACATGTATTTTCAGTTTCATGAGTGGAAAACTTGGGCTTCTGTCTCTTTATTTTACATGAATGTCCAAGCCTTTTATAGTTTATAAAGACAGATTTCTGATTCTCACTTGGCCATAATTGTATAGAAATCACCAGCAAGTTTTAAATAGTTCCGTCATTACTTTAAATATTTTTATTATTTGAGGGCTTATTTTACTGTTACTAAAATATAGCTAATTTACAACAATGAGAAGAGCATGGATTTGGAGTGGGATAAATTATATTTAAATTCTGACTATGCCATCTACTGGCACTAACATTGGACAGTGCAATTAATCTTTCTGAGATTGCATTTATTTACCTGTAAAATAGACTCCTAGTTTCCTCCCTAGATAATTCAACCCTTGTAGAGTAAGCTTCTTGATAACATAGGCTAGGTTGTGTCTACCAGTCTGTCCTTCATACCAAGAATGCCGTTAAATTGTTATGAGGATCCAGTGGAATACTGCATTGCAAACTGAAATAATTTACAAATCTAAGTTGTTGTTCTTGTGATGATATCTACATCAGCCCCTCAGGATACTTGGGGAATGGTTCCAGGACCCCTAAGTATACCCAAATCTGCTTATACTCAAGTCCCTCAGTCAGCCCTGTGAAATCTACGTATATGAAAAGTTAGCCCTTCATGTGTGGAAGTTTTGCATCCCACAAATACATATTTTCGATCCACGTTCGGTTGAAAAAAATTCTCATATAGTTGGACCTTTCAGTTCACAACCATGTTGTTCAAGAGCCAAGAGTATTTCCATTAGTTGGAGGAGAAAGAAGAATTTGTAAATTCAAGACACCAAAAATATAGTACTTGGTATTTATAAAAGGACTTTCAAGATTTAAAAAAAAGACTTACAATATTTCTCTGTGATTAACATCCTTCTATATGTCTTCTGCACATGGGCAGAAATTGCTGCAAATTAAAGCCAGAAATGGGAGTTTTGCTACATCATTAATGTAACTGGGTCTTAGGGTAAGTGTACTTTTCATTATGCTTAAGGTTGCCAAATTGGTCTTTAAAATTCTTAGATTATTTCACACTTCCACCACAATGTATAAGAATTTTCTTTACCTAACCTCCTCACAATAACGGATATATTCAGATTTTACTTTTTGCTCTTTGTATGGGTATGAAGTGGCATCTAATTTATGCACTTAACAAAAAGTAATTGAACACCTATTTTATTAGTCAATTCCAGCTGCTATAACAAATTACCACCGACTGGGTGGGTTCTTAATGAGAGACCTTTTCCTCGTGATGTTCTCACAAGGCCTTTCCTTGGTGCATGGAGAAACAGGAGGAGAGAGATCGATATGGAAGCCTCACTTTCATGACCTCATCTAAACCTAATCACTTCCCAAAAGCCCCCACCCCCAAGTACCATCTATTAAGTATTAGGGCTCAACATATGAATTTTGGGAGGACATAAACATTCAGCACATAAAACCTACTATGTCTCAAACGTTATGCTAGATATGGGAGATAAAGCACTTTCTTTTCTTTTCTTTTCTTTTCTTTTTTTTTTTTTTTTTTAAGATGGAGTCTCAATCTGTCGCCCAGGCTGGAGTGCTGTGCCACAATCTGGGCTCATTGCAAGCTCCACCTCCCGGGTTCACGCCATTCTCCCACCTCAGCTTCCGGAGTAGCTGGGACTACCTGCGCCCGCCACCACGCCCAGCTAATTTTTTGTATTTTTAGTAGAGACGGGGTTTCACCGTGTTAGCCAGGATGGTGTCGATCTCCAGGCGTGAGCAACCGCGCCCGGCTGATAAAGCACTTTCTAAAACATCTGTTTCTATGAAATTCGTATTCTAGTGGAAGTAGCTAAAAATAAACAAAGAGATGTATAAATACAAAGCAGAGTAAGAGCATAGCGCCTATAGAACTGGGATGCTATTTTATATGGGATAGTCAGGCAAATCCACTCTGATGAGCTGATATTTGTGCAGAGGCTCCAACTGAGCATGCCCCATCAATGTCCCCTCAGCAATTACCATTTATGTACTTCTGGCACCTTCTTACTGCAACTAGGACTCTCTGAGTGTGAGCATTATCTTGTTGCAAGAGTGTGCTTGGTCTACATATGGGTTATACCAGAAGTGTTGTGGTGATAACATCCCCAGAAATAGCCTTCAAGTAATGCTGGCTGAGGTTAGTGGATAATGTCCCCAGTTTCTTTGTTCCACACAGTCTCTCAGAGGTCTCCAAGAGGCTTGAGCCCCAGTTTTCAATAGCAGCAATCTGTTCGTTTACACAACTTTATTGATTTCCTTCACTTTCCTGTTCAAGGAACTAATCTACTTGTGCTACTTGGGATCACTTCCCAAATAAACTACTTGCTCTGAATTCTATCTTCTGGAGTTTGCTTCAGAGAGAACATAATATAAGGAGTTTAGACCTTTAGATATCTAGGAGAAGGTAATTTCAAGTTGCAAGTACAGCATGTGCAAAGGCACATTGTAGTCTTTCTGATTACTAATTTTAATATAGTCAAAATTAACAAAATTTTTCCCTTTATGGTTTGTGATTTGAAGTCTTGTTTGGAATTGTTTTCTATTCTGGCTTCATGAAGATACTCTTCTATTATAAATTACAGGTCTTTAATCCATTTAAAATTGTGTTTAATGTGTCCATAGACAACCAATTTTTTATATTTTCTATTAAAAATGGTCTGAGAAAAGTCTGTTTCCCCCCACCTACCTGCAATAACATTTATCCCACTTATCATATGTTGATGAGTACATGGTCTGTTTCTGGACTCTCTATCCTAGGAGTATGCAAAATGTTTAAGTTAAAAGACCAGATAGCAATTATTATACATTTATGTGATTCTACGGTCTCTTTTGTAACTATTCAACACTGCCTTTGTAGTGGGAAAGCAGCCATAGATAATATGTAAATGAATGAGTATGGCTATGTTCCAAAAAAATATTTATTTACAAAAACATATTTTACCCCCCAGGCTGTAGTTTGCAGACCTGTGCTCTATTCTGTTCAATTTATCTATCTTTATACCAGTGCCAAGATGCTCAAATTATTTTAGTTTTTAATAATGTTTGACATTTCCTAGGCCAAAAATTCTCTTGTTATTCTTGAGTCATTGCATTTCCATATAGATTTTAAAATCAGCTTAACAATTCTATAAAAATCTGATTGGATTTTTATTGGAATGATACTGATTGATTTGCAGAGAATTGACATGTATATGAGATCAACTTTTTAAATCTATGATTTTGATATATTTCTCCATTTATTTATGAATACATCCAGTTTTCTTTGATGTATTTTGGTACAGTGCCATAATTTTCTGTGTAAAGTGTTGAACATTTTTAGTCAATTTTTCCCTAGGTAATTTATGTGTATATTTATACTGTCATAGTAAATGATATATTTGAGCATTGTATTTTGTGTTTAGCTAGTATATAGAGATGCCACTGATTTTTTTGTTTTTGTTTTAACTTTTAAGTTCAGGGGTATGTGTGCAAGTGTGTTACATAGGTAAACTGTGTCACGGGGGTTTGTCGTACAGATTATGTTATCACCCAGCTATTAAGCCTAGTAGCCACTGGTTATTTTTCCTGATCCTCTCCCTCCTTCTACCCTCTACCCTCCACCCTCTGATAGGCCCCACGTGTGTTGTTCCCCTCTATGTGTCTGTGTGTTCTCATCATTTAGCTCCCACTTATAAGTGAGAACCTGCAGTATTTGGTTTCTGTTTCTGTGTTAGCTTGCTAAGGATAATGGCCTCTAGCTCCATTCATGTCCCTGAAAAGGATATGATCTCATTCTTTGTTACGGCTGCATAGAATTCCATGGTGTGTATGTACCACATTTTCTTTATCCAATCTATCATTGATAGGCATTTTGGTTAATTCTGTGTCTTTGCTATTGTGAATAGCCACTAATGTTCTGATTCTTGATTGTATGTCTGGTAAACTTAATGAACTCCCTTACTAATTCTTCGTTTATCTATAGGTTCCTTTTTACCTTGACACTTTTTATTCTTTTTCCATCTTTGCATCTATTATGCATTTTTATTTTCTTACTTCCCTGACTGGTATTTTATGGACAAAGTTTAATAGAAGTGGTGATAGAAGTCCTTATTTTGTTCCTGATTTTAAAGAATTCATTACCATTTGATGTAATGTTTTTTGTAGGCTTATGATAAATGTACATTATCAGGTTGTGAAAATTTTAATCTATTTCTAGTCTTCCTAACAGTTCTTCTTAAAACAATTGAAAATAGCTATTAATTTTTATTAAATATTTTTGTACCTATTGAAATAAAAAATCATATGGCTTTTCTTCTTTCATCGACTAAGGTATTGCCTACATTAAGTATGTAATCTTTAAAGCTAGATAGATCTGGGCTATTGCCTTGGTTCTTACCTTTTCTTGTATACAATCCTGGGCAAGTTTCTTAACCTCTCTGATACTCAGTTTCATCATCTATGAATCAGGAATAAAATAAAAACTGTCCTGTATTACTGTGATGAATTACAATGCATATAAAATCTCTAACTTTTAGAAATTTTTATTCAGTAAACATTAGTTCATGTTTCCTTGTGTTTTGTTCATGACTTATAAACTGCTGAAGTAAAAAGCTATGTTAAAAATTCTGGTGGGTGTAGCACTCCAGCCTGGGCAACAGAGCGAGACTCCGTCTCAAAAAAAAAAAAAAAAAAAATCTGATGTGTGTAATAATAAGCAAGCATTTAAAATATTTAATTTTTGTTAAATAATTTCTAAAAGAAACTATCAGGAAAGCAAGTAAATAAATACAAACAACAAAAACCATCTGTTATACCCCTAGGTCAAATAATGAAATTAATGAGGATCTTACTGACATATAAATGCATCATGCAAATGATAGAAGATTTTAAATCAAAGAAATATTGGGAAACTTTGTAATAATGAAACCTTAAATAGTCCTCAAACATATTTGACATTGACATAAAATGCCAATAAAGAAAAGCTGTGTAATAGCTACACTGCAGACAGATGGGCTACTAGAAGAACTCACTGAAATTTTCCATATCAGCCACTTGCTATTGTCTCAACAGTGAACAATGAAATAACCAGGTGTTTTATTTTATGTTGCAAATAAAGTATTAATTTGACTTTTAAAATATTTTCAAGCTTCATGTTCAATATTTATGCCTTTTTCTTTTATCTTGTTGAAATGAGCAGAAATCATTTATAGTGTTTTATCAATTTTGGTTGAGAAATTTCTTCTGCTTTTACAGTGAGTATAATTCTTGGCAGACAGAGAAATTAGTTATCTTGATCAACAGCACATAATCCTGCACATATATAAAATTCTATGTATATTCATTGTGCCTAAAATCCCATGGTACAAACAAACTTATGTTGTTTTCATCCTGTTGAAAGTCCTAGGCTTAAAAAAATTAATTTTCTTAGCATACTGTAGTTATTCTGTGTATCATTTAAAAATTGTTTTTTAAACCTTCATTCTGAGTTATATCAGTATATTAAAAATTGCTATTCAAAGAAAAACACCAAACTTTTAAAATAAACACACCTACATTCAAATAACTTTTTCTTTTTGCAAAAATAAGCATTTGTGTTGAATTATAATGAAAGAAAGTTCAGGAAAGGCTGATTTAAATCTAGTGGTTCAGTCAATCAATATTCTGTGTCTTTGTATTTTCTTTCTTTTTTGGCCTCCTGCTTCTTATATATGAGGTTGTTTGTTCTCAGAGAGCAGGATCGTTTATATACTTCTATAGAATACCAGAGAAGAAGAACTAAGAACATTCTTTGAAAATCATAACATGCTTTATGCTTTTATTTCTTTTAAATGGGAATGAATATAGGCAAAGCACATGAATCCATTTCCTTCATTTGCCATGTAGCATATGTTTCTCATTGTTGCCATTCCAAATTAATTTGAATCAGATTCTTATATTTTATAAACTACTGAATTGAATCACTTTGTACCACTGTCAATTATTTCATGTGGACAAATTTGCTTAATGCTTATGTTTTTCATTACTGTGCTAAAGGCATTTGATTGCACTTCGGTATCTTCAGCTGTCAAAAAAGCCAGAATAAAACATCAGAAAGATAGAATGCGTTTCCTTTCATTACCTCTGCAGGGGACTCATTTCTTTAAATGTATATGACCATTGTAACTATGGCAGAATTTTATGATAAAGAAAAATAAATTGTACCCTAAGGTATTATTCCCATTTTGATGGATTGTAAAACATGTTAAAATTGGTCATTATGAACTATAATTCTTCATGGATCCAAACCCTGTTAGTATAATTTTTTTGAATTATAAAAAAAAATAGAGATCAATTTAGTTGGTGCTTTTAAATGACAGTGCATTCAGACTGCAGTAATGTAAAATGACAGCACCAGATATCAGGGATTGGTATATTTGTACTCCTGTTGTTTTGAATGAAAACAGCTTTGCCTCCTATAGGTATAGACAATTGAGATTGACAGTGGGACCCAAATCATTGCACTATGTTTGAGGCTTGAAGGACACTTGAGTTTATATTTCACAGGAAAAAAAATAACTATTGTTCCCTAAAAAATGCAGAAATTCTTTTAAAATATGCTTACATAATAATTGAATTGTGAGGGTAAAACATGGTCATACACCAAATAAAATCTCAGAGAACAAAATGAGATCCGGTCTTAAACAGCAGAATAAAGCTTGGATTTTAAACAAGTTGTTAATATAATTTTTCTCATAGATTTCTCAGCAATCTTCTAACGATACTGAATTTCCCAATATAAAATTCTTTCTTCATCATAGGTCATATTTAAAATGTCGTTTCTTCTCCTTTTCACTAATGGTTGGACATTCAGACCTGGTAGTATGCTAGACACCGTCATATCTGGTTTCCTATTTAATTCACATATTTCATAGAGCAGGGATTATAATCATCATAGCTATGGAAAATAAAGTTTAGGAATTACACAACTTTCTCTAAAACACACAACTAACGGGGCAGAACTGGAACTTACAAGTTATCACTTATTTTTGTTCTAAATCTTTTGGTCTTTGATTTTTCTCGTTTTTATTCTTTTCCTCTTGCTTTTACTTTTCTTGCACTGCAGCTAGTATGCAAAAACACTTAATAAAACTTTTCCAAATCTAAATAAAGTTTTTAATCTTGAAATAGAGTACATGTTATTTTAAGCAAAGTTTAAAATAAAAAAAAAACACCATTATGTGAAATCTCAAAAAATATTCAAACTGCATAGATGAATCCCACAAGAATAAGTCCACTTTAAACACGGAAGAACAAAAACCAGATTCCTGTCTGAGTACTCCACATTAAATGTTAGGGGGGAAAAGGAACATACAGCTGTTTTTTATATTAAAGACTAAAACTCAAGATTTCTAAACTATGTATTAATACAAGATGTCAACAGAAGATGTTGTATAAAGAGAATAAAAAAAAAATCTCAGAAACCTTCTTGAATGCCTACCAGAATAGAGGTACTAGGACAATGAAGTAATGGATCGAAAGAATATAATATACACACTTAATTATTAGAATAATTTCTTAAAGTTTTATAATGTGAAAACAGGTCAAGAAAATGTTAGGATTTTAACTGCAGAATACATCCACAAAGATTGGAAAGTTCATAAAAGCAACGAGGTTATTTTCCACCAACATAGTAAAAAAATAAAATAAAATGAATTCTCGTTCATTGGGATAGCTTAATATGAAGAGACGATGAGAAAACTTTAAATTCTGTAGCACAATGCTGTGAGACAACATAGACCTTGGCATTTTTCAGTTCAAGATTTGAATTCTTGTTCAAACACTTTCAAATTTTATGACCTTGTGCAAGTTAGTTACTCAGAGCCTGACTACCCACATCAGTAGTGGTTATATAATACCTATCTTACTGAATTATTTTGAAGGTGAAATTCCAGTGCAGTGCTTGGCATACTTAATTTATGTATAAACCTCTTCTCTCTCTCCCTTTATTTTATTTACATAGATCAAACAATTTTTTGTAGGATTATGTTACATATTTTCATGTGACTAAAATATATTTCCATATATATTTTCTGATTCCGTCTATAATGTGAAAATAACTTTTTCTTGTATCTAGACACTTCAGTGGAATAATTTTAATGGTTTTATTTTAATTTCTTGTATTTTTGGTGAGTATTATTTCATCTCTTATTTTGTTTTAAAATTTTTCTGTTTTGTCTATAACTTATTAGTGGCTTTAACTCATTATTTTTCTATTAAATGTAATGCTGACCGTCTGATATATGTGTGTATACCTATGTACATATATACACATATTCATATCAAGTATACCACATTATAATTAGTTGTCTTGTATCCTTTGGCTCCTCTAGATTGACATTTTCAGATTTTCCTTGTCTTTGAAGATTTTTGTCAATTTTGAGGAGTAATTTCAAGGTATTTTGTTCAGGTGTTTTTGGTATGATTGTATCTCTTTTGTTTATACTACTGTTGTTATCCTATTGAAGGGCATCTTTTTTGCTTCCAGTTTTTAGCTATTTTACATAAAGTTGCTATGTTCACTTATATGTAGGTTTTTATTTGGGCATACATTTTTTCAGTTAGTTGGATAATTACCCAGGAGCACAGTTGCCAGATTGTATGATAATACAATTTACAATTGCCTGATGACTAATGTGCTGAGCTTCTTCTCATATGCTTTAAAAATTTTATGATTATCTTCTTTGGTAAGGTATCTGTTCAGATCTTTTGCCCATTTTTGAAAATAGTTTTTGTTTTCTTACTGTGGAGTTTTCAAAGTTTGTGACGTACTTTGGATGAGAATCCTTTTTCAGCCATATGTTTGCAAGTATTTCCTCCCAGTCTGTGGCTGGGGATTTCAGTTTCCTATTGCTGCTGTAACAAGTCAGCGACTTAAATAATACAAACTTATCCACTAACATTTCTTGGGGGTCAGAAGTCTCAGAAACATGGTATTGCCAGGCTATATTCTGTTTACAGGCATTAAGGGAGAATTCGTTTCCTTCCCTCTTTTAGCTTCTAGAGGCTGCCTGCATTTCTTGGCTCATGGCCCCATCCTCCGTCTTCAAAGCCAGCAGTACAGTATTTTGCAGTCTCTCTCTATGACTCTGCTGCCTCCTTTTTTAAGAACCCTTGTGTTTACTTTGGGATAACCCAGATAATTCAGGATAATCTCTCTATCTCAAAATCCTTAATCACATCAGCAAAATCCCTTTTGCATGTAAAGTGACATATAGGATCTGGAGATTAGAATGTGGACATCTTTGGGGGCCATTACTCAACATATGACACTTGTCTTTTGATTCTCTTAGTAGCCTATTTCCAAAAGAAGTTGTTTTAAAACTTTTAACAAAGGTCATTTTATACATTTTCTTTGATGGATTTTGCTTTTGGTATGGTACCTAAAAATTAATCATCAAACCAAAGATCACCTAGATGTTCTCCTGTGTTTTCTTCTATAAGTTTTACAATATGCCGTATTCTATTTAGCCTTATGATTCAATGATTCATTTTGACTTAATATTTATGACAGTATAAGGTCTGCATTAGGATCCATTATTTTATACAAGTATTAGTTCCTTAGCACTGCTGTAACAAATTACTACAAGTTTGCTGTCCTAAAACAACACAAATTTATTATTTTACAGTTCTTGAGATCAGAAATCCAAAATGGGTTTTGGGAGCTGTGTTACTTCTGGAGGTTCTAAGGGAGAATTTGTCTCCTTGTCTTTGCAGCTTCTAGAGGTCACCTCAATTTCTTGGCTCATGGACACTCCTTCATCTTTAAAGCAGTAGTGTGACATATTCAAATCTCTGCCTCTGTTGTCACATCTTATTCTCTCATTCTTTCCCTCCTGTTTCCCTTTCATAATACACTGTGATTGCTTACTTTGACCGGGATAATCCTGTATAACATCCCATATCAGAATCTTCAATGTAATCACATCCACAGGGTCCCTTTTATCACATAAGGCAAAAAAATACCAGCAAGCTATTTTGTAGACATCAATAAACTGATTTTAAAGTTTATACAAAAGGAAAAAGCCTAGAATAGGGAATGCAATACTGAAAAAAAAAAAACCAAAAAAAAAACAAAGCTGGAGGACTCACATTACATGATTTTAAGACTTGCTATAAAGCTATATAATTAAGACAGAATGGTGCTGGTGAAAGAATAAACACATAGGTAAGAAAAGAGCCCAGAAATAGACCCAGATGAAGTTGTTCAACTGACTGTTAAAAAGGAGTACAGACAATGCATAGGGTATCGGAATAACTGGATATCTATATGTGTGGTAGATAGGATAATTGAAGATACAGAATAATAGGTTATATAGATTCAATGGGGTTGCATTTAATCTATATAACAAGAGGGAAGGACTAATATCTGAACAACTTGAGTTTTCCATTCTATGAACATGGATTATTTATTTAGATATTTAAAATGTTTTATCATAGTTTTGTAGTTTTTGGTCTTAGAGTCTGTAAATGTTTTAAAATATTTTTTGGGTTTATACTGTTTTTATTTTGCTAGTACAACTGTAATTTCAAATTGGTTTTTGAATTTCAAATTCCAATTATTTATTTCTGCTTATTCAAGACGGTAAAGCAATTAACTTTTGTGTATTAACTCATATCCTTCCTGCAACTTGCTCTAATTGCTGATTTGTACCAGGCGATTTTCTTTTATCAATTATGTAGGATTTTCTACATATACAGTTATATCTGTAAACAAAAGCTTTTTTCTTTCTTCTTCTGTATTTTTTTATTTCTCTTTTTCTTGACTTTCAGTACAATGTTGGGTAGGAGTAGTGAGAGAGTACATCCTTGCCTTGTTCCTGATCTTAAGGGAAAAGCACCCACCTTCTCACTACTAAGTATAATATTAGCTAAAGTTTTTTTGTGAATATTCTTTATGAAACTGAGGAAATGTTCTATTTCTGATTTGTTGAGAGTTTCTTTTTTATCCTAAATGGGTGTGATTTGTTTTCTGTATCAACTGATATGTTCATTTTTTTTCTTTAGTGTATTGACATGGTAGATAATTGAATCGGTTAATTTTTAAAAATAGATATAGCCTTTTATACCTGAAACAAATCCCACTTCATTGTGATCTATAATTCTTTGTATATATTGTTGGATGTGATTTGCTAATATTTTGTTAAAGATTTTTGCATCTATGTTCATAGCACATATTGATCTGTAGTTCCTCTTCTTCATAGTGAAAATTTATCTGTTTTTGGTATTAGGGTAGTGCTGGCCACACAAAATGAGTAAGAAAGCATTTCCTCAGCTTCTATTTTCTAGACTAGATTACGGAGAATTGATATCATTTCTTTATTAAATGTTTGGGAGAATTCACTAGAGAAACTATCTGGGCCTAGTGCTTTCTTTTTTAAAATAAGTTATTAATTATTGATTCGAAGTTCAATAATAGATATAGACCTATTCAGGTTATCTATTTCTTCTAGATGAGTATTGGTAGTTCGTGTCTTTCAATAAATTTCTCCATTTCATTTAAGTTATTAAATTTGTGGGCAGAGAATTGTTCACAGCATTCCCTGATTATCCTTAGTGACCATGGAATCAGTAGTCATAATCTGTATTTCGTTTTCTATATTAATAAGGTGTGAATTTTTAAAATTTCTTGATTAGCCTAGGTGGAGGCTTACCAATTTTATTGATCTTTTGAAGAAGCAGACTTGTATTTTGTTGATTTTCTCTAATTTTTGTGTTTCCGATTTTATAATTTTTACTCTAATTTTATTATTTCTTTTTTTTTTTTTGCTTGTTTTTGGCTTAAATTGATCTTCTTTCTCCAGTTTCCTAAAGTAAAATTCTAGATTATTTAGTTTAAATCTTTTTTTAAATATATACATCAATGCTATAAATTTCCCTCAAAGCACTGCTTTTGCTGAATCCCACAAAATTTGGTGAGTTGAATTGACATTTTATTTAATTCAGAACATTTAAAGGTTTTCTGGAGTCTTCTCAGACCTGTGCGTAAATTTGAAGCATGTTGTTGAATTCCCAAATGTACAAATTTTCTAGCTATCATTCTGTTTTTGATATCTTGTTTATTTCACTGTGGTCAGACAATACACTTTGTGTATCTTTTCACTCTTTTAAATTTGTTATGGTGTGTTTTATGGCCCAGAATAGTCTATCTTGATGAATGTTCTTCGTGATCTTGAGGATAATATGTATTCTGCTGTTGTTGGGTGAAGTATTCAACAACAATGACAATACATATCAAATAAATCAAGTGGATTAGTAGTGTTGTTCAGGTCAATTATGTCCTTACGGACTTTCTGCCTGTTCGTTCTGTTAACTAAAGAGGAGTGCTGATAATTTTTTGGCCTCACATATTTTAATGACTATTTGGCCTCACATATTTTGATGCACTATAGTTAGGTCAATATACATTAAGAATTGTTATGTCCTTTGGAGAATTGATCTCTTTGTTACTATGTTTTAGTCTTTCTTTATCCCTGATTATTTTTCTTTTAGTCAAATCTGCTTTGTCTCAAAATTAACATAGTACTCCAGCTTTGTTGTGATTAGCATGGTATATATTTCTCCATTTCTTTACTTTTAAATTACTTTAGTCTTTGTATTTAAAGTTCTTTTTCTACACAACAGGTATTTAGGTCTCTTTTTTTTCACTTTATTTAAATCCATCCTGATAATCTTTGTCTTTTATATGGTATATTTCTCTTGTTCCAGAGCTTAGAGAAATGGCCTTCAGTTTTTTCCCTAGTCGGTATATTAGCTGTGGGTTTGTCATGTGTAGATTTTGTTATTTTTAAGGTAAGTTCCTTTTATACTCAGATTGATGGGGATTTTTACAATAAAGGGATGTTGAATTTCATCAAATGCTTTTTTTGGCATCTTTTTAAAGAATCATACTTTTTTTCTTGAAATTTGTTAATGTGATGTAGCATATTAATTGAGTTGCATGTGTTGAATCATCCTTGTATCTCTAGGATGAATCCCATTTGATCAGGGTGAATGGTCTTTTTAATGTGTTGTTGAATTCAGATTGCTAGTATCTTGTTGAGGATTTTTGCATCTACGTTCATCGATGATGTTGGCCTGTACTTTTCTTTATTGTTGTGCCCTTGTCTAATTTTGGTATTAGGGTAATGCTGGTCTCATAGAATGAGTTTGGAAGTATTTTCTGCTTTTTAATTTTTTTGAAGAGTTTGAGTAAAATTGGCATTAGCTCTTTAAATGTTTGTTAGAATTCAGCAGTGAAGCTGTCAGGTCCTGGGCTTTTCTTTAATCGGAAGCTATTTATTATAGCCTCAATCACATTACTCATTATTGGTTTATTGAGATTTTCTATTTTTTTTATGTCTCAGTACTGGTAAGTTTTATGTATCTAGAAATTTATTTATTTCTTCAAGGTTTTGCAGTTTGTTGTTGTCAAGTTCATAATAGTCTGAAACGATTCATTGTATTTCTGACGTCTCAGTTGTTATATCATTTTTTGTTGCTTTAAATGTTATTTATTTGGATTTCTCTCTCTTTTTTAGTTAGTCTAGCCAAAGGTTTCCTGATTTTATCTTTTCAGAAAACCAAATTTTTGTTTTGTTGATCTTTTGTATGTTTTGTTGTTTCAATTATATTTATTCCTACTCTGATCTTTACTGTTTACTTCTGCTAATTTGGGGTTTGGTTTGTCCTTGTTTTTGTAGTTCTTGGAGGTATATTGCTATAAACATCCCTCGTAGTACTGCTTTTGCTGTATCCCATAGATTTTGATATGTTGTATTTCCATTTTCATTTGTTTCAATAAATTTTAAAATTTATTGTCTAATTTCTTCATTTACCCATTTATCATTGGGGAACATGCTATTTAATTGACATGTGTTTATAAAGTTTCTGAGGTTCCTCTTTTTATTAATTTCTAGTTTTATTCCATTGTGGTCAGAAAAGATACTTGATATAATTTCTACTTTTTTGAATTTTTTCAGATTTGTTTTGTGGCCTAAGATACGATCTACTCTGGAGAACATTCCATGTGCTGATGGAAAGAATGGATATTCTATAGCAGATGGGTGAAATGTTTTGTAAATGTCAGTTAGATCTAGTGTGTAGTTTAACTCCAATGTCTCTTCGTTGATTTTATCTCTGGATGATCTATGCATTACTGAGATTGGGGTGTTGAACACATAAGTTTCCTGGAGAGTGGCACACCCTGGGGGGGATGGAAGCTCCCTGTTCCTTTCCCCATACTTTGCCTTATGCATCTCTTTTTCACTGTCTTTTGTAATGTCCTTTAGACTGAACGGTAAACATAAGTGTTTCCCTTAGTTTTGTGACCTCCCTAGCAAATTAATTGAACCAAAAGATGGAGTCATGGGAACCCCAGCATGAAGCTAGAGGGTCAGAAGTTTCAGAGGCTCAGAATTGTGACCATTGTCTGAAGTTGGAGGCAGTATTGGATTGGCACTTAATCTGTGTGATCTGATGCTATCTTTAGGTAGATAATGTCAGAATTGAATTGGTGGGTACCCAGCTGGTGTCTGCTGCAGAATTGATTGCTCACTTGATGATAGGAAGAAACCATCTCCCAACATGTGATCATAGAAGTCTTCATGTTTTGACATATACATGGTGAAGTGATTACTATAGTCAAGTAAATTAACATATCCATCATCTCACATAGCTAGCTGATTTGTTTTGGGGTAAGGGTAGGAGTACCTAAAATCAACTCTCTTAGCAAGTTTCCAATACAGAATATAATATTCTTATGATAGACCTTGTGATGTAAATTAGATCTCTAGCCCTATTTATCCAAATAACTGCATTTTTGTACCCTTTGGCCTATATTTCCCCCACCTCTTCAATACTGGTTACTGCCTATGTAATCTCTGATTCCATATATTTCAGTTTTTGTCTTTCCTCTGTCTTTTAGATTTCATATATAAGTTAGATTATACAGTATTTTTTATGTGTCTGGCTTGTTACATTTAGCATAATTCTGGGTGCATTTATGTTGTCACAAATATAAGAATCTTCTTTTTTAAGGCTAAATAATATTCCATTGTGTATGTGTGTATATATGTATACACACACACACACACACACACACACATATATATGGCAACTTCTTTAATAATCTGTTGATAAACCTTTAGGATGTTTCTATAACCTGCTATTGTAAATAATTCTGCTCAAATAAATAAAATTAGAAATGAAAGAGGAGAGCAGGATATAGATAGGAAGTAAGGTAAACAGACCTTGAGTATGAGATCATATGTTATTCTATTAGGAGTTAGGCGTTGGGCTGTTTTTAATGCTTGCTGTAGCTGTTGGTGATAGAGGCTTTTTTTTTTTTTTTTTTTTGAGATGGAGTTTCACTCTTGTTGTCCAGGCTAGAGTGCAATGGCACGAGCTCACCTCACCGCAACCTCCACCTCCCAGGTTCAAGCAATTCTCCTTCCTCAGCCTCCTGAGTAGCTGGGATTACAGGCATGTGTCACCACGCCCGGCTAATTTTTTGTAATTTTAGTAGAGATGGGGTTTCTCCATGTTGGTCAGGCTGGTCTCAAACTCCCAACCTCTGGTGATCCACCCACCTTGGCCTCTCAAAGTGCTGGGATTACAGGCGTGAGCCACCGTGCCCAGCCAGATAGAGGTATTTAACACCACTAATGTCATATTTTTCTCTCCTCTTGGCTTTGGGCTTTTGAAAATACTATTTAGAGATGGTCTAGTTTTTTTTTTTTTTTTTTTTTTTGCATTTTTTGATAGATCTTGCAGTTTTTTTCAGCTCTACTCCACTCTTACAGTGTTACATTATCTTTTTTTTTGCTGGAATGTGAGGGTATAGGGCAGGAGGAGCATTTTATAATCTTTTGATGACGTTTCAGATTTTTAGTTGGCCTGCATCTTGTGGCTGTGACCTTCACCAGTTTTTCTCCACTGATGTACTTCCTCCTCTCTCCACCCCTGCCTCTTAATTTCTTTCTTGGCTTCAGTGTTCCTAATCTATTTCCTTGAAACACCATCCCCTGTTAACTACGTATTTTTTCCCTTTGGAGAGTAAAAGGATTTTGCAGGGATCTCTACTGGGGAGGAAATTCCCTTCCCCCAGCCGTGATAAGATTTCAAAATTATATTCTGGCAAAATACTTTTCTGTGGAGAGAAGGCTTTTATTATGAAGAAGGCTCTTGCCATGTCTTATAAAGGAGATTCTGTTTCCTTGCTAAGACCCAGAGGAACTCTTTCTTGGATCTTCATCATGAGAATCTGGTGGGTTCTTGTTGGTAAGGTCCACAGAAGTATGGGGATCCCTTTCAAACTGCAATTATTTGCAGTTTTTTACTTTTACATTGATCCATATTTGGCCTCCTGGAATCCACTAAAATTATATGCATTCTTCTAAATTTATGTTTCAGGGGGGCTTCTATTTCGAAGTATATTACTGTTGCTGTATCTCTCTGGATGTACCTGTCTCTCTAGATTGGGGGATTTTTTTTTTTTTTGGTCCTGTGACCTCAGTTTTCTGATAGG
The DNA here is from genome assembly GCF_000001405.40 of Homo sapiens. Classification (NCBI taxonomy): domain Eukaryota; kingdom Metazoa; phylum Chordata; class Mammalia; order Primates; family Hominidae; genus Homo; species Homo sapiens. The sequence goes on from NC_000011.10 coordinate 96,813,093, forward strand.
TTTACATAGTCATTGATGTTCAGTTTTCTTGTTTTAAGAATGGACATTTATTCAACATAGTATTGGAAGTTCTGGCCAGGGCAATCAGGCAAGATAAATAAATAAAGTGTATTCAAATAGGAAAAGAAGAAGTCAAATTGTCTCTATTTGCAGATGACATGATTGTATATTTAGAAAACCCCACCATCTCAGCTCTAAATCTCTTTAAGCTGATAAGCAACTTTAGCAAAGTCTCAGGATACAAAATCAATGTGCAAAAATCACAACCATTCCTACATACCAACAGAGAGCCAAATCATGAGTGAACTCCCACTCACAATTGCTACTAAGATAATAAAATACCTAGGAATACAACTTACAAGGGATGTGAAGGACCTCTTCAAGGACGACTACAAACCACTGCTCAAGGAAATAAGAGAGGACACAAACAAGTGGAAAAGCATTCCATTATTTTGGATAGGAAGAATTAATATCATGAAAATGGCCATACTGCATAAAGTAATTTATAGATTCAGTGCTATCCCCATCAAGCTACCATTAATTTTCTTCACAGAATTGGAAAAAAACTACTTTAAATTTCATATGGAACCAAAAAAGAGCCTGCATAACCAAGACAGTCCTGGGCAAGGACAAAGCTGGAGACATCATGCTACCTGACTTCAAACTACACTACAAGACTACAGTAACCAAAACAGCATGGTACTGGTACCAAAACCAATATATAGACCAATGGAACAGAATAGAGGCCTCAGAAGTAACACCACACATCTAACACATCTGATCTTTGACAAACTTGACAAAAACAAGCAATGGGGAAAGCATTCCCTATTTAATAAATGGTGTTGGGAAAACTGGCTAGCCATATGCGGAAAACTGAAACTGGACCCCTTCCTTACATCTTATATAAAAATTAACTCAAGATGGATTAAAGACTTAAATGTAAGACCTAAAACCATGAAAACCCTAGAAGAAAACCTAGGCAATACCATTCAGGACATAGGCATTAGCAAAAACTTCATGAATAAAACACCAAAAGCAATGGCAACAAAAGCCAAAATTGACAAATGGGATCTAATTAAACTAAAGAGCTTCTGCACAGGAAAAGAAACTACCATCAGAGTGAACAGGCATCCTACAGAGTGGGAGAAAATTTTTGCAATCTATCCATCTGACAAAGGGCTAATATCCAGAATCTACAAGGAACTTAAACAAATGTACAAAAAAAAAAACCCAAAAACCCCCATCAAAAAGTGGGCGAAGGATATGAACAGACACTTCTCAAAAGAAGACATTTATGTGGCCAAGGAACATACGGAAAAAAGCTCATCATTACTGGTCATTAGAGACATGCAAATCAAAACCACAAAGAGATACCAACTCACGCCAGTTAGAATGGTGATCATTAAAAAGTCAGGAAAAAACAGATGCTGGAGAGGATGTGGGGAAATAGGAACACTTTTACGCTGTTGGTGGGAGTGTAAATTAATTCAATCATTGTGGAAGACAGTGTGGCAATTCCTCAAGCATCTAGAACTAGAAATGCCATTTTGACCCAGCAATCCCATTACTGGGTATATAACCCAAAGGATTACAAATCACTCTACTATAAAGACACATGCACACATATTTTTATTGCGGCACTGTTTACAATAGCAAAGACTTGGAACCAATCCAAGTGCCCATCAATGATAGACTGGATTAAGAAAATGTGGCAAATATACACCATGGAATACAGTGCAGCCATAAAAAAGGATGAATGAGTTCATGTCCTTTGCAGGGACATGGATGAAGCTGGAAACCATCATTCTCAGCAAACTAACACAGGATCAGAAAACCAAACACCACATGTTCTCACTCATAAATGGGAGTTGAACAATGAGAACACATGGACACAGGGAGGGGAACATCATACACCTGGGCCTATTGGGGGATGGGTGGCTAGGGGAAGGATAGCATTAGGAGAAATACCTAATGTAGATGATAGGTTGATGGGTGCAGCAAACCACCATGGCACCTGTATACCTATGTAACAAACCTGCACGTTCTGCACATGTATCCCAGGACTTAAAATATAATAATAATAAAAAAGAATGAACCTGATGACTTCCAAGTGCTTTACATGTTAGAAGGGAAGTCAGAAATCAGGAGAGGTAATTTAAATATGTACTGGCAGAAGCTTTCTTTAAAATTGTATGCTTTGGACAAAAATTCAGTTTTTATCTTTAGAGGTATTCATTTTATGTAAACGTTGTTAGTGATAACTTTAGGTTTACTTTTTTCCTTTAATCAGTGTTTCTTCAATAATGTGCTGATGGAGTTTGGCAGATGGAGTGTGTTATGAGATCGATGGTGTACATATGGGGAGATTAGGCAATGTGCTTGTGCCCAAGTCTGGGTGTTTGACAGAAACTTAGATAATATTCAGTTTAGCAATCTTTGCTCTCAAACTGGATTTTCCTTGTGATGTTTTCATTACTGCACATCTTTCCTGTATCTAAATATTGGACAGATAATTGTGTGCTCTTTTACGCTGATTGATCATAGAGATTTTTATGTCTTAGTGAAGCTGAGCCACGTAATGAGAGAGATATTGCTGGATAATTTTAAGTCTTTTCCAGCTATTGTCATTCTTCTTTCCCCAGGCATGTACTTGTTTGTATCCTTAGCTGAAATTTGCTTTTTTTTTTCTCCTCCAACTTTACCCCTTTCTGCTTTGAATAACTCCATTCTTTTTTTTTTTTTTTCATACCAAATGCTGTACGCATTCCCTAAATCACATATTGTTCTGCTTGGCACACTTCTTTTGCACCTGTTTGGACCTAATATTCATTTCTTTCTTTTTTTGGCTCAGTTTTTTACCTTCTAGACCCTCCCTCCTTTTAAGCAGCTTTCCTTGATTCCCCTTGAACGTATTACATAGTGATATGTTCCACCTGGCATTTTCCCAGCATTACACTTTTATCTCAGAACTTATATTCTTTGTAACAATTGTTTAAATATTTCTGTCCTGCCAAAAAAAAGTGGGCTCCTTGGCCACAAGAGTTCCCCCTGTCCCCCTCTCTCTTTCTTAACTTTGTGCAGTAGAGCTTAGCAGAGTCTGGAGCCTATAAATGCTCAGTTCACATATATAACACAGTGAATGATGAATGATTAAGTCAATAATTGGTGTCATCTTGGTGACTCCCACTTTTGTCACTTCCAAGCAATCATTCATTTGAAGCTGCACTTTCAAGTTTCATATGAATTTCTCCTCTCTTTTCTTTTAACAATTCTAATTAAATTTTTTATAGTACTGAACATGTAGGATGCTGTTCCCCCCCACAAACTGCTTATCACAGTACATAGATTAGAAGAGTTTCGTTACTTTAGATTAAATGTGGGTTTGCAGTCTGATGCTCTAGGCTCAAGTTCTACTTTCATCTCTGCTTTTCAAATTATATGAACTTGATTAGAACTCACTTTATCTGTAAATTAATGTCTTCAAACGGATTTGGCAGACTCTCTGGACTTTCAGTAAGTAAATACAGTTTTCTTAATTGCACTTGTATCATAGTTTGTCTAAATCCACTTGCAATGGAAATGGAAGTTCTTGGACAGAGTCTTAGTGCTGCGTGTTTGCTGCTGGCACTTGTACTCTTAAAATAGCATTTTGAGAAACAAACAACAGATGTTATAGAAATAAGAAATTGGATACTTGAGAGCTGAGCTGGTTAATGCCTTTATTGATAACAGTGGTAGAAACTTATATTTCTTGTAGGAAAAAGTATGTCAGATTTTATTTTAAATAAACAAACATTTTCTTATTTAATTCTCATAGTGATATTTTGAAATGGATGTTAGTATTATTCCCAGTTTACTGAGAAGAAAACCTGCAGCTGACTCCAAATAAAGGATGTAAATTATGAACCTAGCAGCTACTATCACTCTTCACCTAGAGATAGTTGCACAGAAATTCCTTTAGCTTAATTTGTAATATGCACTCCTGCCTAAACTCTTCTAATGGTACAATCCATCTTCCTCACCCAAACTCCACACGTAGCTGCAGATACTGCAAATCTCAGTGTAGAGTTATGGACCAGAGCCCCTGAAGGAAGAACTTTCTTTATTGACAGCTAAGAAACAATTTTTCTCACTCCTTGTCATTGTGCCCAGATGTACCATAATGTATCTAAAACAGTAGTCCTAAGATTGAGAACCCAACTGGCCAAGAAATCTTTGGGGATGAAGAAACAGCTTTAAGATAGGCTTCTGTAACTGGCCATTCTCAACCACCTGTGACAGAGAAAATTTTTCATTTCTAGCACCGAAACACATTAGTTCTCTGTCAAAAACTGCATCAGTCAGAAATCCAATCCTAGTTTTAAATGAAGGTGTCATGTCTCTGCCACCTCAGTATGTCTATAAACAGTGAAACCTGTGTCTGGGTTGTAACATTTATGATTCATTTGTCCTTTGGTGAATTAAAATGTTTGACATTCCTACATTAGGCTGTAATATGCAGGGGAATGCTAAGTGGATAGTATAAAACTCTGTGATTCATGACAGAGAGGAGTGAATGTACCATATTATCTGATCATTGCTTCAGCCAGTTTAGGGCCACTTTCTACATGTCTGGTGTGTAGAGATAAACTGTCTTTAACGTCATATCATGAGAGTGGTGATGAATCGTTCTTGGAAATTTTCTGATTGACACATTCTGAAGCTTTACATTCTCCTGCTGTAACATATCCAGTGGGGAAGTCTCCCACTAGATAGGCATTATAACACTGTGGTTTTCCAATAGTCAAATACTTACGTTTGCAAAAATAATCTGACTGTAAAGAACAGAGACTTTATTATTGTTGATAGCACCTTGGTTATCATCTTAAAAAATCTAAATGCTATTGATTTGGGGGATTAAATTTATGACTGTGTAGCATAATTCTTTATAAATGAATCTCTGCCTTTCCCAAGAGTACCAAATACACTAGTTGACAGAAAATCACTTGGTAGGAAAGGGAATGCTTAATATTGCCTTGGGGCATAACTCAGGTGATCACTTTAATACATACTTTTCATGCTGGAAAGAATTGATAAACAATGTCTGTAAAAGTAAAATATTCTGATGTAACTGAGCCTGGGATCAACAGAGATAAAAGTTGTGGAAACAGATAAGTCCTGTTGGAGGTTTCCCCTGAGGGATTTTTGTATTACTTTGTGTAAGTGGGGAAAAATGAAGGGATTTTCTGGATTCTTCATAATCAGATTCAAATCTCCCCTTTGCACAGGTGAGCAGTAAGTAGATATTTGAAAAGCTACTATTGTGGATGGACTTTTGCTCCTGCTGGACGTTTTCTAGTTCCAATTACATTGAAATGATGAAAATCAATGTGAAGAGTGATGCATGCTGAAAGGCAGGGGTGAAAAAGGGTCCAGAGTAATAATAATTTAAAGTAACTTCAGAAGACAACACATCAACTATGAAGAGATCAATTGAACCTTTTTTTTAAAATTGTACTTGAGCAGTCTCAGTGCTGAGGGTTAGATGCTCAGACTGTTTAGGCAGAAGGAGAGGATGTGGAGAGGGAAGCACCCTCTGGGGCACATCTGACTGGGAACTGGTATCAGAGAGGCGACACTGGGGACCACAATATTTTGATGAGGAAGAACAAGAGCTTCAAACCTTACCCAGCCAGATCTTCTAATGCTACCTGTTCCCTCTCATATGTTAATTGTTTGTGTGTCATAGTAAGTTAACATGCATCACCTACTTTTGAGAACTTCCTACCTCTTTATTATCCTTCAATCCCCACAGCATACATTAGCCAGATAATAGAGAACTATACACATTTTAATCTATTGTTTGCCTTGAATTTTTTGGAATGATCCTATTAGACCACCAAAAAAGTAATTTATTTTTCTTTCTATCGTCACTTCTTACCTTTTTAAAAAATGCATGAGAAATTAATAACTGAAAAATTGGTCAAAAGTTATTCTCTCCACTGACATTGCATATCCTACTGTCTTTAGGTTGATAGTAGATAAACTGTAATTCTTACATACCCCTAAGAATTAATGGTCTCCTATGAGATTTCTAATTTTTCACAGGCTCATTTATTATATGAAAATCATGTGCAAAAAGATAGCTTTGTTTTTCCTTTGGAAGCAGCTTCATCTTACAATGGGACCATCCTTTTCTTTCTGCTATGGGCCTCCCTTACTCTATGGGTTTCATCATGTTCTTCTGCTTTCTGTCTTACCCTGCTCTTTGAATTATGACCAATATTCTTAATAATCCCAATCAATATTTTTTGATGACTCAGTTCTGAACATTCTTAAATGTCAAAGGCTGCTTTGATCTTAATAGAGCAAATGTTGCTGTTTTAAATTTCTAAATTTGACGCTATCAGTTTTACTCTTCTAGCTCTTCTAGGGCATTTAGAGTAGCTATGACATCACCTCAAACCTCAAAAAGCTTAAAATGGGTGAGTAAAAGGTTGATAAATTCTGTTCATAAATAGTTATGTCAGAACTAAAGAAAAGAAAGAACCATTCAAGAAATTTAACAGGGTAAACACATGTCCTGAGGTGGTTTGTATGGGATGGTACTGGAGTAACTATTAATGGCATCCTTATTTACTCTCAGACATGTCTTGATTTGGAAGATTAATTAGTAAGTCTTTTTATATTAATTAAATAACATGACCCAAGAGGTACTTTAAGTTTAGGGCAGTCAGTAACTTTTGATAGTAATCTTTTTAATTGATTCTTAAAACCTAGGTTTATACAGATAAGAATACAGCTTGTGGAGGTGGACCCATCTAGGTAACTATTGCCAATAACAAGGGTTAAAATATTATCAGCACTCTAGAAACTCTCTCTTTGCTTTCTCCTAGCCCTGTTTTCTATCAAGGTGACCACTATCCAAACCTCCAGGGAGTTGGGATCTTGCAAAATTATGCTGTGTCTCCATCTTTTGCTCAGTATTATATTTGTGATATCCACCTATGTTGTGCATGGAGTTCATTCTCATTGCTGAATAGTATTCAATTATATAAGTATACCACAGTTTATTTATTCACTTTACAGTTGCTAAACTTTTGCTTGTTATCAATTTAGGAATTGTAATACAGAAATGGTAAAGAGCTCACTTTGGAACTAACTGTAATTCTCATAAGTCATTCCAAATATTTTGAGTGTGTACTCTTCTATTTTTGGAAACTGTTTATAGCCCCTGTATGATTATAGTTGATCTTTAAATATACATTAAAATACATAATGTTGAAGTTTTATAAATTAAGTAATAATTTAGGTAAGTTTTTTGTTATTCGTCATAGGTATATGTATTTGAAAATAGTCCTGTTTTCTGATGTAAGATATATTCCAACATTCTATGATTTTTTGGTCTGTGCTTGGGACCCATAGCAATACTTGACTTCTGCAATAACTCCAACCCCAGTGACTTGTACTCAAGATAATAAGAACTTGATTCAGGGTGATGGCAGAGAGATGAAAAGATTCACTAAGCAATACTTTAAAATATCAACATAGTTTGGCAATAAATTAGATATTATGGGTGAATATACATAGATCACCTTAATAAAATGTCTTATTCACAGTCTCCTCTAATGGAGAAACCCAACATTCTTGGAATATGATCCAAGGAAAACACATCGATAAAATAACAAAGTCAAATTTTCATTATCTTGCTTTATATAAAAAATACCATATTTCAACATAGACAGACATCCGATTGATTGTTAAAGCCAGATTTATAAGCTGGCATATTAATAATTTAAAAGATAATCCTCTTATAAAGTCAGAAAAGAAAGATTTCTTAATTTGATTTATTTTTAGTTATGAACACTAATGCTTAGAACCTTGTAAAATTGATACAGCCTGGAGGGGATGAATCGAGTTCTTTTTAGTTTGTTGTGAATCATTTGTGGGTGTACAAACCTCTTTTCACTGATTTGCATCCAAGAGACATTGGCTATAGTTTAGATTTTATCTTGAATCTTAGGCAGAATAAAATAGTGTGAAGTCAGACATGAGTCAAAGAACCGCTACTTGAAGAACTGGGTTACTATGGATATTATTTAACTCCTCAGAGTCTTAGTTTCTTCCCAGAAATGGAGCATCATGGAATTAATAATATATAATATTTAGAAAAAATGCATAGCAAAACAGGGTGGGACTATATTAAGGCAAAAAAATATCTAATTAGAAGGTCAAAGGATAAACCAAATCTAAGAGCATAAGAAATTGCAGACATTGTTCATAAAGGGAGTGAGGGAGGTGCAGTCATACATTGCTTAAGGACAGGGATACCTTTGGAGAAATACCTCATTAGATGATTTTGTTGTGCAAACATCACAGAATGTACTTACACAAATCCAGATAGTATAACCTACTACACATCTAGGCTATGTAGTATAGCCTATTGCTCCTAGGCTACAAACCTCCCAGCATTTTGCTGTACTGAATACAGTAGACAGATGTAGCATAATGGGAATTATTTGTGTGTCTGAATATATCTAAACATAGAAAAGGTAAAAATATATCTAAACATAGAAAAGGTAAAAATATGATATTATAATCTTATGGGACCACTGTTGTATATGCAGTCTGTAGTTGACTGGAATGCTATTATACGGCTCATAACTGTAGATGGGCTACACTGTACCCCAGGAAAGGATCTTAGTGTCTGCTCTAGTCCAATGCCCAGAGTTCTGTGTCTCCACATGACACCCAATTCCATACCCCCAACATCAATTTAGTAGGGGAGATAAGGCCAGTAAATTTTGGCATTAGATATGAGTTGTCTTGACTGTGGACTACTGTAAAACCTACTTCTGCAGCCAAGCAGAAGGATATTTCTAAATAAAAAATATTACCTTTAATGTCTTATTTCTTTGTATGTTGTTTTGATAACTGAAAAGGACAAGCACACATATTTCTTGAAGGATTTGTATATAATATACATGGTTGTCATGAAGGTTAATAATTGAAATGTTTGTATATAAGGTCCTTATTATGGTGCTTGGTACAGAGTCGGAATTCACTGGTACTAGCTTTCCTTGCATTGGTGTGGCTATATCTCAAGATTCATTTAGGTCTCAAATGTCATGATATTATGTATTATCATATAATTAGTGGCTAAGAATTGCAACTGAGTATAATGGAAATTTTCAAAGAGGAATTTTTCTCCATTTCAGTTCTTATGAGCATAGTTGGTCCAACTTACAGAGTAAAATTAATATAGTGTAATAAAAAAGCAATAGGTAAAACAGCTGGATATTATTCAAAATTAGAGAGAGCTGTCAGATTACAAGAAAGAAAATAGATGAAAAGAAAAAGGAAAAAAGAAGTGAGAAGAACTCCCATTTTACATCCATGCAGTTGATAGCAATTAGGTAATAAGATCTATGAGTTAGACTATATTGGTTATGGTTCTTTTCCAGCATAGCCCATTGCTTTTATTCATATAGGATATTTATAAGACTTATTTTACTGTAATTGTGCACCTATCCATTAGGTTAAAATTCCTTTGATAAAATTGTCTAATTCATGTATTTGGTCTGCTAATATATTTCAGTTTATACTATATGCAAGATGTTGTTTTACACCCTGGAGATACAGTAATAAACAAAGATACAAAGCCCCTGTCATAGAAAAACATAATGCGGTAGGAAAGGATCTTATATTCTAGTGTCAAAATACCAAAAATAAATAAATAGGCATATATAAAGAGGTAAAGAGATCCATCAAGAAAAATAAAACAGTCTAAAGGAGATAAAAATAATAAAGTATAATTTTATAGATGTTTGTCAGAGAACATCCATGTGATAAATTAATATTTGAGCACAGACCAAATTAGAGACAAAAGTAGGGAACCATGCAGATATTTTGGTTAACATTGTTTAAGGCAGAGGAAAGAGCAAATACAAAGGTATCAGCAACCTCGGTATGTTTGAGGGTTGTCAGGGAAAGGATGTTTATGAATCAGAGGGAGCAAGGGAAAGATGAAAGAGATGAAGTCAGAGGTTAAAATAAGGTGTGTTATGATGCAATATAATAAGGATATTGGATTCTGCTTTATGATAAGGTTGAAAGCCATTGAACATGGAGAGAGGTTGTCAATTATTTTTAAAGAATAACTGGCTGCTGTTTGGAAGATAGAGTATAAGAGGGAAAAGATATAAATTGGGATCAAATAAAGAATTCACTGAAGGAAAAAACTTTTTCTTCAAGTTATCAAGCCAAGAGACTGAGTTTTTCCCAATGCTTAGTGAGATTCCTTAAAGGTTATCTTTTCTTTCTAAATATATATTTAATAAATAGTTAAACCAGAGACATGAATACACTGAAAGAAGTTTATGTTTTTAGTTATATTTCATTTTATTTAAAAATGATGATCAATTCGTTTGTGAATTAAAAATGATGTATCTAGTCTTGTGGAGAAAACCTCATTGATTAAAATGATTAAATCTTTCATTTGATTAAGGCTTTTGATTATTTGTCTTGGAATTATTTTGTGAAGAGAGTTCAAGAAACATCAATTGAGGTGCCTTTTAAGTAAAAGGCAATGTGATAGAAGATGGGGATTAAAAAGATAAATATCACACATTCCCTGGAGAAGTTTATAATCAGCTTGAAGTTCAAGAAATCTTTCTTGGAGGTGCTGACACCTGAATGGAGTCTCAAAGTTTGAGCAGAAGTTATCCAATTAAATAGTAGGAGGACAAGAACTCAAGGTAGAGATAAAAGTAGGAACAAAAGTATGAAGATACGGCTGGGCTCAGTGGCTCACACCTGTAATCCTAGCACTTTAGGAGGCCGAGGCAGATAGATCACTTGAAACAGTCTGGGCAACATGGTGAAACCTCACCTCAACAAAAATTAGCTGATGTGTTGGTGGGCGCCGGTAGTCCTAGCTGCCCCAAAGGCTGAGGTGGGAAGATCACCTAAGCCCAGGAGGTCAAGGCTGCGGTGAGCCATGATCACACCACTGTGATCAGGCATGGGTGATAGAGTGAGACTCCAGCATGGGTGACAGAGCGAGACTCTGTTTCAGAAAAAAAAGTGTGTGAAGATATGAATACACAAAAAGAATAAGCACTTAGTATATTATTAGAGCATAAAGTGAAAGCACTGAGCATGAGATGAAGATGAGTGGAGGATAACTTATAAAAGTCCTTATTTTACCGTGTAAAATTATTGGACCATAGTTCAAGAATGGTAAGCAAACTATTGGAGGATTTATTTAGGCATGTGACATAGTCAAAATTTTGTTTTAGACATTGTATCAGTAATGGTAGGCTTTTAAGTTGAGATAACAAATTAACCTACAAATCTTCAATTTGGCTGGAAGAAGTAGGGTCTTCAGACCTAAATATTCACTCAAACCCTGGCTAACCGGTTTGCACCATCTTTTTGGTGGATGATGCAGGGGAATAGAGAACGGAAAGTCACATACAGACTTTTCATTACCTCCACCTGTAAATAATTGCTTCCCTACAAAAACCATTGCTCAAAGAAGTCATATGGTCCTACTTAAGTGTAAGAGATCTGAAAAGGTTGAAGTTTTTCTACATGCAAAAAGAGACAAGACCTCGAAATATTGGTGAGCAGTAGTAATTTCTGTTGCTGTCACACCTCTCTGGGGGCCTTGGGGAGTATGGGTTTGAGTGGTACAGTACAGTACAAAGAAGGTATCTAAATTAACTAGGTAAAATATGAAGAATGTATTGACCAGTTTGTAAAGATGTAGGTGGGACCAAGAAAGGAGAAATGATGTGATAAATATTTGGGAATTAAAATTATTGGAACTTGATGATTAATTTATTGAAATGTGAGTTGAGGCAATAATTAAGAGAATATAGGACTACCCTTGGATTTCTGAAATGGGCAGTTGGATAGATGATAGTACAATTAATCAGAGTAGAATAGAATACCGGGAAAACAGGATGTTTCACTGGTAGAATAAAAAATATGATTAATTTTTGAATTTGTTGATTTTAAGGTTCAGTAAGAAGTGCATAAATACAAAACAAGAATATAAATATAAAGCTGGGGATATGATTAGTATGAAGAATGTGTAATAAAAAATGACTGGTCAGAAGGCAGGCTCTGAGGGAATTCCCAGAGTATGCACAAGAGGAGGAATGTATAAACCAACCACTAATGAATGATTAGAAATCTAAAAGGGTCAGTTGATGAGAAGAGTCAAAGAAGCTGGTGTAGAAGGATTTCAGAAGTGAGTGATAAAATATATCATATAGATGAGGGTCTTTTAATGATAAATTCCAAGTAGAATAGGATCTAAATGTAAAATCAAACCTTAATCCCTTGAGCAGAAAATATAAGAGAATGGTTTTCTGATATTGGGGTAAGAAAAGATGTTATAAAGCTTATGCTATAAAAAATTTAAAATTAGACTGCATTAAAACTTCTATGTAAGGTAATAATTGAAAGGTGTTCATTAGATATGGCAGTGTTCTTACAGGGTCTTTTTGCCAGAAACATTTCAGTGACTTCAACAGAAACTAGAGGAAACCAGAGTCAAGGAAGTGTTAATTTTTTAAGGGGACACATATGAGCATATTTATAGAGCAAGAGTAAAAGGTCTTCAAAGAGAAGTGATTTCAGGGTGGACACTTTGAAAACTAATTTAAATTCTAGAACTATTACAAAGTTGGGAGGCATGCACTTTTCTTATTTTTTTTTAATCTGTCTTAAAAAAGGCTTTAGAAACTTTTTAGGTCTTTCTCAAATAATCTGTAGCCTAATCTCAAATCTATAAACTGGAATGATGATTTAAATGAGAGGAACATGGAGACAGAATTTTAGTTTGGGTTTAGAAGCTGATCTCAAGCAATAATTTGAGTGGAAGTAGTTTATTTGGGAGGTAATCCAAGGAATTATTGGGAGAGGAGTGGGAAAATATAATGGAGAGGAAATGAACCCCCTAAAGAGGTACATTGTCAAACCAGTTACTACTGTGAGCAGTCGGAGGTTAGCCTCACTGGAGAACTCTGGGAGACAGCATAGAAAGAGGCCCAGAGTTATCCTGACCAAGGAGTAAGGAAGCTGGGATATGTATTCACCAAATTCCTGTCCATTATGTATGTAGAGCCTTTTTTTGGGCATCAACTGTCCAGCACTCTGTGTGTGCCTAGCCTGTATAAAGGCTGAGCGGGAACCTTCAGTCAGAAACATGAGCCTCAGACAGTCATAGGTGACAGTGATCCTGTGTAGAGGCAAATCACAGGAGCCAATGGGTAAGGCACTGACACCCTGTGCTGCAGGTGAGTGGGTCAGGAAAAGACCCCAGAAGGGCAGCAGTGGACCAAGGACAAGTGTACCATTATGTGGTCTTAGGCACATTCCTTGACCTTTCTGGATTAATCCACAAAATCGGTGGTGTCTCATTTTACTAAGGCTGCCATAAGAAAATACCATGCACTAGGTGGCTTACATAACAGAAACTTATTTTCTCACAATTTTAGAGACTTGAAGTCCAAGGTCAAGGTGTTGTCAGTGTGAGTTTCCTCTGGTCTCTCTCCTTGTCTTGCAGATCACTGCTCTCTGCTCCTTCTTCACAAAATCATCTCTCTGTGCACGCATTCGCCTGTAGACTGTCTGTATGTACAGAGCTCCTCTTCTTATAAGAACTCCAGTCAGACTGGATTAGGGCCCAACCAAGAGCCTCATTTTAAGTTAATTGCCATTTTAAAGGTCCTATCTCTAAACACATAGTCACATTTTGAAATACTGGGCTTAGGGATTCAACATATGGATTTTGGGGGGACATAATTCAACCCATTACAAATGAGTAAGCTTCATGGTATATTGTAATAACCTGTTTACAGTTACATTACAATAACCTTCAATATATTGTAATAATCTGTTTTGCTTTTCTTAAGCTCATTTTTCATAGCCTTACAATAAACTTTTGACAATTTTTGTCTCTAGATGTCTTCTCCCAAATGTTGTTTTCTTCTGAATGTGATTTAATCTTCTTTTTTCTATGCCACACTTACATCTTAAATCTACAATTTCATTTGATCTCATCAGTAAGAGATATGCACTATTACCTTGTGATATTCATCAAACGCACCCCTCACCGTCAAGTGACAGGCTTTCATCATCCTGGAATTAGAAGTCTGTGTTCTGATTTAAGGAGAGGAAGGCATGTTAAACTGTTTGAATGGTTGGGAAAAAAAAATGACTCAGCAGTTGAATTCTTAGCTGCTTAGAGACTGTTCAGCTTCTTATAAACCTTGCCTGAAAATAACGGTAAATCCTGCCTCTAAGCTTGATTCCTGTATACATTCAGCTGCCTTAGAGGGGCAGTGCTGTCTCATGTATCAGACAAGAAACTGCCAGCCAGGAGATTTGGAATTCTAACTCTTCTGGAAGCCTGAAGCAAATCACTTAACTTCTCCATATCGCAGTATCCACATTAAAAGATGAGGGTAAATAGTGTCTATCTTGAGGGCATGATAATGACAAATCAAAATATAATGTATGAAAAGTTTGAATACTTAGGTATTTTGGTAAGAAAAGCATACTATTATATAATGACTTTTCAGTTAATGTCCTGGTAATTTTTATCTGCCCAAAGTTTCAATTTTTAAAGTTGGGCTGTGTCCTCCATGACAGTTGCTCTGGCTCTGAGTATGGTATCCAGAAACCTGAGAAGGAGAAGGAAGAAATATTCAACGTAGTCAGAGAATTTCTAGGTAGAACAAGCATAATCTGTAGATTGAATAGACACGCTTTTCTTTCACATACACCCATATACACATATACTTTTTCAAATATATGTAGATACCATTGAGCTATTAATAAATAAAACTTTAAAAAGGAGTTACTACATTAATAATAAAAGTTATTATGTATCATTCAATTAGTGTCAGAGAAAACCACAACTATTAGGATCAGTCAAATTTTGTTGATATTAAGAAGGAACATTTATATATGAGAATCATCTTTCTAAAATTTAATTTTTACTTTGGAAACTAATCACGACCATGTGAAATATCTGTTTGTTGTTGTTGTTGTTGTTTGTTTAGCAAGCCACTAACTGAAAATAGGCTAGAATTATGATTATTTCCAAAAGGTTTAATGGTCACAATAATCTATCAACCTCTTTCAAATTCTTATCACATCTCAGACTCTGCTAGGAGAGCTTTTCCAAACTAGAGATTACCCTGCCCTGCCTCCAGAGATTATGGCTTAATAAGTATAGCATCCTGAGTGATTCTGATGTATCCTTAGTTTTGGTATCCACTGTGGTAGACTGCTTGCTTATCAACATATCAGTAAGTATTCAGTATCTGTCGGAAGCCAAATGGTTTGCAAAGAAGACTTACTTTTTTCCTAAAGAAGCTTATATACTCCTTAGTGAAATAAAATGTGTTTTGGTTTAATTTTGCTTGTTATTTTGAACAAATACTTATTCAATACAGTTCAAATATCTCTTATCCAAAATGCTCTAAAGGCTTTGTATTTTGGGTTTTTTTCAGATTTTGGAATATTTGCATTGTACTTACTGGTGAGTATCCCTAATCAAAACAATCACAAATCTGAAATTCTCCAATGAGCATTTTTTTTTAAATGTCGTGTTCATGCTTCAAAAGTTTTGGATTTCAGATTTTTGGAGTAGGGACACTCAACTTGTACCTTCTAATGGTAAGGCATTATTATGCACTACAGAAACTAAAGAGGTACTAATTCATGCTTTTGGCATAAATGAGGCTGCAGGCATGTTCCAAAAAATTTAATCAAGCCAGAGTTGAAGGTGTGAGGTACAAATGCTGAGTATGAGTAACAATTTTTATATCTAATCAGCTATATTCTCCTCCAAGAGCACAGGCTGCTACCTATTATAAATAATCTTGGGAAGGCAGAAGAAAGGAAGTCCTTTTGCAATGAACCAAGTTAGGCTGAATGTGAATAACTTGGATGGGGTCAAGTGTAAGAAGAATGGTTTTTGATTTACAAAGGGGCAGTAGAGCAAGACTACCATTCTTGATAAAAATAACTAGTTTTAGCATGATTATTGTCTGTGTTTGGATGTTTAGGGTGTTAGGGCTGAATACACTGCTAGTTAACTAAATGTTCTCTATGGTAATCTGTGAATGGAAATTTTACCAGAATTTTTTCAAAAGATGGGTTTTGCAATGGCAATCTGGTTTGAAGGACAGGGTTTATCTTACAGCTATTCTTAACAACTCTGATGGGCCTGAAATGAATTGTACTTGCAGGCTAACAAGTTAACCTACTCTTTCATGGACACTGAAAGAAGCAACAAAACACTTGGTGTAAGACGGGGCTTTATTGCTCACGGTGCAGTAAGCCACATGA
Organism: Homo sapiens; assembly: GCF_000001405.40. Taxonomy (NCBI): domain Eukaryota; kingdom Metazoa; phylum Chordata; class Mammalia; order Primates; family Hominidae; genus Homo; species Homo sapiens. The sequence continues at coordinate 96,829,446 of NC_000011.10, forward strand.
AATACATGTTTGTATCATTTCTCCTTGTCTCTCAATGCCATGAAGGTGATGGGAAAGGGACAGGGAAGATGCTGCACATGTGGTTGGTTTCATTACAGTTAAAGAAACTCAAGTTTAGGGAACTCAGATATTTTATAATAGATTTCAAGAAAACCAGCTCTTTGTCTCAAAGGGGGACATTATATTTATTATATTGGGCAGTAAAAAATCTTACTCTTTGTTTTGCAGGAAGACACTGTGTCAATCTTTATAACTGTTCACTACACAAACAGCCTTGGAAAGATAGTTTGGAGCAAAGATTGGCAGTGCCCTTACTCACAAGAAGTGTATAAACATGGAAAACCCATGGAGAATTGACTTCAAATAGCTATATCATCTGTAAAGCATAATATTTTTACTTGGTCTATATTTAGTTTAAGATGCTTTTGAAGGGTAATGGAGGTTATGGATGGGAGATTCGAGTGGCCCACCCGCAAGGAACTGCTTGATACTGTGCTATAATTTGGTATTGTCTCCTCCAAATTTCACGTTAAAATTTGTTCTCCAATATTGGAGGTGGGGCCTAATAAAAGGTGTTTGGGTCATTGGAGTGGAACTGTCATGAATAGATAAGTACTCTCCCTGGGTGGGGAGCTCATGAATGAGTTCTCATTCTATTAGTTCCTGTGAGAGCTGATTGTTTAAAAGAGCCTGGCACCTCTCTTTCCTCTCTGCCTTTTGGTTCCTCTTTTGCCATGTGATCACTGTGCATACCAGCTCTCTTTCTCCTTCCTCCATGAGTGGAAGCAGCCTGAGGCCCTCATCAGATGCAGATGCTGGTGCCATGCTTCTTATACAGACTGAAGAACCATGGACCAAATGCTTCTTTTCTTTGTAAATTATCCAGCTTCAGATTTCCTTTATAGCAACACAAACAAACAAGGATATACTGACAATAAGTAAATACATTCACACTGTTTCATTAATTTTGTTAATTAATTTATATACAACAGACTGTATGTGTTCTAAACAGATATGACCATATTCAACCTTTTCTAAAGCATCCTTGGTAGGTGGAAATCCAGTCCATGTTTATATGTCTGTAAGACAGGAGCTTCTTATCTTACATATTCATTATTTTGACTGGGCAGTGTGATAGGTGCTGGGGTCACATGTGTGGAAGGAGAAGGACTTTTTATCAGGAAGCTCTCCCTTAAGTCAAGAAAACATAGTAAAATGGTCCTTTTTGTGAAATTATATGGAAGACTATCCAATTCAGCATCATGTTTTAGGAAAGACTTGTTTGGGTAAGGTGAATTTTAATTTTCTTAAAAGATACACATTTTCTGATCAGGAGGCATGAAGAATAGGAAGAGAGGTGTGTAGAGAAATGGACAAAAGGAAGAGGGAGGTAAATTCAGGACACATCAGACCCTTCTGAATTGCTGACATACTGTATAGAATATGTGCCAATGAGCAGTCCATGGTGAAACTGCAGAGCAGGCAGGTATCAGAATATATAGAGATTTGTGTGTGAAGCTAAGGGGTTTTGAAAATCTATAGTTAGACTTTTTAGAATGTTGGCGATATAATCACATCAGCATTTTAGGATGATTCTTCTGATAGCCTTAAGGACAATTGATTAGGAGATGGCTAAAGTTTAGATAAGGTTAGAAGCAGAGAAAAAAACTTAGAGTGTCATAATAATAATTAAGACCTAAATTAAGGGTGTGTCAATAGGAATGGGGGAGCTATTTAGGGAGTGGAATCAATAGGACTTGGTGGCTGATTTGATGTTGGAAGTTAAAAAGAAAGTCTAGAATGACTTTCTTGTTTGTAACAGGGCAACTGTTCAACAAATATTGGAAGAAGAGCAGATTTGTATGTGTGTGTATTGTGGGGTGGTAGTGGTAAAGAGATAATGAGTTCATTTTGAACATATTGAGCTTGTGCTGAATAGAATTTAAGTAAGGTCACTGTGGAGTGAAAGAAACAGAGGGTCAAGAATAGAATCCTAAATAATATCAACATTATGGGACAGCTGCAATTGTTAAAAATTGTGTGTTATAATTCCTAGAAAATGTATATGTTCCATGTAATACTATCATTTCTTCTAAAAATGAAAAATAGAACAAATAATAAGCCTTTGAAAGAGAAGCATAATGTTTTCACTTCTTGAAATAATGATATATTTGAGGAGATGACATCATATATAGACAGTATTGTCAAAATACGTGGTCCCCAACTGTGCCATACGCAGATGAGGGCTTAAAATTTCTAGAAAAGGGAAAATTAGATGGATTATTTTTATAGATAAAACTATTAGAAAAGTATTTACTTCTATGTAATGGCCATGTTAAAAAAATAGTGGACTTTGTAAAACTATAAAGTAGAACCATTTGCTAAAGCGATATATTGAAAGCATTTATTTTGTGCCCCTGTAAAAAAGTAGGTTCTTTTCAAAGTAAAGTTATCTGACCTTCAAGGGAATCTACTTTGAAACTGATTATTATACTATTTATTCTTCATAGACATTTATTTAAAGGGTTTTTATCATTCTGGTAAAATTGATTTAGTATATATAAAAGAAGCATTCACTTAATATAGAGCTATTCATCTGGAAGGGTTAGCATTCTATTAGATTTTATTGTGCTCTTTGGTTTATTTTCTAAGTTATTTTGACCAGGTTTTCATTTAAATAATTTAAGCAATCAATAAGATTATTCCTGGATTTGCAATAAGAATAACTGTCCTCTTCAGAGCATCCTAATGTCAATGATACATTTTTGATCGGTGAACTTTTGATAAGATGTCCTATGTCACTATAAATCAATAAGATTTAAAAAATCTATCACTTTTGTTGTTTTCCAATCCTGCAAACAAATTAAAAACAAAATTGAGGATAATTAGTACTGGTGTCGGTGCGGGAAACTTTATAGGAACATATGATTTTTCTGGAGGTTGATTAGCTAATAGATACCAAAACACTAAATAAGTGTATTACCATTGGCACATAAAGTATACTTCTAAGAAGTCACTGTAACAAAATTATTAAAAAATTATATACTTTTGTATATAAAATTGTATTTTATGAAAATTAGAAACAACTTAAAATATGTCAAAATAATTATTGATATATTTTACATATATACTATGCAACTTTATAAAATAATAAGTATTATGCTTATTGACAAAGGCTGTCACAAAATATTAACTAGAAAAAATAAGATTACAAAATGATATGTAGTCTGAATAGATGAGCCCCATTCATTCCACTTTGAGCCTTCTTGGTTGAAAGTACAGAGATCCAATAGAATAATTATAATTCAATTCCACAGACGAGAATGATGTGGAATGCACATTCTGAAAGTAAAGAAAAAATCTTCAAGATCTCATTTGTACATATCCCAATTGTCAATGTCTTCCAACTGTCTGGTGCTTGGTCACGCATTCTAGGTAGAGGCTGCTTCCCAGCTCATTTTAGCCTCAGATTTATGCTTGTGCCTTCTCTAAAGCAAATCACCTTTTTTCTTCCAACTGTGCAGTGTCATAAAAGTCCAGAGAAGACTGGGGAAGTTTAACATTGGTGATAACAAATACAGACTTCTTTGTCAGTTTTGGTGGCATGTGCAGTTGGAAGTGAACTATAATCACTCCAAAACTAATACATTTATATAATCTTTTGTTATTTAAAAACTATGTGATATGGTTTGGTTGTGTCCCCACCCAAATCTCATATTGAATTGTATCTCCCATAATTCCCATCTGTTGTAGGAGTGAGCTGGTGGGAGATATTTGAATCATGGGGGCAGTTTCCCCCATACTGTTCTTGTGGTAGTGAATAAGTTTCATGAGAGCTGATGGTTTTATAAGAGGAAACCCCTTTCACTTGGTTCTCATTCTCTCTTGCCTGCTGCCATGTAAGACATTCCTTTTACCTTCCACCATGATTGTGAGGCCTCCCCAGACATGTGAAACTGTGAGTTCATTAAACCTTTTTTACGTTATAAATTAGCCAGTCTTGAGTATGTCTTTATTAGCAGTGTGAAAACAGACTAATACACTATGATATATATAAACACAGACTATATATGTAATCTAGAAGGTAATACATCAAAATATTAAAGTTATGTTGTAGAGCAGTAGTATTTCAATTTGTCTATTTTTATATGCTTTCCCATATGTCCTGACTTTCATATAATAAACAGATATTGATGTTATAGTCACAAAGCAGATATTGATATTATAATACAATAAGATTGTTTCAAAATGGTTTATTATGAATGTATGAAGGATCATTTATGTTGAAATTGGCCTAGTGTTACCTTCATTAAATGAGAGGATGTACACCAGGCCTCAAATATTAGATTGGCAGACCAATGATAGCTGTCAGTACTGGAAATTCTAACCTTGAGCTCAAACATGGAAGAATTTCTGTATACAAGTTTTAAGTAAATCTTTCCTACTAAAAGTGTTCATGCAGGAAACATTCATATAGCTCATTTGTTACCTCAAAAGTTTATTTTATAAAATTAAATTATTTTTATTAAAGGAAAGGGAACTGCCATGATAATTCTCAAAGGAAAGGGTAGGCAAAATGGAATCTATAACCTGCTCTCTTTCATGTAAAACACAAGGGAAATCCTACTTACTCCTCTTTTTGTAACAAAACAAAAGGTGGCAGTTTTTAAAAAAATCAAATGATGGAATTTTGAGGGCTCTGACTCATTTAAACTCCAATTTCCATGTTTGAAACATGCTAATGGATAGCAAAGAAAATCTGGGTAGGCCGGGCACAGTGGCTCATGCCTGTAATCCCAGCACTTCGGGAGGTCGAGACAGGTGGATCACCTGAGGTCAGGCGTTCGAGACCAGCCTGATCAACACAATGAAACCCTGTCTCTACTAAATACAAAAAATTTAGCTGGGCATGGTGGCTTATGCCTGTAATCTAAGCTACTTGGGAGGCTGAGGCAGGAGAATTGCTTGAATCCAGGAGGCGGAGGTTGCAGTGAGCCAAGATTGTGCCATTGCACTCCAGCCTGGGTAACAAGAGTGAAACTCCATCTAAAACAAAACAAAACAAAGCAAAAAAACAGAAAAAAAGAATCTGGGTAATGGAGATTTTTTATAAAGAGACTTACATATCTTTATGTTTTGCAGAGTAAGAGTAGAAATTTTATATTTCATCTGAAGAGCTGAAGAGTACAATTAGATTTTCTGCAGATTATTCATTTCTGGGACCCAGATGTAAAAGCCTCCTTCAGGTCTAAGAGATTTGGCAAAGGTATAAGGTAAGGATTCCATCCTCTTTAGCTGAGGGGCCAATGAGGTCAGGAAGCAAGGAATTGTCTAGGTCGTCTCCAAATTTACACATAAATTCTTCCTCACAAAAAACAGCTATTGAGTCAGTTCATGGCTTTTTAGAGCAAGCTACATGAAGTTTGGAGTGAGGCATGATTGCTCCTCATAGTGACTGACTGTAGCCTGAAATTTAAGCTAATTCCTTGTCATAAAAAGATACTATTTCTGAAATACATAAATTTGCTTTTGCTTTTAAAAATTTATTTGTTCCTGATCTCCCAGAGGCATCCGTTCAACTTGGGGGCTGATTGGGATTGTATTAGTGGGATGATAAGTAAAGTTCATATTCAGTTCTTAATATACAGAGTAGTATTTTGAGTCCTCAAGTTCATAGTCATGAAAATCAGCTGTGTTGAGAGAGAAGATAATTTTCTATATTCATTTGGCTTTCATGAGTATATGAAGAACTGCCCCTGAGAGACATCATCATAAAATTCTACAATGAGCCAGGGATGGAGAAAACTGAGAACATGTCTTAGTAATTTTTGCTTCATGGAATGCCCATGTAGCTTGGTCCTAGGATACTGTGGGAAGAAGGACAGTTAGGTATGGTGAAGGAGTCAGGGGTTGATGTCTCTGCTTTCTCCTTAACAGGATGAAAGCTGAGAACAGTTTCCTAAGCATATTCTGGGAGAAAATGATCAACACTTGTCTTGATTATTAGAAGTAGAGAGACAGATATTAATATTTTTAGGAATCCCTCACAATCTGGAGACAGGGATTACAATTTTGTATTGTAAACACATCCGCCAACACCACTGCCAGCAGGAGCAACTAAAGATGTGGTTAGAAATGTGAAGGTCCTTGATATACACCTAAGCACCATAGTGGATCCATGGCTGCTAGTATGTAAATCAAGGTCCATGAAGAGCAGAGGATAGTGATTTGAAATAAATCATCAGGAGACCTGAGTTCTGAATTCCAGTGCAGCCATGGACTTGTCTAGGATATTGAACATGAAGATTAACTTATTGAAGAATATTTGCTCTTTTATATAATGGCTCCAAAATGAATGTTCTTGGGACAAGACTGGATGATATCTGAGGTTCTTTGTAACATTCTATAATTTTCTGACTAGACTCTGTTCTTTGAAAACCACTTGAAATCTTTTAGAGCTATCCCTCGTATTTTCCCTTAGGGGCATTATGTCAGTTTGCCCCCTAAGAATTCAGAGAGCAAGAGAAGAATAAACAAAAAGATGATGTGATGCAGTGGTTAAGAGTGTGGACTCCGGTGTGTGGCACTGGTGTGGATTCAGATTCCTACTCCATGCCTTAAAGCTATGTGACCTTAACTTCCTCAAGCCTCAGCATCTTTATACATAAATTGAAGATAACAACACCCATATCTTCTTTTTCCTCTTTCTATCCCTTAAGATGTCCATGAAATCTTTCTCTGAAGAATTTAATCCATATTTAATGAACACTTACTATGTGGCAAACATTCTTCTAGATGCTCTAGTGTTTTATGGGAAATGTAGGAGAAGAAATTTTGAAATGCTGCCAGGGTCATGCCCAAGATTTTAGAGACAGAAGGTAACCTAAAATGAGGCGAGACCTCCTATTTCTGTTTTACAAGGCTTATTACTATTATGATTATTTTAATCAGTTATTCCTTGTATCAAAAGTTAGAGCTTTGAGCTATTTTTGTGGTAATTTTATAAGTGCTGAAGTCTAAACATTAATTGGACATCTGAGGCAGGCTATATTTGGGCAACTGTTCTCTACCTTATAGTGACACATTAGGATGTTTGATCTGGGATGTCTGCAATTCCCTGCACTCTACCTGCATGTCCGCATTTCTTCTACCAATAATGAAAACATACCATGTATGCAATTAAATCTACCTTTATAAATGAGAAAACATTTAATCTTACATAATTAACTTAAAAAGTAAATTATTGAGGCCAGGTGTGTAATACTGAGGCTCATGCCTGTAATCTCAGCACTTTGGGAAGCCAAGGTGAGGCCAGAAGTTGGAGACCGGCCTCGTCAGCATAGCAAGACTCCATCTCTACAAAAAACATAAAAAAAATTATCTAAGCACAGTGGCATGTGCCTTGTAGTCCTTGGCTACTTGGGAAGCTGAGGGGCCTGTCTCAAATAAATAAATAAATAAATAAATCATTCTTGAAATACATCCATACTGTACTTAAGAAAAATTACTTTAGAAATTTTGGAAATTTCAAGACCTGGAATTGGGTTTTTGCTGTAAAATTTGAAGCTAGGAAATGTAGATTCAGTTCTCTGTTCTTCTATTTACTAATTATGTGCTAATGAGCAAAGCCCCCAATCTCTGTGAACTTCAGTTTTTGTAATAGGATAAAATACAAATATTTCTATCCTCACAGAATTATTGTGAGAATCAAATGAGGTCATGCATAATAAGATACACTGTACAAGTTTTATTTATAGCTCTTATTCTTTGGAGGTCCATCTAGATTGTTATTGCCTTCATTTTGAGTCTTTCAAGGCTATTATTGCCTACTGTTTTATGCTAACTTAAATGAAACAATTCTTTTTCTTTTAATGCTTGTTATACTCTATCAAAAAGAATGTGGGTGGTATATGTCATGGGGAAATTCTAATCCTAGATTAAAAAAAAAAACCTAGGGCTCCACTTTTTTTTTCCCCCTTCAAATCATATCTTCTCTCTTATTGGGAATAGGTGCAGAATGATGAAAAGGTTTCTTAAAGCAACATGATGTCTATGTGTGTATGGCTACAACTTCTTTTTAGGTGTTTGTTTTCATAAAATATATCAATCATATTTGTCACATTTTGGGTACTACATCTATTAGGGAAAATTCAAAATGGAACTTTTTCATGAAGGTAAAGAAATAGAATTGTATGTTGATTTTTCCATAGATTGGAATTTATTGTTTATTCTCTCCTTATTGAGGAGTTTATGAAGGTTGGGAGACAGTCTAAGCCTAGGAAATCTTTAAAAGTGACTATTGCATTTACTTGCATTAAGTCCTATACAGTTGTATTTGTCAATTAAAAATATATAATAAAAAGTTCTGTATTTACACATAGCCAATATATGAGTTGTTTCCTGTGACATGTTTCTCAGTGTGTTTGATACAAACACCAATTTAGAGGGAATTGCTTTAAAACTTTTCTAGACCTGCACCTTTAGACAACCAAATTAGAATCTGTGAAGGTGGAGCTCAGCAAACTACATTCTTAACAGGAAACTTGTTGATTTTTATAGATACTAGGGTTTGTAAAGGATTTGTCTTTCATTGAAATACTTGCCAATTAGCTTTAGTCAATACTCCACCAGGAAATGAGTATGAAAACACAAGTCAAAGAAGTATAAAAATTCTTATTAGGTTTTAATAATTCTTAATCCCCTAATTCCAATGGGAAAAATGATAGATAGTAAATTTGGGTCAAGGTGAAAACCTAACATTTTGTTCTGTTAATGATCAGTAGATTACTCATTATACCTTTTCTTTCTTGTTTCAGACTGTTCTATGACTCTAATTTATCTACATCCAAATAAATCTTGACTCGTGGCAGATGTTTCATCATTATTATTAGAAATGATCACTTTAATAACTCCCTGATTATATTTATTTTACAATGGATAGCAGGCTTCATTTCTTCCTTGGGCTGCAGTGACACTACTTTCATTGGAAATGTGGTCTAAAAACTGATTAGTCTCATTAGTCTCCCTTGAGAAGAAAACCCAAACAAATATTTAATGGACAAAACACAGGAATGGGTTTTTAGGAGATGAATAAGATATGGTCTCTACCTTCTGGGAATTTAATAAAATTAAAGAATCTAGTCTTTTTCAAATATCATTCAATTTCCTGACATTTGATGATCACCAATTCTGCCCTCCTTGCATGGTACTATCTGCCAATCAAAAGATCAGTGAGACCATTTATGAGGCAATTTATATTCTGATGAATGAATTTGATATGTCAAATTTCTGTATGTTTTACTTCTGTTGAATAAAGACAAGACAGGGCAAATTCCTAAAAAGAGAATGAACTGTATGTTGCTTCTTAATCAGTAATAGAGATATTACTTCATTTTTATAATATAAATCTGAAGTACCATGAAACATTTTATGACTATTAGTAAAAAGAAAAATCAATCACCTTTGGAAAATCATTATGGGTGTTTCATAATAATATTTGGGAGATTGCCTAACTGTAATTTACTCATCTGCTCCATGTAATGACATTATTAATACATACCTTTGGTGTTGATATCATTTGGGCTGTTATTAAGATTCTTTTTAGAGCCAAGAATTAAGTTTCCTGTGTAGCAAAGAACCTATTACACATAGGGTTTAGTAATGAAAAATGACTTCCTTACTGTAAGTACTTCTATTGAGAACATCTAGCTATCTAGATTTTAAACTCTTTGCTTAGAAGTACCTTTATTTACATAGTGGTTATTACTCACTGAGGATGCAGCCCTGACTGTCATAAGAATGAAGAAAGTATCCCAGCTACTTCACAGGAAGCTCACTTCTATCACACAGAATGTCTTCCCTGGGACCACAGATCATGATTTTGGACAGGCTTCCCTTGGTCTTTTGGTGGACTTCAGGGGCAAATACAGTGAACCACATTCAGAGCAGGAGGTAGCACGGGGGCGAAAGTATGCTCTTTCAGTTTAGCCATTGGTAGACAGCTTGTGTTAGCTCAATTAGACTCCCTGCCTTATGGCTAAAACAGAGGGCTTTCTGTATCCCGGGGTTTCTTGCCTTGTTGTACCAGAAGAATCGGATCACACGTGGGCTTGGAGAATGAGTGCAAGGTTTAATTCAGTGAAAGCAGCTCTTCAACAGAATGGGGAGCCAGAAGGGAGATGGAATGGGAAGGTGGTTTTTCCATGGAGTCGGTCAGTTGAGCAGCCTGGGCTCTCCTCTGACTGCCACGGTCAAACTCTGTGTCATTCCACCAATCGACGGCCTGCGAGCTTGCTGGTGTCTTCCATTGAGTTCTTAGGCTAGTGTGTTCCTCTCAACGTCCAGCTGCTTTTGTCTTCTTCTGTTGATGTGTTCTCCTTGATGTCCAGCTGCTTGTGTGCCTGCCTGCTAGGGGCTCGAAGTGGGGTTTTATAGGCACAGGACGGGTGCGTGGCAGGCCAGGTTGGTCTTGGGAAATGCAACATTTGGGCAGGACAACAGAAATGCTTGTCCTCACCTAGGTCTGTGGGCATAGGCCCAGGCATGGAGCCCTAGCCAGGGATCACGGCCTTCCCTTCCTAGCACTTACATATATTAAAATAAACTGATGAATATAATCAACAATGTGGACTAAGTTCTGATTTACTAATTATTTAGTTGATTATAGAAAGTCTCAAGTAAAAATGCTTTCTGACTTCCGTAGAGGTGTTTGACCTAATAGACCTAGTCAATATTTTCTCTCAGTATGTGAGTGCTCAGTGTGGACGGAAGAGCATCCCAAAAATCGTACCTGGATAGGACAGTTCCTGTTTAGATATACCACCCTTTATGGTTGATAGATTCTAAATGTCCTAATTTCTAGTGGCATTCTCAATGATGTTTTCATTTTTATTCAAATATACATTGCTTAGCCACTTAAAAACTTCTCTAACTTTGAGGAATTTCAGATAAAAGTTTAAATGAAATGCTTTCAAAATTGCTCCTCTCGAAATCCTGTCTCTTACTCTCTTCAAAGCTCTTGATACTTGTTCAGCATGGTATCATTTTTCCTGTCATGATTCCCAATTCAATTTCTTAACCTTTGTGTAACAATACTCTGTACAGTGGTAGTAGATTGTGAAATGACTGCACTTATACGTTTGTAGATGTGTATTTATATTTCTACTGGCCCTGTCCGTCTCTCTTTTATCTGCTAACCAGATTGTAAAGACCCTTGAGGAAGAAATCGAGTTTTCTACTTCCATTTCTATCTCCATGGAGTACCCTGAATAATGTAGGAATTCAGTCAAAGGCAAATGTTAATGAGGTATTAAAAGCTTGCCTTTGACATACCATAGTATACAAGCTGAGAATTGTGTAAGTTACTGCTATTGTCGTTTCAGGGACTGGTTTGTTACCAGAAAGGTTGAAGGGAAGTACCGCTTCCTTACTATTTCCTAAGAGATTAAAATCTTGGGAATGATTTTGGCAGTGAGCTCCTCAAAAATATGAATTAGCTTCACCAAATATAAGGTATGCAGAACAGATAGCCTTTGTGAGTTAACTGAATGAAACAAATAGTTGCTAACTGGTTGCTGGTTGTTGTTACTGAATTCACTGTCAGTGTACTCATTAGAATGGCCATGTTTCACGTATGTATCATATACCACAACATAGGCAACATGGTAATACTGAGAGGTTCTCTTCATTAAATGAATAAAGCAATAGCAATGAAAAGCACAGTAGCTTTATTTGGAACCATTCCTTCAAATACCTGAAATTTCCTTTTAATGCTCCTATACAGCAAACACAGAGAGTGGTTTATGATATTTAGGTGCATCTGCTAGATTAGGGATTCTTGAACTGGGGGTCATATCCATGAGTGGGCATCAGGCACTCTGCAAACCCTGTGTAATTTTGTTAACAAATTTGAATATATGTACCTCTTTCTGGGAAAAGAGTTTACTGCTCTTGGTAGACATATAAGAAGCAAAGAACCCTAAAAGGATTAATGAAAAAGCACTGAAATAAATAATATAGATTAATATAAACATATTTGTTGGGTACAGTTTGATGTTTGGATGCATATATGAATTACATGATGATTAAATCATGATAGTTATTATGACTATCACCTTATGTATAGTTTGGTCTTGGCAAAATTTGCAGACAACTGACTTCTCAAAGTTTTCAAATGAGCACTAGTTGAGTGTACTGATGCCTGATGCTACAAGCCAAATGATTTCTTTTATTCTTTTTCCTCTTATCAGCAACAAAATAAACTCTGTGGTAGCAAGAGAAGAAAGCGGTAGGGTCCCTATCGAAAGTGGCAGATTAGGATTTAACTCTGCAGCCACCATTGACATCAGTGGCAGTCAGGTGGCTAAACTGTTTGCACATTACGTTGAAAATATACCCCGAGAGTCAATATGAGTACTGGTAGAGTTTTGTGTTTTGTTTTTTAAGCTCCTCTGTCTATGGAGAGCTATCATTTAATCCCACATTTCTTCAAGGAAGATCTGCACTCCTGAGGCCTGGCCCCATAGGCCAACAGTTTCTTTAATGACTGAGATTACCAAGTTCTTGGAAACTTTCCAGGGGTTGCAAAATAAATATGAGCTTCATTGTTTATTTTCTACTGAATTCTGGGAAGGCTTTTCTTTTGATGCTTACAGAAGATCCTTTGCAGTCAGGAATATTGAAAGGTGAGCAGGCTGTTTCTCTGTTGCCTTTCAACCCCAATGGAAGATAACTTTTATTTACTGCAAATGAAATATTGGGAAAAAATATAAGTGCTCCCTACAGAAGTCTGTGCCTGTTGTAAACAAGGTGTCCAGAATACAAGGATGTGTGTACAACACAGGGGACTTGTAAAAGAGGGATTCAAGTCAGGCTAGATGGAGACAATGTCATTCGCCTGTTTACCTGTTTGTCTATTGTTGATTTGGAATTTCCTGAGTTCCATCCAAATGTTTCTTTTTTTCCTTTTCTTTTTTTTAAACCACTTATTTAGTTGATGTATTTGGCTTTAAATGAGTTTTCAGGTTTGTATGTGTGGTGTGTTTGTTTGAAACACTCTTCCCTTTGAATCTAGCAAATTTTTTCTGAGACTGTTGGCACAATTTTCTTTTTGCAACTAACCTTTGGTTTCTACAAAGGTATGATTTTGGGCACTTGGATATAATTTCATTTTGAATAATTTAAAATGATTAAATTATATTGGTAATTAAGTAATTCTTTTAGAAAATGGACATTTATCAGTATTGCCTTAGGTTTTGGTTGTGATCATCAGCAGTCCAGGTTTCGAATGCTGGCTAGCCATATTTTAATAAAGAGCTTGGTGGGTAGGTATGTTGAAGCACAGACTGTGAGAGCTGGAAAGAGGCTGGAGTCTGATCTGTCACTTCATAGGTGGATACACTCTGCCTGGAGAGAAAAGTGATTTGCTAAGGTTTCATAGATGAGCAAGTAGGAAAGGAGCGAAAAGAGTTCTGAACATGCCCATTAACACAACAGGATGAAATGGAGCAACAGACCAGAGTAATAATTTTCTGTTATCATACCAGGACATCATTTGTGGCCATGCTCCCTCATTGACTTCAGATTCAGATAGAGGGGCATCAAGCTGATCTTGTCAGTGGAAACATGAACAATGCATAACAGCCTATTGCTCTCCACTATCATAGGGCCAGGCTCTATGATTTCTTAAGCCAAAATTAAAAATGCAGACATTTCACAATCTCAATAAGGTGACAGCTTTTTATCATATTATGATGCTTTCTTCAATTCATTCCCATTCCATCCACGCTATTACTGTAATCACCACAACCCATAGTAAGTATAGCTATTTTTAAGAGAGACAAAGCATAGACCATTTATGTTGATTTTCTTTTGGGTTCTTGTGTTCTTCTTATGCACTTTTGGCATCTCATAATCTAATTGTGCTATTTGTTATTGAGAATAAATTCTAGATATCATGTTATGTTGTGCAAAAACGTGACATTTATTAATTATTCTTTGCCAAGTCAATGTCCAAATCCCCATCCTGCTTGGCTGATGGAAAAATTAACTGTAGTCATTTGGATTTTCCTTTCCTCCTGCTCCTAGGAGTGTGTCAATGATTCCAGGTATCCATCTAGATATTTTTAATTAGATACTTTCTGTGGACCTGCCCATTGCATATCATCCTGTAGCTGGTCCCTTAGTATGAATGGGTCTACAACTTCTACATGTGGAAAAAAGTAATAAAAATTTGTAAGTAAGGAAAAGAAAAAGAGTACTTGACCTTCATTGTGGACAATGGTTTTGTAATTTAGCAATTTTATTCTAGAATTTTCTATCTGTTTTTCATTGCCTATATGTGTATGAGTTTCTTTGTCATTCTTTAAACCTGCTTTGTCATATGTTTTGAGACACTCTACATTGATGGCATAACATTTTTGATGATATTGAGACCCTTTCCTTTAAATCTGGTTCCAGCGTGCGTCCTACAGCCATTCTTTCTGATTTCTGGGCTGTTATCATATATCGTCAAAAATTTTACTCTCACAACACCACCCACTGATCTCTCTTCTCTTTCCCATCAGGAGTAATCTATCATTTTTCTTTGTCTCCAAAGGCCTTTCTTTGCCCAACCACAGACACACAGACACACACAGACACAATACACACACACACAGACACGATACATACACACACACACAGACTCTCTCTCTCTCTCTCTCTTAATTTTATCTTGTCAAAAGACTATGGATTTTTTAGAAAACACAGCAAGTACCTTTGACTTCAGATTCTTTATACTTTTCTATCACTCCATGTGTCTAAGACAAAGACTTACAAGGTATAAATAGGGTGAGGCATGAAAGGGCAAAACGTTTAATTATTTCAATACTTTTTTTTTAGTCACAGCATTGTATCTTAACAATAATCTCTAAAGAAAGTGCTAACTTTAAAAATTATATTGCTCAAGTTTTTCTGTGTTTTTATTTTTATTTTGCTTATTTTTCAGAATGATTTTATTACAGAAGTTCAAGGCAGATTTCAGATCTTTCCTACAGGGTGTTATTTATGTTGATGGCATTATATGATGCATTCTTGCAATGTTAAGTAATTGGGTTGATAGGAACAGGTAGTCAGCTTATTAAAAGACATTTTTTCATTTCCAGAGGATTGGTAATCATGCATATTTTTGTTCATGCATATTTTATGGTTTTTCTCTCTTCCTTGAAGAGAGTTATTTAAAAATAATAATTATATCTTAGTAAGAATGAGGGAGGAATTTAATCCTTGTAAGAAGATTCTTGTCTCTGGAATGTGTAGGCTCTAATATTGATATAGTGAGAGAGCATTCTAAAATATTAATTTGTGTGCCTTTCTTTTCCACACTTCTGCAAAACAGCTTTGCCTTTAGCAGGCAGAGATAATACATTGCCTTGAGGAACATTAGGGGAGTTGCAGGAATGAAAAAGAAAGAAGTTTAGTTTTGTACTTTTGAAATATCCTTGTCCTAAAGCATATATATATAAAAAAAAGTGATGGTGAAAGCAGAACTTTTGGTATGCAACCTGCCTTCCCCTTTCCTGCTCTGATCAGACTTTCTCTGCTCTATTTTATATTTTATCCACAGCACTTCTCATTATATAATTCATTTGTTATGTTCATTATAGAGTTACAAGAGCAGAGACATTTATTTGTTTTGCTCATTTGATATATCCTAAATATGTAAAATAGTGTGTGGTATATAAAAGGCGATTAATATATATTTGTTTATTGAATGAAAAACCCCTTGGCTATCAAAAGTAAAGTCTACTGAAATAAGAAGGTCATAGAGCTTATGCTACAAAAACAGACAGAAAAGAGAATGTTGGATTATTCCAATGTTGGAGTCATATTATTTCACTCTGTGGGAAGTTAATTTCTAGGCGTATTCAGGAGCTCATGTGCATGAGAGGGAAAGTCCATTGGGCCTAAGCAGAGACGACACAGGGAAGGACCACATAAAAAACAGGAAGTAAGTTTTGAGAGACAACCCAACATAGTATATGTTGCCAAATTTGAGGAATCATGCATAGGGGAGCCAATGACTGATAGTTACTCTTAACCATTGGGATAAGCTCCCAAGCTTGCTGGAATATCCTCTCTACTCTCTGGTGAAGGCTTCTTCTTTTTTTTTTTTTTTAACATACATGTGCATTACTCTCATGAACCATCCAGCAGAAGTGTCTGTGCTTTACAACTTTGATGAGCCCCATATAAACTGCCCCTTGTGGAAACTCCACTTTTCGATGGCCCTGGGTATTATAACACCCTCAAAACAGAAGTTAGAGCTTTGACATTTAGAGGGATATTGGTGGTCTAAAGGGAAAGTTAGAACCTGATGCAAGTGAAATCCACTGTTACATTCATGATAACCATTTTCTGAGCTTATAAATATACTAGAAAGCTATTGTTAAGAAAACATAGACCCTTTCTTTCTTCTTTTTTTGAGACGGAGCCTCCCCCTATCACCCAGGTTCAAGCGATTCTTCTGCCTCAACCTCCCAAGTAGCTGGGACTACAGGTGCATGCCACCACTCCTGGCTAATTTTTTTTTTTTTTTGTATTTTTAGTAGAGTATCAAAACTGCTGAGTGGTGTGACTTAAGAAAGCATCAAACATTTGTGTGAATTTGTATGAGGAATGTGGAAGCTTTAAAGCCTGCCTGCAAGTTCTTTGATACTCCTCCCATACAAGGAAGAGCTTAATTCTCCTTGCCTTGGATGCAAATTGGCCGTAGTCACTCACTAGTGAATAGAAAGGGGTGAAAATGGCACCATACCACATGACTTCTAAGCTGGATCATTAAAGGCAATACAGCATCCGCTTGCCTCTCTTTTAGAGACATTGGGAGTCTTGAGCCAGCCTCAAGAAGTCTGGCTACAACTGAAGCCACCATGTTATGGAGATCATATGGAGACACTATAAAGACACAGAGAGAAGATGTGCAAGGAGCCCCAAGTGTTCCAGTCCCAGCTGTTTGAGTATTCCTAACACTGCACCAGACAAAGGAATGAAGAAACTTGAGATGACCTCAACCTCTGCTACCATCTGTTTATAACACCATGAGAAACGCTAAGCCAGAGCCAACCAGCTAGCTCAGCTGCTCATTAATTTCTGAACCACAGAAGCAATGAGATATACTAAATGACTTTTTGTTTTTAACCAATACGTTTTAGAATAATTTGTTATGCAACTATAGTAAGTAGGAAAGGGTACCTGACAGAAGGCAGGGGTGGCCAAATATTTCATACATTCATTTATTCAAAAATGTTATGACAACTTGTGTCAGATACTATGCTAGTCACTGGGTATTCCAATGTCGATAGGATGCAATTCTTGTTCTCAAGAAAATTTGCTCTCAAACTCACAGCCTAGTCAATAATATGTATCTACATAAAATGATTAAGTGAAATCACAAGAATAGGAACAAAGGTATGGGGAGTTAGCTTTTGAGCCTCTTTTAGGTCAAATAATCTCTGATTCCTTAAACACTTCTTTATGTTTTTGGACATAATTTTATGTAGTGAGACATTAAAAGGAGGAAGAGATAAAACATGCACTTTTCTCCTGATATCAGTTATATTAATATATATTAAACAATGACAAATATTTAAAAAATGAAAATAAAAAGTTTCAAATAATATGCTGATATTGTTATATAAATAAATAGAATTACCTTGGTGTCGATTTACTTATGATATTACTAATATAAAATATTATGAAGGTTCTCTAGAAGTTACATAGTATCCAGATATAAATGCAGTTGTTCTCTTTGTAAAAGAATAGCACATTTTATTCCACAAATCTTTTAAAATTACAATTACTCTTATCAATAGGTATCGATATCTAATTTCATGAAACTGGAGAAGAGAGATATCCTAACAATAATGTTTGACATCAAAAATCTATTGTATCAGTCGAGGCCAATTAGGGAAGCAGAAGCACTACAGGTGATGTGTGATGAAGGATTCATTATTCAATTGTTGGGGGAGCTAAAAAAGCAAGTTCTAGATGAGGGAGCTGGAAGACCACTGGCACAGGTGGACAAGTAGGACCTTTCAAGATATCTGACAAACAAGTTGTGGTATGGCTGCAGCCAAGGGGACACTGGGCTATGGATAGCTCTGGTGTCTGTGCAGTTAATACCTCTGGGGTGAACAGGTAAGCATCTTGGGGAGGGCTGAGGCTGCTGTTCTTCAGCCTGGCCATCAGTTGGGAAGAAAAAGCTGGATACAAAGTGGAGGAAAGAGATGGCATACTGGATCCAGGTGTGTGCCTCTGTGTCTATCCATTATAGTATTAAGACCTTGGGGTCTTTCAGAGCATAATGGCTATTTGCAATAGACAATACATGCATCCCCCTCAAATTAATATGGTGAAATTCCAAAACCCAAGATGATGGTACTAGGAGGTGGGGTCTTTGGGATGTGATAAGGTGATGAGGGTAGAGCCTTCATGAATGGGAGCAGTGCCATAAAAGAAGCCCCAGAGAGACCTCTCACCCCTTCTGTCATGTGAATAAACAAGAAGAAGATGACCATCTATGAAAAGGCAGGTCTTCACCAGATATCAGATCTGCTGGTAACTTGATCATGGACTTCCAAGCTTCCAGAAATGTGAGAAACAAATTTCTATTGTTTATGAGCCATCTAGTCCATTATATTTTGTTATAGCAGACTTAGACATCATTACTCCATTTTTTTGCATCTCAAATCTGATACAGCTTCCTCTTGTGTCCAATTCTAACCTGGAACCATATAGGGAAGGGAATTCTGAATCACATAGTTCCCAGCTCTATGAAATTGACAATGGAATGATCCAGCACACCCACTCCTACATATGATTTTATTTTGTGAACCATATCTATAGCTACAAATTATTTAAATAATGTGTTGTACTTTTAAATTTAAAGGATATCTATGTGTGCATAACTGTCAGGTGTACGGCTACTTCTAATAATGTATCCTCTCTTTCTCATTCATCATTTACTTGTGAGAAATAATTTGGTATTTTAAAAAGGGGTATTTTTAAGAAATGGTGTTTCTTTTTGGTCACGGCAGTCAAAGGTATGGATAGCAGAGAATCAGTTCAGTAGCCACTGAGCAAGCCACACTTGCCGGCCTGGTTACCATTTCATTCCTGGTCTCCTGATCTCAACGGGAAAGCTGGAGAGTCTCGAGAGTCACACTCTCTCTTTTTTTCCAGGACAAGGAAGGAGAGAATATTGTTTATATTAAGAGCTTTCATTATGTTCTAGAAAGATTTTAGTACAAAATATAAATTAAAAATTCTCTCAATTCAATTCGGCTCAGTTTAATTAATTTCTATACTACCAATATTTTCTCATCAATTGCTCTGTGCCAAGGACTGTCCTAAATACGGTGACTAGAGATAAAATAGCAATAGTTTATGCCTTCGTGGAGTTTTCATTCTAACAGGGAAAGTAACAGTTACTTACGAGTGTAGTGCCGTGTAATAAACATTCTTTTGAGAAGATGCTCTAGTAGAGTCTTAATGTACCTAGTTATTGTTGCTAATTGGGTGAAAAGTTCTATGTTAAGTTTCTAGCTGTTAATGAGTATATATGCAGTCAATCTTTTAGTGTAATTAGCTAACAATATCACCCAATCTTCTCTAACAACCAGTGACGGCAACCACGAGAATATTTGGAGAAAAGATAACCTAGAATTACCGCACAAATAAGTCCTTATCTATATTCTGTTTCTTCTCTCATGAAAGGTTTTATTCAATATCTGCATTCAATCTAAATAAAAATATTTTATCAGTACAGTTTTAATAATAGTGTGCTGCTTTTCATATTCTGGGAGTAACTTAGGACCTAACCAAATTTATAGCAACTATATCGACTATGCCCAAATCAAATAATCCTGGAACAGTCTTCCAGTGATCAGTGATCTGTGATCTGTGAGTGTGTTTTGAAGATCCTAACTTTTCTATTCCAGAGGAACCAAACAAAACTTCTTTTATGATAAAATAATTGATAACTTCTGCTATCAGAAGTTTTAGGCCAAACTAACTTTTCTATATATTATCATGTAGAAAATGGATTTTAACCAAACATGTTAAAACATTTGAGCCAATACAAAGCTGTTTTCTGAGTATAGTCTACCATATCTCTAGGCAATAACGAAACTCATCTCCACTCTAATACAGTATTATGGTAGCCTTCTAAATGGTGAAAATTACAAGTCATCTTTATATACATTTATAGGCGCCTTTGCTACCTATTCAACTGTCATCTGAAATGTCAATTTTATTACATACGTGGCTGTTACCTGAAATATACTGGTCTCCTTTCAATTAATCACACAGCATCAGGCATGATATGGTTGAACTTCGCTGTAGGTTTTCAAATTGAAATAATTTAATACAGAGAATCAGTCACATGGATTATGGAAGACTGGGAAGCCAAACAGGGAACTGTGAGACAACCAAGAGCTCAACAGCAGCTGGAAATGACTTCTATTCCCAGGGCTCTCCAAAGTCCAGGAAAAGAAATGAGATATGGTTACCAAACCATAGAAGTCAGGGCACTCTACTAAGGGCTGCCCATCATAGAGGTGGAGCCATGAAAGAGACAAGACCAACATTTCAAATGCAACCCCAGGCAGGGGTGATGGGTGGGAGTACAGGAGCATGGTAGAAGTGTAGGGATGGTGGTGGTGGTGATGGTAGGAATACCCTGGCCTTTCTTTTTTCCCTCCTATCAAAAATCCTACCAGTACTTCCCCTTCACTAAACCTGTCTGGAAGCCAGATAACAGCAGCCTAGGAAAAAGAGCCTACAGAGTCAACTCTTCCCCCAGCCTCCTACACACACCAATGAGAGACAGAGGAGAGCAGGGCAAAGGCAGATGGATATGTGGGAAAAACATCCAATGACCTATTATACAAATGGTTCAGACAGTCAATATTTGAGAGAATAGTATATATAAAGTCAAATAGTTCCCAAGCATGGTTACCTAAATCAGAATTGCTAGAGGCATTATTAAATACAACTTCTCAGGCTTCAATTTAAACCAATGAAGTCCTCATTTTTTATAAGTACTCCTGGTGATTCTAGGATGCAGCTGAGTTTGGAGAATCACTAAAACAAAGATCACATTATACCCATCAATCTGTCTGAGTACGGATTAGGTGATATGGTTTGGCTGTGTCCCCACCCAAATCTCATCTCAAATTCTAATCTGAATTGTAATCCGCAAGTGTTGAGGGAGGGACCTGGTGGGAGGTGACTAGGTCATGGGGGCAGTTTCCTCCATGCTGTTCTCATGATAGGGAGTGAGTTCTTATGAAATCTGGTTGTTTGATAAGTCTCTGGTGCTTTCCCCTTCTCTCTCTACCTCCTGCTGCCTGGGAAGAAGGTGCTTGCTTCTCCTTTTCCTTCTGCCATGATTGTAAGTTTCCTGAGGCCTCCCTGTCAATGTGGAAATGTGAGTCAAATAAACTTCTTTTGTATATAAATTATCCAGTCTCAGGTAGTATCTTTATAGCAATGTGAAAATGGACTAATACAGGAATTGGTACCACGTGTTTGGAGCACTGCTGTTAATATAAAGATAACCTGAAAATGTGGAAGTGACTTTGTAACTGGGTAACTAGCATAGGTCATAAAAATTTGCAGGGCTCAGAAGAAGACAGAGGTATGTGGGAAAGTTTGTAACTTCTAGAGACTTGTTGAATGGTTTTGACCAAAATGCTGATAGAGATATGGACAATGAAGTCCATGCTGAGATGGTCTCAGATGGACATGAGGAATTTATTGCAAACTGGAGCAAAAATCACTGCTACTATGCTTTACCAAAAAGACTGGTGGCATCTTGTCCCTGCCCTAGAGATCTGTGGAACTTCCAACTTGAGAGAGATCATTTAGGGCATATGGCAGAAGAAATTTCTAAACAACAAAGCATTCAAGATGTGACCTGGCATTTCCTGAAAGCATATAGTTATATATGCTCATAGAGAGATGGTTTGAAATTGGAACTTATGTTTAAAATGGAAGCAGGGCCTAAAGGTTTGGAAAATGTGCAGCCTGACCATGTGGTAAAAAAGAAAAACCCATTTTCTGGGGATAAATCAAAGGCTGCTACAGAAATTTGCATAAATCATGAGCTGAATGTTAATCACCAAGACAGTGGGGAAAATGTCACCAGTGCATTCCAAAGATCTACAGAGCAGCCTCTCCCATCACAGGCCTGGAGGCCTAGAAGGGAAAAATGGTTTTGTGGGTCAGGCCAAGGGCCTTGCTGCTCTGTGCAGCCTTGGGACTTGGCACCCTGCATCCCAGCTGCTCCAGCTACAGCCATGCCTAAAAGGGGCCAAGATACAGCTTGGGCCATTGCTTTAGAGGGTACAAACCCCAAGCTTTGGCAGCGTCCATGTGATGCTGGGCCTGCAGGTGCACAGAAGACAAGAGTTAAGCTTTGGGAACCTCTGCCTAGATTTTAGAGGATGTATAAAAATGCCTGGATGTCCAGGCAGGGGCAGAGCCCTCATGGAGAACCTCTGCTAGGGCAGTGTGGAAGGGAAACATGGGGCGGAATCCCCTACACAGAGCCCCCACTGGGGCACTGCCTAGTGCAGCTGTGAGAAGAAGACCACCATCCTCCAGACCCCAGAAAGGTAGATTGTCTGACAGCTTACACCATGCACATGGAAAAGTTTCAGGCACTCAACACCAGCCCATGAAAGCAGCCACAGGGGCTGTACCTTGCAGAGCCACAGGGGCAAAGCTGCCCAAGGCTGTGGGAGCCCACTCCTTGCATCAGCATGTCCTAGATATGAGACAAGGAGACAAAAAAGATTTTGGAGCTTTAAGATGTAATGACTGCCTGGCCTGGTTTCAGACTTGCTTGAGGCCTGCGGCTCCTCTGATTTGGCTTTCTCCCATTTGGAGTGGGTGTGTTTACCCCATGCCTGTACCCCCATTGTATCTGGGAAGTAACTAACTTGCTTTTGATTTTATAGGCTATAGGCAGAACAACTTGCCTTGCTTCAGATGGGACTTTGGACTTGGACTTTTGAGTTAACGCTGGAATGAGTTAAGACTTTGAAGGACTATTGGAAAGACATGATGGCATGACTGGTTTTGAAATGTGAAAAGGACATGAGATTCGGGAGGCCAGGGTAGAATGATATGGTTTGGCTGTGTTCCCACCCTAATCTCATTTCAAATTGTAATCCATATGTTGAGGGTGGTACCTGGTGGGAGGTGACTGGATAATAGGGGTGGTTTCCCCCATGCTGGTCTCTTGATAGTGAGTGAGTTCTCATGAGATCTGGTTGTTTGATAAGTGTCTGGTGTTTTCTCCTTCTGTCTCTCTCCCCTGCTGACTTGTGAAGAAGGTGCTTGCTTCTCCTTTGCCTTCTGCCATGATTGTAACTTTCCTGAGGCCTCCGCAGCCATGTGGAACTGTGAGTCAATTAAACTTCTTTTGTTTATAAATTATCCAGTCTCAGGTAGTATCTTTACAGCAGTGTGAAAATAGACTAATACATCAGATTATCAGAAAGTTAAATGGTTGGTAGTTTTCCTTTAATTCTCCAAAATAAGGCATCATATAATTATAATTTAATATATGATGCCCAATCTTTCTTCCTGTCCTGTCTAATACTTATTTTTTTCTTTTTTAATTGAGGATTGTTATATAAACCTTCTAAGGAAAGCACTATGTACTATGCAGCTAAGTTTTATTTCTCCCAATTAACTGCTCTGCATTATCTTACTAGTTTTCAGGAACAATTTCATTATTCTTTCTCTTTTTGATTTAACTGTGAAGTTCAGTAGGAATTCTTAGTCTGGAATTTTTCACATAACTATTCTCTTTCATGTCTTCCTCTGTTCTTCTTGTTCTTTTACTCAGGTAGTAAGCTTACAGTTTTTTTTTTCTTTCAGTACCTTTTCTTTGTGGGAGTGTCCTCTTTCCTATCACAACTGGTTCTGCATTAACCATTCAACTATAGTATCATGTTTACTATTTTCTAGGGGTTGGGCATGTGACTCAGGCTGAGCTGATTATTTCTCTACCCCTTAGGACAAAGCTTGATAGAGCAGATAGCTAAACTCAACCAATGAACCCAATTAAATGCCAAAATACAAAACAACAGCAAAAGCAGTAACAATAGAAGTTTCAAAAGCAAAAGACAAAGCAGACTGAAATAGAATGCTCTTGGCATTCTAAGTCTTCATTTTCTGGATAGGGACTTTCATGGTCCCAGCTTAGGTGAGCTGCATAACTCTACAGGTATGTACTTTCCTATTATGTGCACCTGGTTTATCTGATAACTCTCAAATGTCTTCAAATATAGATGTCTTCAAATATAAAGCTTGCTTTAGTTTGAAAACTACACGTATAATTCTTGGCTCTGGATCCATAAATTTGCTGAGAGCAGGAATCTTAACTTTCCCCCCATTCTTGATTAAATCTTCATCCATTCCAATATCATTAATAATTAATCTAGTTATCAAAACTTGTTTCTCTTGGGTGAATAGTCAGTAAGAAATTTGATATAAGCATTATTTCAATCATTTTTTAGAGTTCAAGATCCCTCCTTTCTGAAATTCCTTCCTCTGCACTCTTCTATCTTGAGTGTGTATACTCATGGGTCTCACTTCCCTCCTTCCTTATAGGTAGAGGGCCAGGGAGGAAGGAATGTCTGATAATGTGATGGGTAGTATGTATGGGAAAAGATCCTTCTACTCAATCTGGTTTGGTCTGATGGGTGTGATTTTAGCATAGTCATTTTTTTGCATGTTTCTTTTTGCAGCTTCAACTTGGCCTTTTCCATGACAGAAAAACAGAAGGTTAGCTGTGTCTCTATTTGGGCTCTGCCAGCAACGTATACTCTCAGTCTCTTCTCTGGGTTGTTTTCCTCTGGTTGGCTGAGTAGCCACTCGGGTAGTAGCATGGTTCTATGCCAATTCCCATGTAATAATAGATTGTCAGCCTTCAGAAATTACCAGAGGGGAAGCAAGCCCCAGTTTTTATATTAAAGTCCATCCATCCATTGGGAAACATCTTTCTGATACAATTCTCTCATTCTCCAAAGAGATAGAGGGCAAGGGAGGACCAGGACTGATATTTCTGGCACCCTATGTGCTTTCTTCTCTAAACGTTCTGTTAGTCTCTTCTGTTTTTTATCTCACAGTATTAGCAAAAGCAATCTGTTTAGCCTCTAGAGAACACTGAGACCTAGTGAATATCTCCGATAACTAAGTGAGCCTCCTTAAACATTGTCATTTTGTTGGAATGTAATCACTTTTTTCTAAACAGTTTGCTGTCTCTGTACCACACGGTACATAAACAACAACATTTCTGCACTACAGGGTGTATATCTCTGGGAAGGGTGAAGGAGAGAGAATATGGAGCAAAAAATGATTCCACCCATGTTTTACACTTTTTTGTTGCATAACTTATAAATGGGCTCAATTTGTTTGCAAGTAGGCTGAGTATTAATTGATAACAAGTAGAAACAATAACAAGCATCAGTTAATGCTCTGACAAACTTTGTATTTGTTTATTTTTTCTTATATAGATTATAAACTTAAATAGTATTTTAATGTTTAAAAGAAAAATAACTTATCAGTATATGTTTTTTACTTTAAATATACATGTCAAGTAACTTTGGCTTTATTATGAGTTATATGTCTTTGTGAACTAACATGGGGACATAGGATCACGTATAATAGTACTTTATGGAAAAGTGTGTTATTCTCTCTCTCTCTATATATATGTATATATATATATGAAATCAGTGGTATATGGGAAGGGGACTGACTCATAATATTATATCCTATATTTGGAATTCTTAATTATTTATCTTCTAAAAGGATCTCTTGGCACTTTTTTCCTTCTAAAATGCACTCTTTTGCAGGACATTTTCCAATCTTACAAGGTCATTTTAATTTTACGCCCATTTTAGATCCTCCATTGGAGAATTACTCTGCTTATTTATTTATTCACTCTGTACTCTGTTTCTAATTTGAAGCTGGGCCTATTTTTATAATGTGAATTTATTCTTTGGGACATAAAAAATTTAGAGTTAAAATCTGGCATGTTAATCTCAGTGTAATTTTTTTTATTTGTCCATTAACAATAACAATGCTAGTAAAAATGATTAGTAGAAAAAGGCAGCCTTTGTGAGTTTTGATGTGGAGAATATTTGTGAAATCTATTCAATTGTATGAAACTCATTGGCTTATAACTGCTATTATAAATCACAGGGTCATGTGGTTAATCTTCTGAGAGCTTCAATAAAAACGATCCAACTTTGCAGCCTCCTACAGCTTTCAATTTCTGTCATATCTGAGTCCTGCCTATAAACACAGGGTCAATAAACAGGTTAGAGATAAACAGGAGAGAAATTTTTGATTAAAAATGATATGAAATGCTGGGGAAAGGTAAGCTAAATCAGTAAGAAATAAAGATCTGAGCACTGTGGGTGGTTTAGAGATAGAACACCTATAGATTGGTATGTGGGGGCAGGGCCAATGATGTCCCCTTGAAATCCTGCATTGGATAGCTGTTGATTGATCTTTGTAACTCAGTCTCCACTTCTAATGAGCACATCAATAGGGTATACATTGACTTTCTAATGCATTGGTTTTATTAAAAAGGGAGCTATTTCCAGTTTAATAAGTGGAGAGCTTCTGTAACAATTGCTACATTTCAATTCTAAGCAATACTTATAAAGGTCTTTTAGAAGTGCTTTCTCAAAACCATTATGTTTTTAGTTAATTTTTTATGTGCTATAAATTTTAAAAATGTGTATATTGAAGATACACTTTAGTGAAAAGGGCTCTTGAATAGAAATTAAGAGCTCAGTGCTTTAGTTTTCTTTCTGCTTATTAATGCATTCTTTCAGTTTGGGCAAATCACTTACTCTGTGTGAACCTAAGTTCATCATATTTAAAGAGGGCATGCTAAACATATGCATATTCTTTCTTTTCCATCCAAATCATTTTGAAAGGATGGAAACTATATCTGTGTCTTTTCATATCCATATAATATGGACATATATTCATATCTGCTTGTCTTTCTATTCTTCTAGAATAAACCTATAAGGGGACCAGAAACAAGGCAGGGTACCATTAAAAGACAGTAACATTTCAAGAAATTTTAGGAGGTATTATCCAGAGTTATTTGATTGATTAAGCAATCAGAGCACAGAAAACAGATATAGGCAGGAGTCAGGGTAAACTCTTAAAAATTATATCTTGAAGACATATGCTATTTAATAGAACAATGCCTGAGAGTACAAAAATTGTACTGGAAAATATTTAATAGATTAATGCTAACAAATAATAAGACACAGGAAGTAAAAGTAAGTCAATAAAGTAATTTTAAGACTAAAATATTAAATGGGGAAAAGTGATATTATATAGTAATAAAAGTTTCAATCTCCCAAGAAGTAAGGGTCATAAATATTTATGCAATGGAAATATCATCATAGGAACATATAATGTCAATAAAACACAAAAAAGAACTGTCAAAACAGAAATCATAATGTTATATTTTAACAAACATTTTTCAGGAATTCATAAGTTGGTTAGACAATAAAAGGTAGGAAATAAATATTGTGAAGATGACAGTTTATAAGCTTGAGCAGATAGATAATTTAATAAAATATATATGTTTATTTTGCATTGTCCTCTCCCCTGTTCCTTGCAATTGCCCAAGTTCTTTTTTGACCCTTTTCTCAGAAAAAGTTTGTGCCAAAAAACTAAAAGTATAAGTTGCCAGAAAGGTATTTCCCTTTTTTGGATTTTTCTTTATTTGACTAAAGCCGGAATCATTAAAGAGAATATGATGAGTGCATAGACTACAAATAGAGAGAAAATTAGTGCCTTTAAGAAACAGTGATGTAGACAGAAGACACTATCTTAGATTGGGCAGATGATGGAGGTTTGGATATAGAAAGGAGAATAAGTATAACAAGCTCTTCTTATATTAAACTTCTTATTTATCATCTCTGGTTCTTGTCAATTTTTCCCATAGATTCACGTTATCATCTGGAGTCATTTTCTTAGACCAATACAACTTTGCTCCCACTGTGACCTCCTGTTACTGGCAAATATATTTAATTTTTATTTGTTATAGGCCCAACAAAATATTATATGCATATCGCTTTATACATCTGCTTTTTAAATGAGTTAAGAAAGGAAAAGAAAGGTTTATACTGTCTTTTATAACTGCACAATTACCTTTTTTGGTATTATTTTGAGTGTGTTTGTGAGTAGAAATCAGTCTGAGGTCACTAGCTTTCAGCCTGAAGATCATGCTTTAGCATTTACTGTAAGGTGGGTATGCTAGCAAAAGGTTTTCATTGCTTTTGTCTCCTTAAGAATGTAATTATTTTTCTTTCATTTTTAAAATACATGTATACTGGATATAGGAGATTGACAGTTTTTTCCTTAAGCACTTTAAATATCTTATCCTACTACCCTTTGATGCCATTTTTTTTTTTATCAGAATTCCACTGTTAATCTTTTTGGGATTCCTTTGTAAAAGATACATAATGCTTTGCTTGCTTAATTCAAGATTTCTTCTTGCCTTTGGCTTTTAGTTTGTTTTCTTTTTAAATTTTATTTTATGTTCAGGGGTACAGGTTTGTTACATAGGTAAACTTGTGTCATGGGCGTTTGTTGTTCAGATTGTTTCAACACCCAGGTATTAAGCCTAGTACGCGTTAGTTATTTTTTTTTCCTCCCGTCCTCCACACTCTGATAGGCTGCAGTGTGTGTTGTTCCCCTCTATTTGTCCATGTGATTGCACCATTTAGCTACCACTTACAAGTGAGAACATATGATATTTGGCTTTCTGTTCCTGCAGTAGTTTGCTAAGGATGATGGCCTTCAGCTCCAACCACGTTCCTGCAAAGGACATGATCTCATTCTTTGTTATGGCTGCATGGTATTTCATGGTGTATATGTACCACATTTTTTTAATCCAGTCTATCATTGATGGGCATTTAGGTTGATTTCCATATTCTCAATACCAGTGTATAAGTGTTCCATTTTCTTGACAACCACAATGGCATCTGTTATTTTTTGACTTTTTAATAAAAGGCATTCTGATTGGTGGGAGATGGTATCCCATTGGGATTTTGATTTGCATTTTTCTAATGATCAGTAGGTTGAGATGTTTTTTAATATGATTATTGGCCATATGAATGTCTTCTTTTGAAACGTGTTTGTTCATGTCCTTTGCCCACATTTTAATGAAGTTGTTTTTGTCTTGTAAATTTCTTTAAGTTCCTGATCAATGCTGGATATTAAACTTTTGTCAGATGCATAGATTGCAAAAATTTTCTCACATTCTGTAAGTTGTCTGTTGACTCTCTTGATAGTTTCCTTTGCTGTTCAGAAGCTCTTTAGATTAATTGGATCCCATTTGTCAATTTTTGCATTTGTTACAATTGCTTTTGGTATCTTCATCATGAAATCTTTGCTCATTCCTATGTCCTGAATGGTATTGCCTAGGTTGTCTTCCAGGGTTTTTATACTTTTGGGTTTCATATTTAAGTTTTTGATCCATCTTGAGTTGATTTTTGTATATGGTGTAAGGAAGGAGTCCAGTTTCAATCTTCTGCATATGGGTATCCAGTTATCCTAACTGTGTAGTTTGAAGTCAGGTAGTGTAGTGTGATGCCCCCAGCTTTGTTCTTTTTGCATAGGATTACCTTGGCTATTCACGCTCTTTTTTGGTTCTTTATGAATTGTAAAGTTTTTTTTCTAGTTTTGTGAAGAATATCAATGATAGTTGAATAGAAATAGCACTATAAATAACTTTGGGCAGTATGGCACATTTTAACAATATTAGTTCTTCGTATCCATGAGCATGAAATGATTTTCCATTTGTTTGTGTTATCTCTGATTTCTTTGAGCAGTGTTTTGTAGTTCTCCTTGTAGAGATCTTTCACATCCCTGGTTAACTGTATTCTTAGTTGTTTTAATCTTTATGTAGTCATTGTAAATGGAATTGCATTTCTGCTTTGGCTCTCAGCTTGATGATCATTGGCATATAAGAATGCTAGTGACTTTTTTAAATGTTGATTTTGTATCTTGAAACTTTGCCAAAGTTGTTTATCAGCTTAAGGAGCTTTTGGGCTGAGACTATGGAGTTTTCTAGATATAGGATTATGTCATATGCAAACAGGGATAGTTTGATTTCTTTCTTCCTAATTGTATACACTTTCTTTCTTTCTCTTGCCTGCTTGCCCTGGCCAGGACTTTCCATACTGTATTGAATAGGAGCAGTGAGAGAGGGCATCTTTGTCTTGTGCCAGTTTTCAGGGTCAATGCTTTCAGCTTTAGCCCATTCAGTATGATATTGGCTGAGGGCTTATCATAGATGACTCTTATTATTTTGAGGTGTTTTCTTTCAATACCCATTTTATTGAGAGTTCTTAACATGAAGCAGTGTTTTCATTGAAAGGCTTTTCTGCATCTATTGAAATAATCAGGTGGTTTTGTCTTTAGTTCTGTTTCAGTAATGACTCAATTTATTGATTTGAGTATGTTGAACTAACCCTGCAGCCCACGGATGATAAGCCCATTTGTTCATTGTAGATAAGCTTTTTGATGTGCTGTCGGATTTGATTTGCCAGTATCTTGTTGAGGATTTTTGCACTGATGTTCATCAAGAATATTGGCCTGAAGTATTTTTTTGTTGTTGTTGTGTCTCTGCCAGGTTTTGATATCAGGATGATGCTGGCCTCATAGAATGAGTTAGGGATGACTCCCTCTTCCTCATTTTTTTTGGAATTGTTTCAGCAGCAAGGGTACCAGCTTTTCTTTGTATATCTGGTAGAATTCAGCTATTAATCTGTCTGATCCTAGCCTTTTTTTGGTTGATAGGCTATTTATTACCACCTCAATTTCAGAACTCATTATTGGTCTGTTCAGGGATTTAGTTTCTTCCTGGTTTAGTCTTGGGAGGGTGTATGTGTCCAGGAATTTATCCTTTTTTCCCCCAGATTTTCTATTTTATGTGCATAGAAATGATTATAATATTTCCTGATGGTTATTTGTATTTATATGAGGTCAGTGGTAATATCCCTCTTGTCATTTCTGATTGCTTTTATTTGAATCTTCTCTCTTTTCTTCTTTATTAGTCTAGATAGCTATTTTATCAATTGTTTCTTAAAAGAACAACTTCTGGATTTACTGATTTTTTTAATGGTTTTCCATATCTCAATCTGTTTCAGTTCAGCTTTGATTTTGGTTATTTTTTGTCTTCTGCTAGCTTTGGGGTTGGTTTGCTCTTGGTTCTCTAGTTCTTTCGGTTGTGATGTTGGCTTGTTAACTTGAGATATTTCTAGCTTTTTGATGTGGGCATTTTAGTACTACAAAACTGCCTCTTAACACTGCCTTAGCTGTGTCGCAGAGATTCTGGTATGTTCTATCTTTGTTCTCATTAGTTTCAAGGAACTTCTTGGTTTTTACCTTAATTTATTTATTTACCAAAAAGTCATTCAGGAGCAGGTTATTGAATTTTCAATTAATTGTATGATTTTAAGTATATTTTTAAGTCTTAATTTCTAATTTGATGGTACTATGGTCTGAGAGATTGTTATGATTTCAGTTCTTTTGCGTTTGCTAAGAAGTGTTTTACTTCCAATCATATGATAAATTTTAGAGTGTGTGCCACGTGCAGATGAAGAAAATATATATATTCTGTTGTTTTTGGTTGGAGAGTTCTGTAGATGTCTATCAGGTCCATTTGATCCAGTGCTGAGTTCAGGTCCTGAATATCTTTGTTAATTTTCTGTTTCAGTGATCTGTCTAATACTATCAGGGGGGTGTTAAAGTCTTCCACTATTATTGTATGGGAGTTAAAGTCTTTTTGAAGGTTTCTAAGAACTTGCTTTATGAATCTGGGTATTCCTGTGTTGGGTGCATATATATTTAGGACAGTTAGACCTTCTTGTTGAATTGAGCTCTTTACCCTTCTGTATTGCCCTTCTTTGTCTTTTTTGATCTTTGTTGTTTTAAAGTCTGTTTTGTCTGAAACTAGGATTACAACCCTTACTTTTTTTTCTGTTTCCCATTTGCTTGGTGGGCTTTTCACCATCTTTTATTTGAAGCTATATGTGTGTCACTGCATGTTAGATGGGTCTCTTGAAGACAGCATTCCAATGGGTCTTAGTTTGTTATCCAGCTTGCCACTCTGTGTCTTTGAATTGGGACATTTAGCCCATTTATATTCAAGGTTAGTATTGGTATGTGATATGGTTTAGCTGTGTCTCCACTCAAATCTCATTCTTGAATTCCAACATGTTGTGGGACAGACCTGGTGGGAGGTAATTGAATCATGGGGGCAGGTCTTTCCCATGCTCTTCTTGTAATAGTGAATAAGTCTCACAAGATCTAATGGTTCTATAAGGGAAAGTTTCCTTGCACAAGCTCTTTCTTTGCCTGCTGCCATCCATGTAAGACGTGACTTGCTCCTCCTTGCCTTCCACCATGATTGTGAGCCTTCCCCAGCCACCTGAAACTGTAAGTCCAATAAAACCTTTCTTTTGTAAATTGCCCGGTCTTGGGTATATCTTTATCAGCAGCATGAAAACGGACTAATAAAATATGTGTAAATTTGATCCTGTCATCATGATGTTGGCTGGTTATTTTGCAGACTTATTTATGTGGTTGCTTTATTGTGTCACTGATCTGTGTGCTTCAGTGTGTTTTTGTAGTGGCTGGGAATGGTCTTCCCTTGTTATATTTAGTGCTTCACTCAGGATTTTTTGTAAGGCAAGCCTAGTGGTAATGAATTCCCTCAGCATTTGCTTGTCTGAAAGGATCTTATTTCTCCTTTGCTCATGAAGCTTAGTTTGGCCAGATATGAAATTATGGGGCAGAATATCTTTTCTTTAAGAACATTGACTATAAGACTCCAATCTTTTCTGGCTTGTAGGGTTTATGCTGAGAGGTCTGCTGTTAGTTTGATGGTCTTCCCTTTGTAGGTGACCTGTCCTTTCTCTAGCTGAGTTTAACATTTTTAAATTTTATTTTGACCTTCAAGAATCTAGTGATTATGTGTCTTGGGAATGTGCTTCTTGAGGAATATCTTACTGGGGTTCTCTGCTGTTCCTGAATTTGAATGTTAGCCTGTCTCGCTAGGTTGGGGAAGTTCTCACGGATGATATCCTGAAATGTTTTCCATGTTGGTTCCATTCTCCCATCTCTTTCAGGAACATCAGTGAGTCATAGATTTTATTTCTATATAATCCCACATTTCTTGAGGTTTTTCTTCATTCCTTTTTATTCTTTTTTCTCTATTCATGTTTGAATTTCCTATTTCAGAAAGCCAGTCTTGATGCTCTGAGATTCTTTTCTTCACTTGGTCTATTCTGCTATTAATACTTGTAATTGCATTATGAAATTCTTGTAGTGTGTCTTTCAGCTCTATCAGTTTGGTTACATTCTTTCTATACTGGCCATTTTGTTTGTCACCTCCTCCATTGTTTTATCATGATTTTTAACTTGTTTGGATTGGGTTTCAATGTAGTTCTGTAGCTCAATGATCTTTGTTTCTGTTCATATTCTGAATTATATTTGTTTAATTTTAGCCATCTCAGCCCAGTTCAGAAGTCTTGCTGGAGAGGTGATGTAGTCATTTGGAGAAAAAAAAAAGGCATTCTGGCTTTTTGAGTTGTTAGGGTTCTTGTGCTCATTCTTTCTCATCTTTGTGGGCTTATCTTTCTTCAATTTTTGAGGTTGCTGACCTTTGTATGTTTCTTCCTTCATCCTATTTGATGACCTTGGGGGTTTGAGTGTAGTATAAGGTAGATTCAGACAACTGACTTCATTTCTGGAAGATTTTGGGGTGCCCACACTCAGCTGCCAACTCTTCCTGGACTGTATGCCCTAACTCTAGGGGACTTGTATTGGGCCTTGACATTGTTCTCTGGCTCTTTGAGGTTAGAAATCCACTGCACTGTGGGGGCTGACATGCTCCCAGATTATGGGTTACTACTCTCTGATAGGTGGTGTCAGCAAACACGTTTTGTAATGCAGTGACAGTGGGATCTGTCTTTGTTCACATGTGCCGGCAGCAGCAATAGTGGCAGCTGTGGCAGGTGGTAGCAGGTGCCAGGGTGCCTGTAGTGTTCGGGACTGACAGTTCCCCTTTGGCTAGTCTCTTATGGGAGCAAGTCAGGTCTAGGGGCATGGCCATTCCTGGCTGTGCTCTCCTACAGATGCTTCTGCACCAAACCCTCTGGGCTCCATATCAGCTGTCTTCCTGCTGCTACCACTTCTCTATGCAGCTCTCCCTGCCAACTGGAGGTCTGCCAGGGTTCCAGAGGCCTGTGGCAAGAGCAGGTTGCTCATTGCCAGTTCAACTCATTTGTTCTCCCAGAGGCATTTGGGGCCAGGAATCAGTCCAGGTGCACTGTAGCCTTGTGTAGGGTTCCCAGTGTTCTCCGCCTTTAGCTCAGCTTCTGCGTCATCTCTCCATCCACTTTCAATGCCTTCTTTCTGAAAATCTGTTAGGAGCATGCCAGTCATCTTGGTCCCTTGATGGGAGCTGTTCCACCTGGCTGCATATAGTTAGCCATCTTGCCCTCACTTCCAGTATTTTCCCTATGATGTAAAAATGAGTTTGTTGAGCTTCCTAGAGGAAGCTCAGTATATAATGTATAGTATATAATGTTTTATATACTAATTTGTTGGGCTTCCTAAATATATAGATTAATGTTTTTCAATAGATTGGGAATGTTTTCATTGTTTAAAAAATTTTTTTTTACATTTTCTTTTCTCTGTTTCTTCTCTTTTTGGTATTCCTATTACATGTATGTTGGTATGCTTCCTGGTGTCCTGTATTTTTCTGAGGTTACATTCATTTTTCTTTATTTTTTGCCCTCTGTTCTTCAGATTGCATAATCTCTATTGATTTATCCTCAAGTTTGCTAATTCTTTCTGCCAGTTCTAATCTCTAGTAGAATTTTCATTTAAATTATTCTACTTTTTAATTCCAGAATTTCCATTCGGTTCTTTTTTATAATTTACATCTCTTTATGGATATTTACTATTTGGTGCAATATTATTATTATAATTTTCTTAATTTATTTAATTATGGTTTGTTCTTTCAACATATTTATAATGGCTTCTTTGAATTTTTATGTCTCTTAAATCTAACATCTCTGCACTCTAATAGGCAATATATATAGCAAGCTTTTATTCCCCCTTTGCGTTTGGGTCATACGTTCCTGTTTTGCTGCAGGTCTTGTAATTTTTGCTGGAAACTGGTTATTTTATTTTTTATGGGTACATAGTAGATTTATATATTTATAGGGTACATGACATATTTAGATACAGATGTACAATGAGTAATCACATCTGGATAAATGGAGTATCCATTGCCTCAAGCATTTATCATTTCTTTGTGTTATAAACATTCAAATTTTAAGTTTTTAGTTATTTAAAAGGTATATTAAATTATTGTTCACTGTAGTCACCATGTTATGCTATTAAATACTACATCTTATTCACTCTATGTAACTATATTTTTGTACCCATTGACCATTCTCATGGAAACTGGATTTTTTTAAAGCAGCTCTCGGTACTGGTACTATACTTCTCCTTGCCCCTCATCTTATACTTGCTGTTTTCTTGTTTACCTGTTTAGTAACTGGCTTGATTATTTTTGTAAAGTCTATTTCTGTCCTGCAGTATGAAGCCTCTGATGTGCTTCTCAGGGTGTACAGCCTTGGGTATGTCCACAGTCACTCAAAGGTGACAGTGTTTTTTTGGCAAGTGTCTTTTTGACTGTTTTCCAGACAATGCCCAGCTGTTAAACTCCACTTATTGTTGGCTGATGCTCTACTGTTTTTAACAATGTCTAGTTCCATAAATTACGTTACAGATAAATCCAATCAAATTTGGTCTCTTTTGAAGGGATAATTACCTTTGCAGTCAGTTTTTGAGATTTGTTTTGACCCCAAGGTGGATATTCTCAGCTGTGTCTTTTCCCGATTCTCTCCAGTAAACCAGCTGACTTGCAGTTTAACCTATATCTCAGATGAACCTAACAATTTCCTCCCAATTGCCTTTTATCACAATTTGCTCCTTTTATTCACACTCATCCAGAACTTAACCTCCACAACGGGGAGCTTGTGGTAAAACCAGAAATGCTGACATCCTGCTCTTCCTGGCAATCTAACCCTCTGGGAGATGGTGAAAGAGAAAGCAACAAATTTGGCAAAGCAAGAATCACAGGCTCTTCTGCAGGAGAGAGAGAAGAGGTTAGATGCCTCTACCCTTCCTGTCCTGCACAGGCTATTAGGTTAGAAGGTGTTCACCTGGTGTCAGTTAAGGAGACCTTTCCCTATTGAATGCAACGTGGGCAGTCTTTCCTGTACCGTGAGCAAGGATAGAACTCTTAATCCATCTCCTAGGATGATACATGAAAGTCTTCTGTCCTATCTTTTTGTGGTTCAGTAACATTTTGTATTCTGATACTGATCCCATGGGGCTACATGGGAAAAAGCACGTGGGCCCCCTTAAGGAAAATATTGAACTAGAGAACTCAAATTGATGTTCATTATTTTTGAAGTCCTTGTAGGCAAAAAATCCAACTTGTGCACCCAGGTGGTAAATAGAGGAGGTTACCGTCTCCCACTCCTCATTGTTTAATAGCCATTCTAATCTTTCAAGTATTTGAGTTTTAAGAAAGAGAGTGAAGGGGAAAGAAGGCCCTTGCAGGGTCCCCTCCAGAGACCCAGCTGTCAATAATTATTGAAAAGGGGTGTACAATTGAAGGAAGAGGTCAGACAGTAACACATAGAGCATGAATTAAAAGTACCCTTTCAGAGAAATGCAGCATTGAGACCCCAGACTGCTTTCCTCCGACGTCCAGGCGGGGATTATCTTTACTTGTGCTATCAGCCACTTAAGTCTGTATTTTAATTATCCATGAAAATGCTCAATCATTATTGCAGCTTGGAAGTGATATGGAATATAAAGAATTCATTGTATGTCCTGTGACTGGGCCTGTTGATATGGAACTTGGGCCACAATTTAAAGCCATTATCAAATAAAATCTACTCGGAAAACCTGAACAAGACACATATGGTCTTCAGTGATCTGGATAGTGTGGCCTGAGTCAGTGGGATGCACAAGGATGCCTGAGTAAATTCAGAGAAAGTATCAGCTACAGTCAGGATCTAGTGGAATCTTCTTGATTGGATGAGGGGCCCAATGTGATCTATTCATTGGAAACTCCTTGGTCATTGGCTGGAGAGATTTTTTCCCAGGCAGCATTTTTAGCTTTGGCCATGGTCTGGCTGGAGGAAAACCTTTTCCATGCTATGTTGGCATGTTCAGACCACAGAGGCAGTCTATGCATGTAGGCCAGTCTAGGATGGTATCCAAATTTCTCATGGATCCAGAAGGCAATAGGTTGAACATCTGCTTGTTCTGGATTAGGGCACAATTCAGTCTCTGAGTTTAGCTGACAAACATGGTCTGCTCATTGATTATATTCCCCTTTGTCAGTCTGAGAGCCTTTCTGGTGATCATCAACCTTGATAAGAAAACCTTATTAGGAATGGAGCATTTTTTTTTCTAAATGTCTCACCCCTACAGGGAAGCTTGTTTATATGGCACTCAGACCTGCCAGTGGCCTAACCAAATGGCCAAGACATTGGTCACAGCCTGTGAGTCAGTGAAAATGTAGCATATCTCATCAGCTGGGGTGGCCTGGATAGCCATCCACACTACATGAAGTGCTATTCATTGTGCTGAGCATCCTTTACTGCGCTCAGTGAGGGACAGGCCTCTCTCAGATCAGATGGCAGCTATACCCTTTTCCATCCTGGTATAAGTTAACTGGGAAGAGCTCTCAGTGAACAAGGCCTATCAGTGGTCCAGGAGGTTTCTATATCTGTGTTTCCTCTGGGACAGTGGAGGCAGTGGCTCTTTGAGCATATGCCTAGGGGTAGAGGAGCACTCCTGAAGCTTTTTTTTATGGTGTTGCAAGCTTTTTTTATGGTGTTAAAGCACATCCTGGCCAGATTTTACCCACTTCTCTATGTACCAATTCTATTTCACTAGAGATAATTTCTTAGCTTTCTCCACTTGACAATTTGAGGGCTATGTTCAGGCCCAAGGTGTGACTGGGATCTCTAGTTACAAGATTACTTCATGACCATGGGCCATACACTCAGTAACCACCAAGGCACAATGGCAAGCCAATAATAATCTCTTAAAGCGTGCATGCCCTTAAGCTGACTTGGGGAGCCTAGGAGTCCAAAGGCCCAACAAATACCTCTAACCTGTGGTAGTATTCTTCTGCCATAGGTTTCAATTGTCAAACTGGAAGGTTGATAAAACCTGTAACTCAAACAGCAAATATGAATTGGTGGGGCCTGGATGGGTTAGGGGAGTAACTTGAGTGGCCCGTTGGAAGATCCTTCTAAGGGAATCTTGTGGGTTAGGGGTCCTCTTTCTTTCTATTTTTTCATGTAGAGAGAGTCAAATGCTTCATAATTGTCTGCTCTAGAATTGTGCACCTTCCTGGATTATGCCCAGGAATTTTACTTAGTTGCTAGATCCTTATACTTTTTAGTAATGGACTGGCCATGTTGTCACTTGTGGGTCAAGAAGGCATCCAGTTTTTGTTGGGTGATGGCCTTGTCTATGCCCACCAGGGGATGTCATTAATATAGTGGAAGGCTAGTATTTTGTCTAGGAGTGACATTTTTCAGGGTTATGACCTATCTGTTGATGACAGATAGCCAGATAATTTAGGTAGCATTAAGGAAACATTACAGTATATTGGAATCCATTCCACATAAAGGCAAATTGATCCTGATAATCTGATTTGAAGGAGATGCTGAAAAAACCATTTGTAATATTAATTGCTACACACCAAGTTCACTTAGCTTGAGCAATAGCTTCTGTGACTGTCACAACATCTGGTTCCACCAATTCCAAGAGTGGTAGGACAACATTGAGCCTCCAGTACTCAAAGGTGAGTTTCTAGGCACCCAAAGCCTTGTGCACATGCCAGATAGGGCTACAGAATAGAGAAATAGTCTTATAGAGAACTTCATTTTCCTTAAGTTTGGCCAAAGGGTGGTTAGTTTTGGGGGGAATAACAGCACCAATTGTCAGTAGTGGAGCAAATTAACAGTCTTCCATATGCCCCACTAAGATGGCCCTACCTGCATCAATTCTTGCCAGGGCTGTGGGTGAAGGTGAGTAGGGTGCAATGCATAATATATCTGTACCAACTATGCATTCAGTGATGGGGGCCATACAATGGAGACTTGTAGAAACCTGAAGTGGCTCATCCATAGTCATGTCTGGTTAAGACTGCTAGTGGTGGTAGCCTAGAACCCAATTCCAGACAATATTATCTGTTTCCCCTTATCTTGGTGCCAAGGGTTGTGGGAATCATAAGTCATTTGTGTACTGATCTCCAAAAGGCCCAAGAAGTACTAGATTCCCCCCATCTCTCCATTGAGCTATGACCGTGAAGTAGGGTTTCTTGTTCTCTTTGGAGAGAGAAGGACCTCAGTCTAACTCTTTGTCTTGTTTATTTGTGAATACTAAAAAACCTGGCAGAGGCTGGATGGACCATTCAGCTCATCTTCAGGCCCACGAGGAGGGTCAGAGGGATCAGCACCAATGTCACTCATAGGGACTGCCACCACTTGAATCCTCATGGGGTTGTCTGTTGAGCCTCTCATGGCCTGGACCTGGCCACAAGTTCCTTGGCAGGGACCCCATCAGTCTCCTCCTTGAGACCCCATTATTGAGAGACAAGATTCAGTGATCTTTTCTGGAAGGCCTTTGCCAGGATGGTCCAGCAAAGGAGGCCTGTTTACCACTCTCCAGCTGCTCTTTTGCCTAGTCAGACTTTGATATCTTGGCAGTAGCCACTTTTTGCATGCCAGGAAATTTGTCA